>NC_000008.11:21678284-21981314 GCF_000001405.40 Homo sapiens
GTGTCTTCCAGAATGAGCTTTTGAACAATGCAAGCCTTCATGAAGTGGCTGTGACTGATAGCAAACCCCACTGGAGCCAAGAGTAGAATGTTAGAATGTCCTCCAGTCATCACATTTACACAGGGAATCAAACTATTGCAGTCTCTTCACACGGCTTTCCAACTCTCAAATTTGGTTCAGCAACGGAATGAGAAGAATGCAAGCATAGGCAGAGAGGACATGGGGATAAAGGAAATTAAAAGGGAACCTATTTTTTAAGACCTACTCCATACCAGGCCCTGCACTAGGCACTTAATGTGCATTAGCTCATTCAATACCCCCAACTCTCCAAAGCAAATGTCACGTAACCCCCTTTACAGAGGGAAAAATCGAGGCTTATAGGGTTAAGTGGCTTCCAAAGGTCATATAGTTAGAGTTTATTGAGGGACCCAAAGACTGAGCTGGTCCACACTGAGACAGCCCAGTTTCATAAGCTGCCCATCCATACCTTACCTGGCCCAGTCATTCTAGATCCCCTGGAGCTGTTTGCCAGGACACCCACCCGGTCCAAACCACTTATTTGACAGAAGAGGAAACTGAGGCAGACAGAAGGCAAGTGACCTAGACCAGGCAGAAACCACAGCCTTGTTTTCCTGACTCCCAGGCAGATACCTCCTCCCCCGCCCTGCATCCAGCAGAAGGAATCATTCTTCCTGGGCAACAGCCAGCCAAGTGCTGGAGCTCCCAGGACCCGTGCTAACAACTGCTTCTCAGTGATGAGGAGCTGGATAGGGCCCCTCTGCCCTCTGTCTGCCTTCCACCTCAAGGGCACAGCCACTTCAGCAGAACTCTGAGGGCAGGCACATCGTGGACCCTAGCGGGAGGGTTGTGATGCCCGAAATCCAGTCCATGTTATATGGGGTCATCTCCACCCACGCAGGGAAGCTCAGGAAAGGGAGGGGGAAGCCCTCTCATCAGCCGCCTCTGTGGATGCCTCATTCTTTCTGTCTATTCTTCCCTTGATTACTCTGAGTTCATGTGCAAATAATCAACGGCATTTTTTAAAGCCCAAATGATAGGCTTGGCAAAATTCTTCACTAGTTACAAATTATCACGGGAAGAATGGCATCATGGGGCCATTGAAGAAGATGGCTCAGGACAGGCATGATGTCGGCCGACATCTGACACGAGAGGTCAGGCACCCAGGCGGCAGCATCCGCCAGCAGAGTGGGCTCCCCAACCCTCAGTCAGGCCCAGTCGGGGCCCTGTGGTCACCTCATGCCACTGCAACCGGGTCAATGCGGGGCCAGAAGGAGGATGTCTAGTCTCTATGGCCCAGTCACTTCTAGCCCGCTTCCCTTTGTTAGTCAATCAGCTTCTCCCAAAGGAACCCAAGGTTTGGCTCAGAGAATTGTAAATGAATAAACAATTCCACCTACCTCTATGTTTGCCAAGGAGAAACTTCTGTGTGTGTGCATTTATCACATATATATACCCACCATTGTCCCCTCACTGCAGAATGGGAGTATAGAAAACAGAAAATGCCTGTGGCCCCCTCAATTCAACTGAGCTGCCCTGAACACTCTTCCAGGACCCGCTGAAACTCCATGCCTACTTTCAGTCAATCAACAAACATTCACTGAAGTTCCTCTCTCTACCAGGCAGGACCATTTGCAGGCCCTTTTAGACTCCCCCTCCCCAGGAACGGCAGCATGGTGTCCTATATACCCTAAGCATCATTTAAGTAAATTTAGAAAACTTAAGGCTTGCTGTTCCTGGTTCCTCCCTTCTCCTCTGTCTTTAAAAGTCAGCAACCCTTTGGGAGGCCGAGGCGGGTGGATCACTTGAGGTCAGAAGTTTGAGACCAGCCTGCCAACGTGGTGAAACCCTGTCTCTACTAGAAACACAAAAATCAGCCAGGTATGGTGGCACATGCCTGTAGTCCCACCTACCCGGGAGGCTGAGGCAGGAGAATTGCTGGAACCTGGGAAGTGGAGTCTGCAGTGAGCCAAGATCGTGCCACTGCACTCCAGCCTGGGCAACAGAGTAAGAATCCGTCTCAAAAAAAAAAAAAAAAAGTCAGCAACTGTGTGGCCCCTCCCCAGAGGCGGAGGAGCTGGAAATTTTACTCAGCTGGTCTCATCCTTTCCCTTTGCTTCTGACCCCTGACCTTTGGCTTCAACCAATGTCCTGCACTCCTGTCACTAATGGCTGGAGAAAGACAATTACTATAAGGAGGCTGCTTGCCCGAGTAGATCTTTTATGAAGTGATATTCGCTCACCCTGGCACACTGGAATCTTTGAATTTCATTGTCCTCTTGAGGTTGTATCTATTTCCTTACCATTTCAAGAGGCAGCTGTTGATCTCGCCTGGTGATTTCTGACAAGCTCCTCTTCCCTCTGCTGATGGCCTTTCTCAATCATATACCTGAACAAGCAAGACCTGATATTCCTCTTTCTGTGATCATTAGCCCCCGCTTAGTAAATAAAACCCACCTGCTCCCCTCTTTGCCCCCTCCCCCTCCCGAGGCTCCTCTTAACCCTTCCAGGCCCAGGCTCAGCACAGGGGAGATTTTCCCTGGATAACTTCCCCATTTGTTTACCGAGACAGCGAGTGGCCACAGCACACAGCAAGCATGCAGGCCTGGTGCAAATTCAGAAAGAGACATAGATGCAGGGTATTTTTGCGCTGGAACATCATTTTTTTTTAAGTAGGAGGGTGAGGCTGGGTAAACCAGGACATGTAGTTATTTGGAGGGACAGGATGAAGAAATTAGACGGCTTCGAGCTTGATTACAAGACAGGCTTTCTGCAGAGGAACTCAACTGAACTTGTTTCGGCAGATGTCCAAGTCTCCCACAATAGCCAGACCCCCACCCTGGAGCGTCTCACCAAAACACCCTCCTTCAAATCCTATTGGGTCAAAACCCACTGTGCTTCCATGGCAAGTTCCCTTTGCTCTACTGACAAGAGAAGAGTTTGCTAAGCAAATTAATCAAAGTGGACTGTAGGGTATGTGCAGAACCCACTAAGAGAAGAAACCATTTTCCAAGGTTGGAGAGGAATGGACTCAGAAATACAGTCTAGGGTTCTAGTCTCGGCTCTGCTGTTCATGCACGGCAGTGTGGCCTTGATTCAGCAATACAAAAAAGCTGTCTAAGGCCAGCACTCCCTGCGATCTGCTTTGATATGCCAATTCAAAATCCTCTCTGTTCCTCTCCCCATCCCATTTTTCCTCACATTCTACCTGAACACTCTCCCAGGACCCACCGAAACTCCATGCCTACTTTCTTTCAGTCAATAACAAACATTTACTGAAGTCCCACTCTCTGCCAGGCACTGTTCTAGGGGCTAAGGATAGAGGTGTGAAGAAAAACACAGAGGAAGATCTTGCCTGCTCGAAGCTTACATTCTAGTAGAAGGAAGTACATCATAAACAATTATACACACAGACACACATACATATGTACACAGGTAAACATGTATGCATATGTAGTCTGTTGGAAGGTGGTAAGTGCTTTGGAAAAGTAAAATTTAGGAAGTCCTAAACTAGTGGGGGGAAAGGGTTCCCTGGAGAGGGAAGGTTTCTTTAATTAGCTGATGTTGGAGCAGAGACCTGAAGGAAGTGAGGGAGTTAGCTATGATATTGACTAGGAAAAGAGTATCCTAGGTAGATGGAACAGCCACTGCAAAGACCTGGAGGTGAGAATCGGCTGGGGGCGTGCAAAGAACAGCCAGGAAGCCCCTGTGGCTGCAGCAGAGTGGGTGGAGAGGGCAGCTGGAGAAGGAGTCAGAAAGGTAGTGAGCCAGACCATGGAGGGCCTTATATGGAGGCCTTAAATGGAGGCTGTATAGGGAGGCCTCATAAGGGTTGGGTTCCACTTGAAACAGATTATAGTACATTTCTTTGTTTAAGCAAAATTGTATAATTCAGATTTTTTAATTCATTTAAATGAGTCTCCCTGAAAACCTCCCAATTAATTCAAACGAGGGGAGTTTTGCCCCAGATTGATGGAAAGAAGCCAGGAAATGCACAGCGGAATTCCAAGAGGCTAATAACTGGAAAAAAATACGTAACAATATTCAGGCAAACTACATGGGTAGAGTGAGGCCACCTAACATGCTAGTGTGTTCCTAGCGGGTTCCTTCTCTCGACTCCATTCCCCAGGAGGGGAGAGGACCCTGTAAGAGCCTGGCCTGGACAGTGGGAAACAGAAGATGGAATGATCACGATGGACCCAGAGAGCAGGTTCGTTCAGGGGCTTTGGGTGGATGGATACCCCAAAATGATGCTCAGTTGGGTCCAGACAGCCGAGAGGAAGAGCAATCCTGACCCGAAGCACAGGATGTGGGAGGATAAAGCCCGTTTCCTTCTCCAGGGCCTGCAAACGCTGCACACAACGCCGGCAGCAGAAGGCGAAAGACAGAAAGCCAGCCAGGCGGAAGAGGCTGTAACGAGGAAGGATGAAAGAGGGAATTCCTAGAAGAGAATGATTGGATTCCAAGTCTGTGCCACGCTGAATTTCTAACAGGACACAGCAACTAGGGGTGACCTAATCAGCATGCACGTATCATACCCAGAGTCCCACACCTGTCGTCTAAATCCTACATGTGCACGCTCAAGTATTTGGTAGTCCCGGCCTGACCACAGCGGGTGGGGCGAGCAGAGGAGAAAGAGGAGGAGTCCCGGGGGCAGCTGGCTCCAAGGGTGGAAGTCAGGGGGCTTGCAGAGGGCAAAGAGAATCCTTAGGGATCCCCCGAGAGAGACTCCTGTTCAGGGGGATCCCTGGGAGCACTCATCTTGCTGCCAGAAATCAATCACTCCATCAGTCATGTTGGTTGCCGAATGAGTAGTACCCTCCTTGCGTCCCCCCACTGTCCTGCCACTGTCTAATTTAATTCTGTGGATGCTCCCAGGGCCTGGCCCTAAACAGAGCCCTCCCCAGGAGGGCTTTATCTCTGATGGGATCCTTTGCAAGGTGCAGACTCAGCGAAGCAGATCCTGGGTGGTGTGGACTTCCTAGTCCTGCCAACCAATGCCCAAAAAGGAAGGAGGCTCACGGGGCCAGCTCAGCCCAACTTCCCACTCACAGCAGGGACCCAACAGTGTGGCTGCTTCCACAAACACTTCTCAGACTGCCCGGTGCTTTTTCTAGACCTGTCCTCTCCAAGGCTGCCCTGGGACTTCATATCAAGATGCAGGAGGGGGAGTTTGAGGGGTCGGGCTAGGTCATCACTGTCATCACCTGGGACCACAGCACCCCTGGACCATTTCCAGTTGTGAAGAAGATCAAGTTTCCTCCATTTGAAAGAAAAGGTTATTCCAGCAGCCCCCATCACCACCACGCACTCCAGGTAGAAATACCAGAAATACATTTCCCAGAATAAGATATTTTAGTACAGATCCCTCATGTCACTGCAGCCTCCCACTCAGCCAGCTTTCTAGCAAAACGAGAATTAAGAGTAATTTCAGGTTGCTGGGGCCCCTGAAAAAGGCTTATCTTCCACTGAGGATAAAAGTGAAGGATAGACTGGGCCAGGCGGGGTCATTCCACAAGGATTTGTTTGACCAACCAGGCTGGACCCTGACTATTAAATGGAGTAGGATGAGAGCAGCGACCTCATCTTACATTGTGAGCCTCCTGTGTGTTGGTGGGCAGGGAAGGAGAGGGGCGGGGTCAGTCCACTGTGCTGGGCTGGAAAAAATCAAAGAGTTTTTCCTGGAAGACTCTCTTCTGGCTGTAAGAGCTTCAACACACGCAGTCACGCTCACCACGGTGGTTGTGCAAACCTCCCACAGAGATGTTTGATGAGATTAGTCACTTTCTGCCAGGGTGGTTGGTCCATGCGTAGGAGACTTCATGACCTCTGATGCTGGGCAGTGTCTAGGTCAAGGTGGTGACTCAAGTGTGCCCTCCTCCAGGGAGGGAGGCCAGGCGGGGGCTGAGTCATTGCTTCACATGGCCCCAGAGGTTGGCTTCCCAAGAAATGCTGTCTTGAAGGAGTGGGAACAGGCCAGCGTGTAAGGTGCCACGCACAGAGCAAGCTCTAAGGTGGCAGTCCACAGCTCTGGACTAGAGGCTCAGAGAAAAATTGAAGCAACCAAGCATGTGGCGGTGTTTGCTGAAAGGGAGATGAATTCTGCCTCCTTTCAAGTCATTTTTCCCCAGGCCGGTGAGTTCAGGAATGGCTGCCAGTCACAGAATCACAGAATCCCATTGCCGAGGGAAGGTTGGGGAGCAGCCCCTCTGACCTCTCCCTCTGAAGATGAGGGCAGGAGAGTCCAGGGAGGGTAAGTGACTTGCCCACAGCCATGCAGCGCTCTCAGGGGCTTCTCTGTGCACTCAGGACCCTTGTCCCCTCCCCAGCCACTGGGGTGGCAGCTCCATTTGCTCTTGGCCACAAGTTCTCCGCAAGCACACAGAGAAACCTTGGTGCAAATTAGAGAATGATGCCCCCTCCTCGGGGCTGAGGCCCAGGTTGGGTGCACAGATGGGTGAGTTGAGGGTGGCTGGCTTTCAGCCCCATTCGCCCTGCTTACCAGATGCCCCTGATCAGAGTACAATCTCACAGTGGCAAGCAAAGTCCCCACATTCCAGCCCACACCTATGTGTGCCTGGTCCACAGGCTACCTGCCTTCTCTCCTTGCACCTCTGGACCGCATGCAGGACGGTTCCTCCCAGCTTTCTCCTCCACCAACTCCCATGTGAGTTCACCTCCCTTTGCACAATGGGCCAGTGTGCCCTCTCTCTTCCTCCAACTTAAGGATGATTTCAGCCCTGTCACCCATCAGTCACTCCCCGCTGCAAACCCTCAGAGTTCCAACTGCCTGGGGTGGACAGCTTGGTCTCAGAGGTCATCTAGAGCAGGGGTTGGCAAACTACAGCCCATGAGCCAAATCTGGCCTGTGCCTGTTTCTGTAAATAAAGTTTTGTTGGAACACAGCCATGCCTAGTCATTGACATTGCCTATGACTGCTTTGGAACTACAGCAGAACAGTTGCTAGTTGCAATGGAAATGGCATAGCACACAAGGCCTGTCATTTTCACCATCTGGCCCTTTACAGAGAAAGTGTGCCCATCCCTGACCTAGAGCAAACTTTCCAAGGCTCAGAGAAGTTCAGTGACCTAGCTGATGTCACCAGCTGCTGGATGGCAAAGCCAGCATTTGAACCTGGATCCCCTGATACTCCTTCTGGTATATTCCAGACTCCTTGAGAAAAGAAATGACTTTACTATGTCATCAGACTCTCACCCCGTTGCCAAACTTTTTGTTGTTGTTGTTGTTTTGAGACGGAGTCCCACTCTTTTGCCCAGGCTGGAGTGCAGTGGCGTGATCTCAGCTCACTGTAACCTCTGCCTCCTGGGTGCAAGTGATTCTTCTGCCTCAGCCTCCTGAGTAGCTGGGATTACAGGCACACACCACCACACCTGGCTAATATTGTATTTTTAGTAAAGACAGGATTTCGCCATGTTGGCCAGGCTGGTCTTGAACTCCTGACCTCAGGTGATCCACCCGCCTAGGCCTCCCAAAGTGCTGGGATTACAGGTGTGAACCACCACGCCCAGCCCCTGCCAGCCTTTTCTCTATACAGAAAAGCACACAAAGGAGAAGTGGCTCTACTTAGAAAACATCGAGGTGGCTCAGAACTCATACCCTCCTGGGGCTCTCCCTGGAGGAATCTCCTAGGAGCCCGAGGTAGCAAAGCCCACTCCGCTTTTGCATCAGGCCTGACAGGGCAACCCCATGCCTGCCCACCTCCCATCGGTGTTGACATTCCCTTCAGCTCAGCTCCACATCTGATCAATATTTATTCACCATTTTGAGCTGGTGCACTTGCTCCGGCAGCACATCCTCTGCCTGCATGCGTGGAGAGGAGGCAGCCAGTCAAAGGTACTCCAAAGAGCGTGACATTTGCATCTTCTGTAGCCACTGTCCCCAGTGGCTCACAGATCACATCAACTCTATTTACCAACACAAGGAAGTTTCTTTTTTCTCTCTCTCTGTCTTCTCTCTTCCTGCCCTCTCAATTCCACTTGGCAATGCTTGCAAGAACACATCCCAGGGGCCTGATCACAGTCATTTTTTCGTCTGCCATGGGGAATCCGTGAAAGCTTCTTAGTCCACAGAGAGGAGGAGGAAGGAAGAAGATCCAAGCATGGGTCCCAGTGCAGCTTCTCTCAATGCCTAAAGGAGCCCGGTGGCCAGCAGGTGCTGAGGAGTCCTGGAGGCTGGGGCAGGGTGGCCACTGGACCGAGGGAGTGGCTGAGCACCCCTGCATGCCAGGGCATATGGCAGGGTACTGCATTGAATCCTGACACCACTCCTTGGAGGCAGGGACCACTATCTCCATTTCACAGATGAGCAAACTGAAACTCAGACTGGACGTGGTCACCCCCTTGGTCAGTGGCTAATCTGGAACTCAAACCCAGGTCTGCCTAATTCCCAAATTTACAAACCTCTTAACCATGGCGCCCCCAAGGTAAGAGCTGTCCAGGCAGGTCCAAGCAAGCAAGATCCTAGCTGGTCGGTCTCTTTCCCGGAAAAGCCAGCTTCCAGTAAAGCCATTCCCAGCAAGGTCATTATCAATCCCAGCAAAATCAGGATGGCAAGCCCTGAAGTGGAATGCCACCCTCATCCCCCTACCCCACTGGAAAGGCTCTGAGCAGGGACCTGTGTCCTTGGGCACCGCCTTCCTCCCCACTCCCTCCTCCCTCGTTTCAAGTCCACACCATACTTGATTTAATGAAGTCACTTATAGAACTCCCCCCTCATTGCTCTGTGGGCTCCCTTGTGAAGCCCACAAAGGTATACTCAGCCCTTCATCTGTGGATTGTCTGTCACCGCCGACCTGCACAAGCATGAGGCTGCTGGAGACGGAGGAGAAGGAGCAATGATAAAGCCCAGTTAACTGGAGCACCCCGTGGTCAGCACAGGCAGAGCACACAGGTGGCATGTGTGACTCATTTCAGGGTGACAGCCTGGCATGACAGTTACAGCACAGGGCCCCGAGCCAGCCTGCTAAGTTTGTGTCTGAGCACTGCCACACCCCGTAGCATCTCGGGGCAGAGAGTAACCTCTCCACACTTCAGTGTGCTCGTCTGTAGAATGGGCTGCAGCACCAGCCTCACTGAATCCTAATGGGGATGAAATGAGGTAACAGTCATACAGTTTTGGAATGATGTCTGGCACATGGAGAGGGCTATGTAAGCATGAGTTAATTCTTAAATATATATATTTTTAAGTATCTACATTTGGTTTTGGTTTGGTTTGCAGTAGTGCTATTAAAATCCTCCTAAAATGTTTGATACCATTTTTCCGCTCTGGAAGGTACAGCACAAAAACTCCACTTCACACTAAAAGAGGAATGTGGCAAATATGTCTGGTTAATTGACACTCTGCATGGCCTTGATTGTGTAAACAACATCTTTGTGAGGTTTTCAGAGCCCTTTCTATTTACTCACTTGCTTGAATGTAGGAGGTAGAGTGATGAAGCCATACTGCTGAGTTTTTAGAACACACATCAGACCTTAAAGATTCAATGTGGTCACCTCGGCAGGCTGGGATCACCCCCATCGCTCATGACGTTGGAGGTACTCCTTGCAGGGGAGGGGATGTGCTGGGCCGGAAAAACCCAGCTGACTGCTTAGTCAGCCTCAGCAGCCTCTGTCCATCTCTGTCTCAGTCTGTCTCCTCTCTTCCAGAGCTCGTTTAGAGGTGAAAAGTACTTGAATCATCCAATACAATTTTGTAGGTGAGGCAACCAAGATTGAACAAGATTGCCTGAAAGTCACCGTAAATGACTAGAAGGCAGCCATTCCACCATGTAAACCCACCACAGAGAATGTCATCAACCTTATTTACCAGTTTGGCTTCTAAATGACTTTGGATTTTCCTAAAAAATTTAATCCATTTTTAAAAGATGAATGGGCCAGTCACGGTGGCTCATGCCTGTAATCCCAGCGCTTTGAGAGCAGAGGTGGGTGGATCACCTGAGGTCAGGAGTTCAAGACCAGCCTGGCCAACATGCCGAAACCCCATCTCTACTAAAAAAACAAAATTTACAAAAATTAGCTGGGTGTGGTGGCAGGTGCCTGTAATCCCAGCTACTTGGGAGGCTGAGGCAGGAGAATCGCTTGAACCTGGGAGGCAGAGGTTGCAGTGAGGCAAGATCGCACCACTGCACTCCAGCCAAAAAAAAAAAAAAAAAAAAAAAAAAAAAGATTATCTACCCCTACTAAGACTCTAAAAAAATGGGCAACAAACAGGCGATGAATCTGTTTACTTGTATTAACACAGTATGGGCCAGGAGCATGGGTGGGTCACACCTGTAATTTCAGACTTTGGGAGACTGAAGCAGGGGATCCCTTGAGGCCAGACAATTAGGATCAGCCTGGGCAACATAGTGGGATTCCATCTCTACCAAATAATAAAATGAATAGGGTGTGGTGGCACACACCTGTAGTTCCAACTACTTAGGAGTCTAGGGTGAGAGGATCACTTGAACCCAGGAGCCTGAGGTTGCAGTGAGCTATGATCACACCACCACACTCCAGCCTGGGCAAAAGAATGAGACCCTGTCTCAAAAAATAATAATAAAAATATTTAAATAAATACACAAATTTTTTAAAATATGCAGTAAGTGACCAGCCTCAGCATCCTTGGGAGGGGCAGCCCAATTTCAACTCACTTCACAGATCAGAAAATGCTGGTAAAGAATTTCTCCAGCTGGCAGGGAACACTGGGGCTTCAATCCTCATGAGTAAAGGAAAGTCTTCATCTTAGGCATTCGACAGTCTGTGGCTGGGAACTAGAGACAGGTGCATATGTATGGATGCACACGCACACACACACACACACACACACACACACACGCCCCTTCAGCATGAAGTGAAGCCATCGGTGCATGCACACAAACACATTCACACAAAGCCCCTTTGGCAGAAGTGAAGCCATGGGTGTGTGCGCACACACACACACACGCACACACACACACACACACGCACACACACACACACACACAAGCCCCTTTGGCATGAAGCCATAGCAGATGGGCTATGAGACCCTCAGAGGCAGGAACCAGCAGGCAGCCGACACTGGGAGGCTAAACCAGAGACCCGGTGGGCTCCTCAGTGAGCAGGCGAGTCATGGGCGAAAGTCCAGATTGGCCAAAGATGTCCATCCTGGCAGGCCTAGGACCACCATCAGGAAGGTCTGTGGGAAACAGCAGGGCACCTCCTCAGCCTAAGCATCCCCGTCAAGGCAGGACCAGCAAATGCAGGGCTGAGCCCCGTTCTGGGAAACCTGTGTGCCAAGCCGATAGCAAAGGCAGGGCCTGGGGTGCCAGGAACTAAGGTGACGACCCTGTGTTTGGTCTTGATACCAGGTAGGCGCCCTGCTGTGAGGACCACCGTGGGTCAACGTGGGACCTGCGGCACTGCTCACTCAATCCTGAGCTTCTGAATTGGCCACCTATATGACTTCACACTTGACAAGGTATCAGAGCCTAGAAAACGGAGTGAGCCAGACTTGCAGATAGAGGCATGCCCCTGATCAGGAATCCTCAGGGGGCTGGTGGCAAAAAAAAGCTAATTTTATACACTTTGCTGACTAGGGGGTAAAGGCACAGGGCCCTGGATTGCATGTGTCTGCAGTCTCCCACAGCAACTCTAAGAAAATCTAGAAATCAGTCTCTGGTGGCTGAGCTTGGGGGCTCACGCCTATAATCCCAGCACTTTGGGAGGCCAAGGCAGGCAGATTACTTGAGGTCAGGAGTTCGAGACCAGCCGGGCCAACGTGGCGAAACCTTGTCTCTATACTAAAAATACAAAAAAAAATAAAAAAATTAGCCAAGCATAGTGGCACACACCTGTAATCCCAGCTACTTGGGAGGCTGAGGCACGAGAATCGCTCGAACCTAGGAGACAGAGGCTGCAGTGAGCCGAGATCGCACCACTGCACTCCAACCTGGGTGAGAGTGTGACTCTCTCAAAAAAAAAAAAAAATCTATCTCTGGTGGTCCCTACCAAACTTTCCATGATTCACTTCCTGTTTTTGGTCCCTCAACCCCAATTTCAATGTCTAGACTCAAATGTCTTAATGTTACTAGAATTCATTCACACCATTAAATTAACTAACATTAAGATAGCAACAATTTATTCTTCTAGTTCGATTTGCATATTTTGAGAGAATCACAAATAGGAATCATCTCAACCAAAGGAATGAATACCTAATGGTAAAATTTCAGCCATGTGATACTTGGATAGGGAGACATTTGAGGGCAGAGTAAAGCTAGCTAGTATCCACTCCTCCTTCATAATGGCACCTCAGTTTCCTCTTGGGAAATTTTCTCTCCCCCATGATGTAGCCTAAGGGCTTACCTCCTATTAGGGATACCAGACATGACATATATATCCTCTCTCTCACACTCAAGTATGGCAGAGGGCAGGCACAAGGCCCAGTTCAGCCAGATGGGCAATGGTTGGCAGCAGAATGCTGACCCTGTACATCCTGCCTTCCAGCCCCTCAGATGCCCTCCAGTCCCTGCCCTCGCCTCCCCTGGTCCCCCCACCTCCCACAAATTCCGTGAGCCACCTTCTCCCATAGCCTTCCAGTAAAGTACTTTTTAAGTTAAATGGTCTTTGCTGTTTGCAAAGAACACGGATTCCTAAGTGGATGCCATGACCACGTCTACCCGCAATGGCTGGACAGAGACCTGGCTGGCTCACTGTACCCCTTCCATGCAGAGGCTGGAAGGCAATACACCACAGTGATAAACGCTGTGAACGGATGCTGCTCACACATATACAACCAGAAGCAAAAGCCATTGAGGGGACCTGCGATTGGGAGATGGGAAAACTGCATCCTATTGTCCAGTTGAAATGGGATGGGCTCACATGCAGCCCTGAAGGCCAGGCTGACAGTAGAAACATCTTCTCGCCTACCAGTCTTCCATTCTCCCTCCTGCCATGGGTATATATTCACACGTGCACGTGAACATGTGCGAGCCTGCACACGACCGCACACACATGTACACATGCTCACATACATGGACACACACACACTTGGCCAGCAGGCATTCTCCTGGTCCTCTCTGGGGAGAATCTCTCTTGGAGACTATGGCAGGCCTAGTGTCCAAGTGGGGCCTGGGTAGCAAATGGAGAAACAGGAAAGGAAGGAATAGAGGGAGACCCAAAAAATACTTATGCTTTCAGACCATGACCCCAGAACATGCACAGTCATGTCCTTCTTCTCTGGTGGGACCCAAAAGGCCAGGTCACTGCACTCACAATCACACATCTCAAATAAGCCAGGAGTCCCAGAGGGACATACCACTTTGCTCTATGTAAGACTAACAGGGCCACCCAGACAGCCTGACAATAAAACATTCCCAACGTGTGATGCCAAGCTGTGGCTCCCCACCACGTCCACGTCCACTGCATTCTCTTCCAGCCTGGGAGCCACAGGCATTTGCGCCAACTGGAGAAGTGAGCAAAGAGGGAACAGAACAGCCCACCAGGCTCAGCACAGCGTGGACCCTCAGATCCCGCCCCCAGTGTCAAACCAGCTCCTAAGAGAGCTCCATCTACACACAATGTGGACACATGGGTGAGACACATGGATGCACACACATGCACACAGGCACACACACGGACACACATTTCCCCAGCCCACTGGGAGCTCCACTTACGCAGGTAACACTGGACCAAGAACAAAATGGGGGCAAAACCCCACGGGACCGAGGCAGAGGCAGCTTGCTTCCTAGCACGTTTATTGGAGCCTTGGTTAAGCTTGGATGCGGATCAGGAGCCCCCACCAGAGCCCAGCCAGGCTGACTGGGGCAGGGCACTGCGGGGCCAATGTCCTTTTTCCCCATTATAGACAACAGTATTAAAAAAAATAAACTTTACAATAATACATTTTCGCTCATCTGTTGGGGTATTATTTCCATAGTTTTGTTGCTTAAAAAAAGGAAAGAAAGGGGAAACCACACAATATATGTATATGGATGTGTATATACATATATGTTAGGAGAGGAGCCCCGGTATGTACATACAGTTGACGTACGTCTAGGAAATGAGGAAAGAGAAAGGGGAAAGGAGGAGGAGGGAGAAGACAGCAGGAAAGCTTGAGGGCCCACGGTGCTGCAGACACACACCCGGCTGTGGTCTCTCCCCTCCCTCTCCCCAAAGGGAGGCCTGCCAAAGGACCCACGAGAAAGCAAAGAAGCCAACAAAGGACCGTTTCTCTCTGACTTCAAAATTTCTGCCACCGAGAAAGAAGCTGGTGCCCAAGTTTTAATGCCTCGCCACAAGGGCTCTCCCAGGCAGGCTGAGCTCTCAAGCCCTCCTGGAGCTGGCCCCCAGCCCCAACACTCCGTGCTACAGTCAGGGGGAGCCCAGCACGGTGCGAACCCCCTCCACCGCCATCCGTGGGGAAGTTCCCACACCAGCTGCAGACCCACCAGCCCCACCCGAGGGCAGAGAGGGAGGGCAAAACCATCTCCATCCTTGAAGCCAAAGGGCTGAAGGTGGACCCTCATGGCCAGCCCCGCTGCCCCGCTGACCGATGCCCTCTGCCAGCCCCCAGCGGGTCCCCAGAGTGGGCAGCCTGGGGAAGCAGCTGTGTTGTCCTGCCCCCAGCCAGCCTCAGGCACAGCCCAGAGTCCCTTCCGCTGCAGGCTCTTGTCCGGTCTCTGCTTCAGAAGGGTCCAGAGAGAAAAACACCAGGAGAAAGTGAAGGGCATTTCTAGAGCCTCGTGCCCTCCCCGGCACCAGAGTTTCCCCTGCCAGGGGACCCCTGGGCCAGCTCTCAGGCTGCCTGCCTGCTTGTCTGTTTGGTTTACAAAAACTTCTCCAGAGAAGAAACCTGGGAGGAGACAGGTTCAGCGACAAGGTGGGAAAAACAATTTTTTTTTTGCAAGGTGTGTGTGTGTCTGTGTGTGTTTCCATTTCGTCAGGCGGCTGTTCTTGTCTGCGTAGCTTTCAAAAATATTCTGACTCGGTTCCCACAGCCTACAAGGCCAGTTTCAGCATCAGGACAGACAGCACGGTCAAGGCAGCCGACGGTCTGGCTCTGCTGGGGCCTGAGTTAGGTTTGATCACCTTGTTACTCCCTGGGATGATATTTGTCGTGAGCTGAGTCCGCAGCAGGAGAAGAATCAGGAACAAAGAGAATGAAAACAAAGAAAACAGTCAGGAGGCCTGGGACCCGGCAGAGAAACGGACTCAGGAACTGGACACCTCAAGCCCCTGTCCTCTCTTCCACCCACAGGGACCCTCCTTTGCACTCTGAAGGGAGCGCTGACTCTCCCGGAGCTGGCCCAGGCAGGAGCAGAAGGGAATGCTCTGTCCCTTCTGGTCACAAGCCCTGGGGTTTGGAGAGGAGGGCAGTGGTCACCAGGATAACAGGCTACTCCTCCCTGCATCAGGGCTGAGGACCTGCGTCCCAGTGAGGAGGCAGATGGTATAAAGAGCTGAAGAAGGAGGAGAGAAGAAGAAGGAGAGGAGAGAGGAAGGAGAGGGGAAGGAGAGAGGAAGGGAAGGGGAGGGGAGGGGAGACAAGGGAGCCCACATTCGCCCTGTTTCTCAATTTCTTCCAATCCCCACTCCTCCATGAAGCCCTCCCTGAACATCTTTGTCTGAGTTTCTCTTTCTTCTGTGAGGTCTCACACTGCCTTTTCTTCTCATCTAAGTTACTGTCTTGGGTCTATAAGTCATATATATATATACGTCATATACATGAGATATATATATTTATATATACGTCATATATATGAGATATATATATATTTATATATATATTTATTTATTTTTATATATATATATATTTCCTATAGTGGGGGTTTCTTCAAGGGAAGAACTGTGTCTGTTTCCACTTCTGTGCCTCCTAAATATCACAGCAACAGTGCCGAGCAGGTGGTCGACACAACTGTCTTAAGAGAGTAAGGAAGGCATGGGAGGGCCTCTGCTCAGAGCAGCCATTTGTCTCTCCCCAAGGAGAGAGCCAGGGGCCCTGGATGCAGCCTTCGCACTCCCCCACCCCACCCCAGCAGAGTAAGTGCCCACCCTGGTCCAGAAGCTCAGCTGGCCCAGCCCATGCGATGAGATTTGAGGGCGCTGGATCTGAGGCTCGCCGGGGAAATGCCGCCCCCCACCGGCCCAGCCTTCTGCACCCATCCCCACTCTGCCCCCAACTCACCTCTGTGAAGCACATGCTTAACTCTTTGGAGTTGTTGGCCTTCAGCCCCTGCTCCTGCGAGAGAGAAGGTGCCAGTCAGGACGAGTCACCAGGCTGTTCCTGGCTGGGCTTTGTCCAGAGACTTAGATGAGGCCCCGCCATGCACTGTTGGCTCCGCTAAGCACAGCCAGCGCACACGGTGAAGAGGGTAGCTCAATTCCACCCAGCACAAAAGGCTTCTGCCCTTCTCTGACACCCTCAGCAATTAGGACCCGACTCCTCTGGCTCCTGGAGAACAGAGTTCTAACTCTGCTCCCAACTAGCGGCATTATATAGTCATCAGCCATTCGCATGTCTGTCCATATACTCAGCGCAACTCTTGGGCAGGGACCATGTCTTCTTTTCCTCACACTGAGCAGTGTCTGGTTCATAACAACAACTCAACAAATGTTTCACTAGATGCCTGCATCCATGAATGAATGAATGAATGTCACAGATCATAAACAGCCTCCAAGAGCCAACTCCTGTTAATTTGCCATGGCTGATGGAGGGCTCTATATAAAAAGATCATGAGCATTCATCTGGGCTTGAGGGGAAGAGAGGCATGATTGATTAGTGATGTCTGCCACTGGTCCATTAGGTGGATATCTGGCAACTGCACCAGCCCATTTCTGTCCTACACGGATGTGCACACCTGGGAACACTGTGGGCAAGGTGAGGGACGAGAAGGGCTGCCTTGGTAATGATTCCAAGATTGTCTACCCTGGTGTGGCCACCTGGATGCAGGGCCAGAGGGCGCACATGATGAACGGCCCTCTGTTATCATCACTGTAATGGAGATCCATGGGAACCAGCTGGGGATGCAGCGCTTCCATCCAGGATTCAAATGGCTTGTTCCCAGGGCACTTCCAGGGAAGTTCTGGCCACCAAAAGCAACTGGGAAGCCCAAGAAATTATGCCGCAATCACTGCCCTCGGCCAGAAGTATCAATAACCCCTTGGACATCACAGGCAATCTACCACCCAGGGCATCTGGTCAGCTAAACAAGACCCCAGCTGTCACATGGAGACGCTGGCCAAGAGTAGAGTCACTGCCAATGGTGGAGATAGGACCACGGTGATGATTAGCACAGCGAGAATGGAACCAGGAGTGTCCCCAGGTGCCAAGGTGATGCCCAGCCAACTCCCCAGCTGTTGCCCTCTGCAGAAGGGCACGTGCTCGACAACTCTTCCAGACCCAAGGCCTGGACTCCACTCCCCAGGACTTGGTGCTGTTCCAGCTAAGACTGTGAGGCCACGGGGAAGGGTGTCAGGGAAAAAGAACACGCCCACCCCCTCAGAGGCTGTGCTGTCATAATGGCCTCGCATCTGTCCTCCCGAGTCCCTTGGCCAATCCTTGCTCAGTCACCTCAGTCCCTACTTGTGACATCCTATGGCTTGTTGGAGTCTGTGCCTGTGGCCTGACACCTACGGACACCCAGCGTCACTTCCTACTCTCATTGTTTCAGGTGTGGCAGGCCAGTCCCCGCCCTTTCTGGGAGTCCATGTCTTATCCCTACATCCCTACCCCCAACAGAGCTCACTAAACCATTGGGAGCCCTCTCCTTTGTCCCCTCCCCATCTCCTGTGTCCCCTCCCCCCTCTCTCCCCTCCCCCTCCTCTGTCCCCTCCTCCTTTCCTGTCCCCTCCCCTCTCCCTCTGTCCCCTCTCCCTCTGTCCCCTTTCCCTCTTTCTCCCCTCCCCTCTCCCTCTCCCTCTGTCCTCTCCCCTCTCCTCTGTCCCCTCCCCTTTCCTCACTAAACCAGTGGAGCCCATGGGGAATCACAGAGGCAGAAGCTCCCTGCACTCAAGATCCTCACCCCCATCCACCATAACAGCTCCATTTTTATTTGTTTTGTATATTGGAGTCTTAGCTGTTTTGTATATTGGAGTCTTAGCTTATTTGTATATTGGAGGTACGCATAAAATTGTTTGGATAATAGTCTACTGCTTAACAAAATAAGGCTTGAGAAAACAACCGACAAGAAGGGCCCCAGGGTGGGGCCTGCACAATGTGCTGTGGCTGTGGGTGCCACTCTCAGGGGAGCCCCGGACCTAGACACTCTGCAGGGTTACACCCGAGGTCAGCCCATGCAGAGCAGCTGGCAAAGCAACCAGCACACACCAAGTGCATTTTCCCTGGCCTGGGAGCTTGGCCAGGTGTGGAGAGAGAGGATCTAAAGGCCGACGCTCCAGAGAGCAAAGGGGGCCTGCAACTGGACTTTGCTCCTCGGAGTGAGCAGAACTTGACAAGTTCCTCTTAAATAGGATAGAGTGGAGGGGACACTGGCAAGTATTACACAGGAAAAATGACAGAGAAGAGGAGAGTGAAGAAAGGGGTGGAAGGAAGAGAGGAAACCAGGTGAAGGGAGAAGCAGAGAAATGGAAACAGGAAAGAGGAAGAGGGGGAGGGGACAGAGTGAGAGGAGAGGGGACATAGTAGAGGGAAGGGGACAGAGGAAGGGGGAGGGGACAGAGGAAAGGGGAAGGGACAAAGGAGAGGGCAGGGGAGAGAAGAGAGAGGGGACAGAGGGAGAGATGAAGGGACAGAGGAGAGGGGAGGAGACAGAGGAGAGGGAAGGGGACCGAGGAGGGTAGATGGGACAGAGGAAAGGGGAAGGGACAGAGGAGAGGGGAGGGGAGAGAAGGGGGAGGGGACAGAGGGAGAGGGGAAGGGACAGAGGATAGGGGAGGGGACAGAGGAGAGGGAGAGGGGACAAACGGAAAGGGGAGGGGAGGGCATGGTAAGGGGAGGAAGCTGAGGGAGAAAGATAGCAGGAGGGGAGGGGACAGAGGAACAGAAGACAGAGGGAAGAAATAGAGGAAGGAGGCAACAGAGGGCAGGGGAGAGAATAAAGGGGGAGGCAAGAGGGCTGAGGACAACCACTGTACCCTCTCATCTGATGCTGATTATCAGGGGACAGTGAAACACCTCCCTGGGCCATCCCAAGGGACATCTGCCCCAAGGTGTGGTCTCTGCCAGGGGCAACAGGGCCCTTGGGTGGGAGTGTTGCCCAGCAGCTGACCTTTCCTGAAGGTGGCACCTAGTGGCGGGAGGGGCAGAGAGAAAGAGAGACCACCTCTGATGCCAAAACCACCAGTGTCTCAAATTCAGTGCCTCCCTGCCCTCCAGGGGCTCATACTCTAATAGAGAAATAAACTCGCACATAACCACTGATATGGTTTGGCTGTGTCTCCACCCAAATCTCATCTTGAATTGTAGCTCCTATGATTCCCATGTGTTGTGGGAGGGAACCAGTGGGAGATAACTGAATCATGGGCGTGGGTCTCTTCCATGCTGTTCTCGTGGTAGTGAGTAAGTCCCATGAGATCTGATGGTTTTATAGATGGGAATTCCCCTGCACACACTCTCTCTTTCCCAGTCACCATGTAAGACGTCCCTTTGCTCTTCATCTTCTGCCATGATTGTGAGGCCTCCCCGGCCATGTGGAACTGTGAGTCCACTAAACCTCTTTCCTTTATGAATTACCCAGTCTCAGGTATGTCTTTATTAGCAGCGTGAGAACAGACTAATACAACCACCTTCACAGCAGACGAATACACAGAGGGGAGAGAAGCCTGCCTGTGGGTCTAGGGAAATAGCCTGGAGCTTACTCCATCCCTACCCAGAGCTTCTCATCCCCTAGAGGCATCTGTGGCTCCAGTCCAAAAGCACACAGGCCTAGGCTGCAAGGATGGCAGGACACAAGGCTGCTAACAGCAAATCCTCCACCATGGAGGCAGCACAGGGACTGTGGGAAGAGCTGACCCCTGAGGGCTGTGCTGTGGGTGCCCCAGAAGCATCAAAGAACTGGCCCTTGCAGATGGCACTGGGGGAAGGACGCAGAAAGAAGAAGGACAGTGGGAAAGGCATGCTTCATCCTTCCATAGCTT
The DNA here is from genome assembly GCF_000001405.40 of Homo sapiens. Classification (NCBI taxonomy): domain Eukaryota; kingdom Metazoa; phylum Chordata; class Mammalia; order Primates; family Hominidae; genus Homo; species Homo sapiens. The sequence continues at coordinate 21,698,375 of NC_000008.11, forward strand.
TCTCCCAGGGATGCTCTGTTGCCCAGGAAGCGAGAAGGAAATCATTGTCTTCCTCCTCTTCCTTGCCCACCTCCTGCCTACCCCCGAAGCGCAGGCCGGCATTCCCAGAGCCTCGCTGGTCTGGCCCAGGCGCTAGTCTAGTGTTGTCCTGCTGGCTGAAGCCATGGCTCTCCTGCACTCCCTGCTTCTGGCCCTGGCCCCGCCCCTAAATCTCAGCGCTCCTGGCCTTCCTCCCTGACCTGCACCATCCCCAGTAACTCACACCTCTCACACTGTCTCCATCACCACAACTCAGTGCTGCCTGTGACAGAAGACAATGCAGACAGGGTGTGGTTGTGAAGTGTGTAACACTTCATTTGTAAAACCAGGCACAGCAGACCCCCACTCAGCACAGCAGACCCCCACTCAGTATAGTAGACCCCCACTCAGCACAGCAGACCCCCACTCAGCACTCTGTGCTGTCCTGACTCTGTGCCTCGGCTCCGCTGCTGATTCACCTGGGGCAGCCTGCCCACTGCAACCCCACACCCATTCTCCCGATTCTTTTCAGGCCTAGCAGCAGGCACTGTTATGCCCACGGGTCCTTGGCCTCCACTCCCAGTCAACGCACTCTCTCCCTCTTCTGGACCCCATCACCCTCTACCAGTCCCGCACGCAGCAGGTGCACCAATCACCTTCTCCCTCATAGCCATGTGAGCTTCATCCTGTCAATCCTCCAGCACCGGGACCATGGTCCCGGCCCATGAGGCTTGTTAGCCTCGGTGCCTGGGATGTAGTGACGTGCAGTAAGAATTTCTGTTGAGTCAATGAATGAATGCACTGACCGGTCTCTCAGTCCCATGCTCTGAGGTCCACAGGTCTGTGTGCTGGGTATGAGACCCATCCAGGAGCAGACAGGAGGAGGGAGGAGAGAGAGGTGGCCGCTGGCTGCAGAGTCGGCTGCAGGCATGCAGTGAGGGGGGCCTTGGGGCAGTCTCTCAAAACTCATTTTTAATTTGCCCAAGATGTGACTGGCAGTCCAAATCACAGGTGGGCAGGTGGAGATGGGGAAGCAAAGGAGATGGTATGTTGCAGGGCTCCCTGGTGCTGGGAAAGGTGGGACTCCAGCTGATCTGAAGGGGTCCTACAAATTGGCATTCTGGGCCCAGAGTAGCCCCAAGGGAGTGTCAGGGAGAACAGCAGGCCATGGCCAGGAAAGCACCAACCATCGCCCGTCTCCCTGCAGCCCTCACTGCACTGCCCTGGTCCAGGCCCCATCATAAGACCACGAGTCTCTAACAAACCTTCCTACACCTTCAACAGAAAAGCATTTTCACCTCTGCAGCTTCCCAGTCCTGCGCACAGAGGGCACCTAGGAGAAGGAAGAGAGCTGCGGGCACTGAAACACACAGAGCCCATCCTCTAGGACAGCAGGGAGTTTCAATGAATCCAATGAACTGGGGACACCGGGGTCTCTCCTTCCACCTGAACAAAGCACCCACTCCATGCCAGGCACTGTGCACCCAGCTACGCAGGGTGACGCAGGAGGGTGAGATGCCACTATGGCCTCTGGGGGCCCTGGCCTAGCAGGGGAGAGGAGAACACATCACGATGGGGCCATGAACACGCAAAGCAGGAGCCCAGAGCAGGCGGAAGGCAACCTGGTGTGGACGGAATCGGAGAAGGCATTCCCAAGAGGTGACATCAGGGTAGGACGCACCAGGTGGAGAGGAGTGGACAAGGAGAGACGTCTTACTCAGAGGAACGGCCAAGTGCAGACCAGCAGGTAGCTCACCCATCCTGCAGGTGTCCAAGACTGACCTGACACTCAGGTTCCCTGCTCTAGAGCCCAGTGGGATGGAGAGAAGGGCAAGGGAATTCAGACAAGGTATATATTTAATATACCAGAAGGCCCCAGGAGAGACCATTTTGCAGGCCCTATCAGGCCTCTCCAAGGTCCACAGAGCCCCAGGGAGGCAGGGCTGCCCAGAGAGGGGGCCAAAGCCTGAAGGAGACACTTCTGAGAGTAGGACCTAAGACATCGGCCACAGGGCCAACTGGGAGGGGGCTCCTGGCTCTACTGTGGTGGCGTCCAAGACTCCCACAGCCCCACTGAACAGCCCCACTCCCACCGTGGGAAAGTCCTTTGTGGGGAGCAGATTTGGAGGAGGAGGAACCAGAAGGTGGCCAGGAGGCAGGGTTGCTGGCCCTTCTCGACTGCCAACTGGCTGTGGGGCTGTGGACATGCTGCTGTCTTCACCAGGCCTCTGGTGGCTTGGGTTTAGGAAGATCTTGGAGGGTCTTTCAAGTCCTGACATACAGATACCCACGTAGGGACCCAACTGGCTACCATCTCTGGGGTTCCCTAAGCCTTCCCCCAAGGAAGAAGGAAGGACAGAGGAGGACAGAGATCAGCAAAATAACCTTGCCTCTCCCTCTAGGGTGTATCTAGGGTGTACAGGCTCCCCCACCCTTCCTCCCATCCAGGCTCAGCTCTCTGTCCCTGTGATCACTCAGGTACTCCCTTCTATAGCTATGGGTGCCCCTAACACCCTACGACCCCACAAGGGCCACCACAAAGCCACTCAATCAGAGATGGTCCAAGCTAGGGGAGCTGAGAGACAGGGGACAGATGTGGGCTGGGAAGGAGGGGAGGCACCCATGCCAGCCCCAGGCAAGCCAAAGGCAGGGGCGAGGGCTTATTCACTCGACACTTCCAGCTCCCAGCATGGGATAGCAGGTGCTCATTAAAAACATTGTGCCGGGCGCGGGGGCTCACGCCTGTAATCCCAGTACTTTGGGAGGCCGAGGCGGGTGGATCACAAGCTCAGGAGATCGAGACCATCCTGGCTAACGCGGTGAAACCCCGTCTCTACTAAAAATAAAAAATATTAGCTGGGCATGTTGGCGGGTGCCTGTAGTCCCAGCTACTCGGGAGGCTGAGGCAGGAGAATGGCGTGAACCCAGGAGGTGGAGCTTGCAGTGAGCCGAGATCGCGCCACTGCACTCCAGCCTGGGCGAGACTGCGAGACTCCGTCTCAAAAAATAAAAAATAAAAAATAAAAACATTGTAATTAAAACTGAATCAGAGGCCCTTCCTCTTCCATTTCTCTGAGAAGAAGCCTGGAGAGTGGTAGAGGTTGGACCCCTTTGGAGGGTCTATTTCTCCTCCTTTCCTCCTGGGAGGCTCTCTCAGCTGTCCTGCCCAGACTGACTTAGTCTGTAGGCCTCCAGCCACCTGCCAGGCAGCCTCCCCAGCCCCCGGATTTGTAACGCCTAACATTCGTGCAGCATTCCTCCATTGACCAAGCACTTTCGCATGTATCATGTCACATACAGATCACCCATATCTCCACTGAGATCAAACCAAGATTTGAGCAGGCCCCCGATGGTGAGACTGCACAAAACCAGGCTGGGGCTACAAGAAACCAAGCAACTGATGGCTCGGCAAACTGCAGAAGAAAAAGAATTAAATGGGCCTCAGAATCATCAGAGCTGATGGTGAAGGGGGCTGGGTGGGGTTCCCAAAGCCACGGCTTTGGACCTTATGACCACAAGGAACCACAGTGGGAGTCCTGGGAAGGTTGCCAGCATCCTGCCAAGTCAGCCTCTCCCCAGATGGGCCGGTCCAAGAGGCTCAGGATGAAGGGTGCATGCAGGAGGCTGGTAGAGTCTGGAGGACCTGACAGATGGCACAGCCCCGACTGGCTGAGCTGCCCGCCGCTCTAGCATGAAATTGAGCAGTTGTCTGCAGAGCAGGACCCCAAGCCCCCTGCTTGCAGCCACTCAAGCATGCCCAGTGTCATTAGGAGCTGCCCAAGGGTGACAACAGCACCTCAGCTCCAATCAGGAGGGGAGCTAAGTGGAGGGAGCAGGACATGGAAGAGCTCCCCACCCAGTCGCCAGGAGGGCACTTGGAGGTCAGCTGCTCCTGAGCAGGGGAGCCCACAAGGGAGGGGGAAGGAAGCAGAAAGAGAAGGGGAGGACTTCCATAACCAGAACAGGCACATGCACTTCTGCAATGGGTGCCCAGGAGGGACTTGAAACCCCGCCAGGCTGAGTCCCTGGTCAAGCCTGCATCCTGGCACTGTGGAGGTGCACTGTTGACCCTAGGAGCCTGCTGCCCCACTCAGACGGGTGCCTCACTGCCCCACACACAGCCAGGACTTGTTCCCCCTGCACCTGCACCGAGGCTGTGCCCCACTGCCTGTTCTTCAGACCCTATAGCCTGCAAAGCAGGTATAACACTGTGATGTAACAGGGGTTTAACACTTGCAAGATGAATGCCCAAATAAAGGAACTGGTGAAGAATGACCCCCGGCAGCTCCTCCCTGCCTCTTGGGTCCCTGATCCAAAGGGAGGACCCTCCCTCCCTGGCCTCAGCTGAGTCATTTCCCATGCCACTTCCGGTGCCATGGTGCTCCCCCCACGCCTCAGCCACACACCCTCACCTGGACAGACGTGCAGGTGGTGATGACACTGGTCCCCAAGCTGGTACTGTCACTGAGGTCATCTGGCAAAGAAGGCGTCTTCTCCACCCGAGGGGCCTGGGTGGCCTGGAACGAGGGGCCTTTTGGGGACACGTTCACGTCCGTGCCGTTGCCAAAGGCCTGGATGGCGTTCCCTGGGATGGGGGTGAGGGCAGATGCAGAGAAGTCAGAACCCACGTCCGTCACTCCTGTCCCTGCTCCTCACACTCTTCACCCTGACCACCCCCTTCCCTGGAATGGTCCAGAAGCCAGGACAGGGCATAGCACAGCCAGATTCCCTCTGCTGAACCTCTTCTTCAGATACCTACAAAGGTCTCACAGCTACAGAATATAGCAAGAGAGAGGTTAAAAAACACAGAAGCCAGAATAGCAAGAAGTGTACATGATGGGGAACACAGAAGAAAAAAGGAGAAAAAGAAGGGGGTGGGATGCAGGGGAGCCTAGGGGAGGAGGGGGCCACCTCCTCTGCATGGTGCCACCAGCCACACCTCCCAAAGCTCCTCACCCCCAGCTCCCTAGTCACAGGCTCTTCCGGCCCCTGTGCCTCCTCGGATGTTCCCAGGTCCCCACCCTGGCATGCAGGGGTCCCACATTCAGCCCTCTGCCCACTCCACACCACAGGCTCTCCCTGGGTGGCCTCTGCTCCTCCCACACCATCCAGAGAGGTGCCCAGAAAATCTCCGCCTCCACGAGCCACACACATCTCAAACTCGTTATGTCTAAGCCTGGGCTAGGCGTCTCCTCCTACCCTTGTCAACGCTCCTTTCCCTTTGATCCCTCATATTGCAGCCTTGAAGGTATCATCTCTTATCTACCCTGGTCCCCCATGTCAGAATCCTGAGGGTCACCCTTGGTGCCTCCCTGCACAAGCACTGGCAGCCCGCTGAGCTCACCTCCTAAAGATCCCTCCACCCCATCTCCCATCGCTGTTCCCCTCCCACTGCTCTGGTTCACAGCCACCACTGTGTGCCCCTGTGAGCAGCTACTATGGCCTTCTGATGGGCCTCTCTGTGTCAGGTCACCTGTCAGAATTGATTCACTCTGACTCCCGCTGCCTCACAACACAGGCAGATTCACTTTCTGGAATGCTGATCTGATCTCACACCCTTGCTGACATTCCTTCAAACACCCACAGTACCACTGTCACCCCTGCAGGACAAGAAGATCTAAATGCCTCAGGCCTGCAAGGCCCTGCATGACAAGGATGCTATCTACCTGTCCAGATAACTCTTGCCACTCTGGTCATCTTCAGTGCTATGTAGCAAGGCTACGTGATTGGCAGTTCCCTCCACCCGCCATGGTCTTCTGTGGAGCCCAGGACCTCTGCCCAGGGTGGACTGGCAGGCGCCCCCTGCCTCTTCAACTGACCGATGCCCAGCTAACCATCCACAGATACATTCTCCAAGAAGCCTTCAGGGCCTCCCTCTTCCTGGCTGACTTGGGCATCCCCATCCTGGGCTCCTCAAGAACCCTGTGCAGACCCCCCGCCCAGAGCAGCTCACTTGCACTGTGATCATAAGTGACCCCTCTCAGTCTACCTCCGTCAGGCACCTCCTCGATGACTTGGATCCCTGAATCTCTAGTGCCACACAGAGAGGGAGGAACAGAAGGATGGAGAGATGGACAGAATAAATAATGGAGGGAAGGAAAGAGGGAAGAAATCTTCAGGTGGGCATGGATGGCAATGGGTGCTGGGCTGGAAAGATCAAAGGCAGACTGAGCTAGACTGTGGCTAACCTCTCTCTGGCTTCTGGGTTAGGAGTTTGACGATGTGAAAAGGAAGTCGATTCCAGGGGGAAATAAACTCGTTAAAGGGAGACATGACAGATGCCAGCGATCCTCATGAGAGGGCTCAGTCTCCAAAGGAAACTGGCTGAAGCTGTCCCAATAACAAACCAGACCAAATAACAGGCTTGACATAGGTTCAAGACCTCTGGTGGTAAACTGAGGCTGGCCTACTGACAGCTCTGGTGTGAATCTCCAAAAGCTCAAAACCCAAGGTCCCCACGGGCAACACCCATGGCGGAGAAGCCTCATCTACATCACCAGCCATCCCCACGGAAGGAGATGGGAATGGCTAGGACAGACTCCAGGAGGGGTGGGAGGGGCTGCTGGGGTTGGGGAGAACATCCAGAACTTACGGAGGCATGGGTTCTCGGTGAAGTCCCTGAGGAACTTCTCACACTCCTCCTCCATGTTCCCGCTGCCACGACAGCTGCACCAGGGGGACACCACGATGCCAGTGGGGCTGGAGTCCACATAGTTAGGTGTCATGTCAAACCCTGGGCAGGAAGAAAGGTGGGGGAGAGGAGAGAGGTACGGTGGGGCCTTCCCCTTGGGCCCACAGACCAACCCCAGGCACAGCAGGGCAGAGGCGTGGTACCCATCCTCTGACCTGGCCCCAAAACACACATCCATCCCAATCGCACTCCTAACTCTGAGCATGACTATCCCAGGGACCATGTTCAGCAGGGGCAGAGGGGCCAGCAGCATAGAGGACACTGGGCTCCTTGCCACCAGGAAGGCAGAGAAGATGCCCTGGAGCCCCTCCCAGAGTGTGGGCCCTTGCTTTGTCCTTCACCAGCAAGCAGCCAACATTCTCAAATCAGGGTGAATGAGGCTCACATCCTGGGATCAGACCCCAGTGCCGATATTTATGAGCGAGGTGAGACTGTGCAAGTCACTCAACTGCTCTACAGCCTCAGTTTCCTCATCTATAAAATGGAGATTATCAGCACCCCGCTAGCAAGAGCTGTTGGGAGAATTCAGTAAGACAGTCCGTGTAAACTGCTCAGTGCAGAGCCTGGAATGTCAGAACCATGCAATAAATGTTACCTTTGCTTCTTTTCTCAAAAGCTTTAGGAGGCCCCTGGGGCCCTCCTTCCCCCATGATAAAGAGCTAGGTCCTCCGCCTTGTTACAAAACTGCCTTTCCCCTGGTTTCCCCTCGCAGCTCTCTGAATCTGATGCAGAGAAGGCCGGGCTCAGGCTGTCTCCCCCAGCTGGCCCTGAGCTGGGCTGCGGCCCCTGCCCTGCTGAGATGGGGGCAGCAAGGACCCACAGAGCCCAGGTGAGCAGGAAGAGCTTACCAATCATGCCAGCATAAGAGCCCAGACACGCCTGGTAATTGTCCGCAGGGCAGCTGGTGACCGTCTGGTAGGAGGCTCGACAATTGGCATGGAAGTCGGCCAGCCGGGACCTGGTGGTGGGTAGAAGACGCAATAGAGAAAACAGGGGTTCAGTCTAGCTGCCTTCTGTCTCCTCTGTCCTGCCAGTGGCATCTCCTCCCTGCAGCTTCCCAGGGTGGAAGAAGCCAGGAAGAGGGAGGGGAGGAAAGTCGGGGGAACCAAGTCTTTGTGGGGGCTCAATCTGTGAGCTTCTTGAGGACAGAGACTTCCCGGAGAGACAGGCACATAGTGCGGCTTAAGAAAAACCCAGTCATTGGCTGACAAAAAGGACCCCTCAAGGCACAGAAACAGCCTGCTCTAAATGGCTCTTTTAGGCTGGAGCCGGGTGGGTTTGTGGAGAATGCCTGGACCCCAGGCAGGAAAGCTGGGTCCACCTTCTGAGAGGCTGCAGCCCTGGATGAGCCTGCCCAAGTCCTTCAACCCGGCACTGCAAAATCCCACCAGCAAAACAGGTGACTAGTCCCTTCCCTAGATGCTTCATAGGACCTATCTGAGGGTCAAGGAAGCCAGTGGCCAGGGAGGCAAAAGAGTCTCCCTGGGTGAGACATGCCACGGGCATCCTCCCCTGGTCTCTTCTGCATTAAGCCAGAGCAAAGGCTCCTCTGCCATCCCTCCACCCCTACCCTAGTCCCACCAGGCAGAAGCGGCCTTCCCTTCCCCTGGTGACGGTAACACGCCGCCACCCATTCCCCTCTGTCAGCATCGATGACACTGCATCAAAACTCCTTGTGCACAGCTCTATGTTCCCCACTGGGCCATGAGCCACTTGAAGGCAGACAGTGTCTGAGCTGGGTCTGTCCCCAGCCCTCAGCTCCAGACCTAGACATGGAAGGTTCCATGGAACATGGGGAATCCAAGTCTAATATGCATGGCCATCTCCATTCCTTCCTCTTCCTCCTGCCCTGGGCCCTGGCCAGGAATGTTACCAACAGCCTGGGCTGGGGGAGGATGCTCCCCCTCTGCCATGTCAAGTGACAATCATCACCTTCTACAGGTGAGTGTCCTTTGCCACACACACAGCCCTCATGTATCATATCAACTATGTCTCACAGCAGCTCCAAATAGCTAGTAATAAGGTCTGTTCACGGGCCTTTCCCAATGATGGGAACTCAGTAGGACTTCAGTCGCCATGCACTCCATGAGAATTCTATGGTGACTCGACAAGCTAGCTGCAGGATGGACCAGAACCCAGGTCACCCAAATCCCTTGACCACATCCTTTGCACATATAGCACCTCATGAAGCCATCTCCGAGTTCACCACAGGTTCAGCTCCCCTGGTTCTCCACTGGAACCCTGTCCCATTTGGGAAAGGAACAGGTAGAAGGAGAGACAGACAGAAGGCTGAGAGGGACTGAGCCAGCCTGAGCCAGGAGAGAGAATGCAGGCTTTCCACCGGAAGGTGCTGGTGCCTGCTGAGGGGGCCCCCACCATGCAGACACGGGCTGAGTATGTCCCACCACTGGACAAATTCGTTTCTCTGGAGGCCCCCGCGATCCTGAGGGATGGTTCTGAGAGGAGGAAACCCTCCTGGGATGTGCCCCAGGACCCTGCAGGCTAAGAGAAGGCCATGGGTACCAAACCAAGAGTCAGCTCAGCTCTGCCCTAACTCACTGGGAGACCATGCCCAAGTTCCCTGCTTCTCCGGGACTCTAGTTTCTTATGTATCAAATGAATAAAAAGTACTCTAATTAGCACTTTAAAAGGCACTTTAACTGTTTGGGATGATTAAAAAGTTCTGGAGATGGATGGCAGTGAAGGTTCCGGAACCATGTGAATATACTTAATGCCACTGACTTATACACTTACATGGTGCATTTTCTGTTATGTGTATTTTACCACAATGATGGTTTAAAAGGTACTTTCATATCCATCTTTTATCATTTAACCCTCACAAATGCTCCGTGAGATCTGACAAGCAGTTATTATTATCCCATTTTATAGATGAAGAAGCTGAGCCTCAGAGAAGCTAAACAACTTTGCCCCCAAGATCACAGAGTCACTGAGTAGCAGAGCCAAGACTCAAGTCTAGAGCTCCAACAAGGTGGGCACCATTTCTGGCAGGCCCCAGTGCTCCTGTGTTGCAGGAGGGCCTGGAGCCCTTGAAGGCCCTTCCAGAGCCATCATTCTGCACCTCAGGAAAGCAATGTCTTCCACAGGAAACGAGGAGGAAATCTGCAGTTATCCCTGCCTTCTCTTCTGCCCATAAATGCACCCTCTGCTTCCTCAAAACAAGCAGCAGCAGCATTTCCAAGCAATCCTTCACCCCTGCAGGAGACAACTCCATCTTAGATGTCAAAACCCACATCCATCCCCCTCCGCAGCCAGCAAATGAGAGAGAGTGCTATGAGAGGGGAAGGTGGGAGTCTCCATTCATGTCCCAGACCTCCAGAGATCCAAGAGGTGGCTTGAGAGGGGACAGAGACTCTTAACAGGTAGATGGGATTTAGAGACAAAATCTGTTGAGTTCAATTATACGTCCCCCACAAAAAAAGTTGCAGTTTTAATCCCCAGGACCTATAAACATGATCTTATTTGGAAATAAGATCTTTGCAGATGTAATCAAGTTAAGATGAGGTCACAGTGGATTAGGGTGGGCCCTAAATCCAATGACTGGTGTCCTCATCAGAAGAGAAGAGATAGGCACACAGGAAGAACGCCATGAGACAGCAGAGGCAGAGATAGGAGTGATGAAGCCAGAAGCCAAGGAATGCCCAGGGCTGCAGCAGTGCCTGAAACTAAGAGAAAGAGAAAGGCATGCAACAGACTCCCTTTCAGCCTTCAGAAAAAAGCATGGCCCTGCCAACACCTTGATTTCAGACTTCAGGCCTCCAGAACAGTGAAAGAATAAACTTCTGTTGTAAGCCACCCAGCTTGTGGTACTTTGCTACAGCGGCCCCAGGAAATGAATGCAGCCCTTTCAAAGACTTCACTGTTTGCTTTGGCCAAATGTCTCCCTCCAGAAGAAGCTAAGGGGATATGATCAGGTCCGAACACCGGAGTGGGCTGCAGGTGGGCAAGAAGATAAAGGCAGGACCTAGCTCCTTCAGGGTGTGGGACAAGGAGGCCACTGGATAATGAGCAAAGCCGCTGGTTCCCATCCTCTCCCCACCAAAGGGCATCCAAGCACCAGGCCTTAGCTCTAATGCAGGAGTCCATTCTAACGCCAGGCCGTCATGCATCAGGCCCAGCTCTCTCCTGACCCACCAGTCCCTCCCCATGAAGCCCTTCCCACCTAGCTGTGTGGATTTCTTCCGTTTCCATATTCTAGCTACACACACATAGCCTGGACCAGGCAACTGAAAGATTCATTGCATGAGCAGTTCCTGATTTTGCCCTACTGGGTTTTTCCAACTAGAACACACATTCTCAGAGTGGCAGATTCCATTGATTTCCTCATCCATATCCTCCACAGCTGCTCCTCTGGGCAGGTGTAGATAGCCATGCATCCTTTCTCCAAATACACATCGAGCCCTGCCGCGTGGCTAACAGACAAAAGATGGGAATGGCAAGCGTGGACGCAACATCAGAAAGGAAACTCCAGCTAAGGGGCCGGGGTAGTGTGCCTGGGGGCCAGGGACTGGGGCAGTGGGAGATCATTGCTTGCTTATCTCCCTTGGGGAGCACACTGCCCACCACAGCAGACCAGAGGGCCCACACACTCTCTGCAGGTACTGGGAGCCTCCCAGGCAATGCCAGTTCCCACCCAGTGCACAGGGAGCCTTGCTTCCCTCCCGCAAGGCCAGTTCTCCCATCCCTGACATTGGGAACCCTCAGGACCTCGACTGGCCTCACCATCCATGCAGCTTCTCAAATGCCTCCAGCCCCACACGCTGGAGAAGGAACAGCAGCATGAATGGGGAGTACATGGCTTCCTGTTCCTTTGCCCTTTGGGAAATCCCAAATATTTCCCTGACGGGCCACAAGGAGAGCAGGGCCATAGGGAGAGAGGCGGGAGTAGAGGAAGCCAGCCAGGAAACAGAAGGTGAAAGCATCCAGACCCAGGTGGGGCTGGCCAGAGGGACTCCTCAGGGAAGAGGGGAGGGGCAGACCCAGCCACTGGGGAAGGAGTGGGTATCTGTCGCATGGCCACGCTCCATCTCTCACTCGCTGTCTGTGTGACCTTGGGCTGGCCTGTCATGTCTCTGGGGCTGTGTCCCCAGTGAACAAACAGGGAGAGTCACACCTGCCAACCTCCCGCCTTGGGCTGCGACAGAGAGCTAAGGAGACAATGAGTGAGGGCGCTTGGAATGGCAGGCGCCCGATGGAGACAGGAGGCACCATCCTCATCTTCCTTCTCTGCCTAGCGCTGTGCCTGCCACTTGAAGTGCACAGCAGGAACAGCTTTCCCTGGCGTCTGATACAGAAGGAAAAACAGACCCACTTATCCTGCAAGGTGGATCTCGGTCCCACACAGGGCAAGTGAGCGCATCAAGGAGACGGGGCTCCCTCTCGCTCTCCTGTTCTACCATACCCCAGCCTGCTGGAAACCAGGGCCTCCTGACCCCACCGTCCTTCTCCATGCCATGCTGGGGACACAGGAAGAGGCACACAGCCCTCAAAGCAGGGCAAGGCACTCAGGGCCCCTTGGCTAGGCCCCCGGGTGACCACTGACAAGAGCACCCCCTCACTCCTCTGAGGTTATGACCTACTTCTTTCAAAGCAGGCCTGATTGCTGGTGCCAGGGCCTTGGAGAGCTATTCATAGCAAACGGAGGGGGAGAACACAGGCCTGAGCCCGGCAGACAGCAAAGCGTACGGCAAAGTGAAGAGAAGCAGCTAAGCCTTCTGTTCCTCCATTGCGCCATCCTCAGCGTCCAGCAGCCTTGGCAAGATAAAGTGACAAATGGAGCTATTTAGGAGGACACAGAGTCCAAGCCCAAGGCTCCAGGAGGCCTTTGATTGCTAAAGTTTCTCTCTGCCCCTCCACGTGTGATCAAGTCCACAGCAGTGGGCTCCCTCTGCCAGCATCAGAGACCACGTGGTATAATTTCCTTGAAGCCCTGGACACTGTCCCACTCCAGCCATGACCCCTCGCCCCAGCACTGCTAGGCAAATTTCTCCAAGGCAAATGTTATGCTTTTCATAATACAAGGCTGCTGGTGATCTCTGTGCCTTCTCTAGACCAAACGTCACTCTTCCCTCCAACACCAGGAGGTCACTCCTGGACTCTGGTCTTGCTGCTGAGAACAGACTTTTCCTGGATCAGCCCTATCACTTTGCAGTTTCCTGCCTTTTAAACCCCTTGTAAGAGAGATGGTATAAAAGAAGGCATGAGAGACAGAGAGAAAGAGAGAGAGGAACAGATAGGAAAAAAACAGAGAGCCAGCAAGAGAACCAAAATGAAGAGGAGCCAAGTCCATCTCGGCTGAGACCAAGCTAAGTCTGCCAAGTGAGCTCAGGGCAGCAGGTGGATCTGTCTGGAAAACACAAACCCTCTCTGGGCGTGTTTCCTTGGCAGCTGTAGCCTGTTCAGTTGCAGGAAAGCAGCAGCAGGAGACAGAGAGAGAGAGAGACACTTGACCCCCAGTTGGATGAAAAGGTTGCCATATTAAACGAAGAACGTGTAGGTTCATTTGAATTTCAGACAATGAATATCTTTTTTTAGCATAAGTATGTCCCACATAATATCTGGGAAATACTTACGCTAAACAGTTTTTCTTTTTTTTTTTTTTTGATCATTCTTGGGTGTTTCTCGCAGAGGGGGATTTGGCAGGGTCATAAGACAATAGTGGAGGAAAGGTCAGCAGATAAACAAGTGAACAAAGGTCTCTGGTTTTCCTAGGCAGAGGACCCTGCGGCCTTCCGCAGTGTTTGTGTCCCTGGGTACTTGAGATTAGGGAGTGGTGATGACTCTTAAAGAGCATGCTGCCTTCAAGCATCTGTTTAACAAAGCACATCTTGCACTGCCCGTAATCCATTTAACCCTGAGTGGACACAGCACATGTTTCAGAGAGCACAGGGTTGGGGGTAAGGTCACAGATCAACAGGATCCCAAGGAAGAAGAATTTTTCTTAGTACAGAACAAAATGAAAAGTCTCCCATGTCTACTTCTTTCTACACAGACACAGCAACCATCCAATTTCTCAATCTTTTCCCCACCTTTCCCCCTTTTCTATTCCACAAAACCGCCATTGTCATCATGGCCCATTCTCAATGAGCTGTTGGGTACACCTCCCAGACGGGGTGGCTGCCGGGCGGAGGGGCTCCTCACTTCTCAGACGGGGCGGCTGCCAGGCAGAGGGTCTCCTCACTTCGCAGACAGGGCGGCCGGGCAGAGATGCTCCTCACCTCCCAGACGGGGTCGCGGCCGGGCAGAGGCGCTCCTCACATCCCAGACGGGGCGGCGGGGCAGAGGCGCTCCCCACATCTCAGACGATGGGCGGCCGGGCAGAGACGCTCCTCACTTCCTAGATGGGATGGTGGCCGGGAAGAGGCGCTCCTCACTTCCTAGATGGGATGGCGGGCGGGCAGAGACGCTCCTCACTTTCCAGACTGGGCAGCCAGGCAGAGGGGCTCCTCACATCCCAGACGATGGGCGGCCAGGCAGAGACGCTCCTCACTTCCCAGACGGGGTGGCGGCCGGGCAGAGGCTGCAATCTTGGCACTTTGGGAGGCCAAGGCAGGCGGCTGGGAGGTGGAGGTTGTAGTGAGCCGAGATCACGCCACTGCACTCCAGCCTGGGCACCATTGAGCACTGAGTGAACGAGACTCCGTCTGCAATCACGGCACCTCGGGAGGCCGAGGCTGGCGGATCACTCGCGGTTAGGAGCTGGAGACCAGCCCGGCCAACACAGCGAAACCCCATCTCCACCAAAAAAATACGAAAACCAGTCAGGCGTGGCGGTGCACGCCTGCAATCGCAGGCACTCGGCAGGCTGAGGCAGGAGAATCAGGCAGGGAGGTTGCAGTGAGCCGAGATGGCAGCAGTACAGTCCAGCTTCGGCTCGGCATCAGAGGGAGACCGTGGAAAGAGGGAGAGGGAGACGAGGGAGAGGGAGAGGGAGACGAGGGAGAGGGAGAGGGAGACGAGGGAAAGGGAGAGGGAGAGGGAGAGGCAGAGGGAGAGGGAGAGCCAGTTTTTCTTTTTTATCCAGAATATTTATTTAACTGGGCATCCAATATTTTTATTTGTTGGATCTGGCAACTCTGTTTTGTTCTGTTTTGTTTTGTTTTGTTTTTGAGATGGACTCTTTCTCTTTTGCCCATGCTGGAGTGCAGTGGCTCGATCTCGGCTCACTGCAGCCTCCACCTCCCCATTTCAAGTGATTCTCAGCACCCCCGCCCCACCCACCGTAGCTGGGATTACAGGTGTGCGCCACCATGCCTGGCTCGTTTTTGTATTTTTAATAGAGATGGGATTTCACCTTGTTGGCCAAGCTGGTCTCAAACTCCTGACCTCAAGTGATCCACCCACCTTGGCCTCCCAAAGTGCTGGGATTATAGGTGTGAGCCACCACACCCAGCTTGGCAACAGTACTTGATGAATACATAAGCCTCCAGCAAAGGGGAAGAGAGCAGGGCTGAGTGTGCAAAGATCAAGCCACACAAGCAGAAGTCATCTAGATTTGCGTGGGTACAGGTGGACTTTCTATAGGTCACTGGTTCTCAAAGTGTGGTCCGCAGACCAAAAGCATCATATCAACTGGGAACTTCTTAGAAATATAGATTCTCTAGCTCCACCCTATCTCCCTGCCTGGTTCCGGACAAGCAATATCTGAAATTCCAGGAGCAGAGTCCAGCAATCTGCACCTTAACAAGCCCTCCCAGGGATTCTGAGGCAGGCTGAAGTTTGAGAATGTGGCCACCTGCACAGGTTTCAGAGCTGGGCTTGTGGGTACCTTTCAGACCTCACCTCCTAGTCTCAGCTTTAAATATCCACACTTTATGGCTTACCCATAAAAAAAAGCAGTGCTTTGCGCCACAGCCAGAGAAAGCCCACAGTTACGTGGCAAAGAGTGCACGTGTTTGTGTACAAACACACACACACCTATCGCCACGGAGACACACAGTTACACTTGGATACATACTTCCCAGCACTATGCTTTGGTCTTCACCAACAGGAAGTATACAGGAAATTGTTATTAATAAAACCTCCCCTGGTCCAGGCTGTAAACACCTTCCCAAGAGCATACTTTCCCAAATTTGTCTGATGTAGAATAATATTGGGGATCCCCAAAACTTTCCAGTGCTGATCAATACATACTGGTCTGAAGTTCTTTTTTTTTTTTTTTTTTTTTTTGAGACAGGGTCTCACTCTGTCGCCAAGGCTGGGCAGTGGCACAATCTTGGCTCACTGCAACCTCCACCTCCCAGGTTCAAACAATTCCTGTGCCTCAGCCACCGGAGCAGCTGGAATTATAGGTATGCACCACCATGCCTGGCTAATTTTTTTTGTATTTTTAGTAGAGATAGGGTTTCGCCATGTTGCCCAGGGGGTCTCAAACTCCTGGCTTCAAGTGATCCACCCACCTCAGCCTCCCAAAGTGCTAGAATTCCAGGCCTGACTGAAGTTCTCGTTTATCAGGTGATACCTGTTATGTCACTTCCATGGAAACCAGGTTTGTCCTGGTTGCAGAAGTGAAAGAGGAGGGGGAAGAAAGGGAGTTGACATTTACTGAGGACCTACTATGTGTCAGGCGCTATTATCTCATTTAATTTTCTGAACAATCCCACGAAGTAGCATATTTCACAATGAGGACACAGAAGCTCAGAAAGGCTGGATCGCACAGTCACACAACCTGCAGCCAGCACACCAGGCCAGGTACGGTGGCTGACACAAACAAGGGCGGCCACCAGCACTGCCTGACACAAAGGAATGGGGCACTTGAATATTTCATGGAGGGAAAAAAGGGTTTCCAAGAAGTGCAAATTACTCATGATAGGTTTCATAGACAATTTATGGAAACGTGGAGAAAATGGCCTTAATAGCCCCAAGTGCCTCTGGAATGGCTTTCTAACGTCCCCTCTGGCAGTGCAGGCCTTGGTTAAGTGGGTTCAATGTGATGTGACACTGAGAAAAGGGAAAATGAATGTCACCCACATGGCTGCTTTCCCACACCTCCAGGGCTCACTGTGGACAACCTGATCTTCCATCCTTTCCAGTGTCTTCCTGCCACCACTGGTTTCATGAAGTCAAGGACCAACTTGGCTCCCTTCCTTCCTGTTTATTCTTTAACTGTACAGTGGATACTTACTATTCTTTCTGCCCAGAACAGCAGCTCCCCTGGGGTGGGCTGGGGAAGAGGACTTCCTCGTTGGGCCAGATAGTTTTGTTTTTTTGTGTGTTTTTTGTTTTTGAGATGAAGTCTCGCTCTGTCACCTAGGCTGGAGTGCAATGGCGTGATCTGGGCTCACTGCAACCTCCGCTTCCCAGGTTCAGGCGATTCTTCTGCCTCAGCCTCCCAAGCAGTCGGGGCTATAGGCACGCACCACCACGCATGGCTAATTTTTGTATTTTTAGTAGAGACGGGGTTTTACCATATTGGCCAGGCTGGTCTCTAACTTCTGACCTCATGATCCACCTGCCTTGGCCTCCCAAGGGCCAGGTGGTTCTATTAAAGGCTGTATGCCACCTCCTGGGCCCAGGGGGAAACATGACCTGGGCTGGGAAGCCACGGCACCCCTTTCTCCTGGCCACACTGGCCTAGAGATAAGGAAATAATGTCAGCTGGGCCCAACAGGGTCCTTGTCTAAAGTTTTCCTAATGGGGCAGGCAAGGAAAAACATGCTTTTCTTTTTGGTTCTAAGATACAACAGATGTGAACCACAATTCTAGCCTCATAATCCTAATAAGAATACACATGCAGCTAACCGGAGGGAGAAGCAGAAACAAGGTACAAGAAAAGCAAGGGAGAGAGAGAGAACGAGAGAGAGAGAGACCAAGACCTATCTGTACATGAGTCCCTGGGATTCTCCTCTGCCCTTCCTATATTTTATTATGTAAGCCAATTGATTCTGTTTTTATTTTTCTTAAGGTAGTTGGGTCTCTGTCACTTGGAACAGAAACATTCGGCCAGGCGCGGTGGCTCACGCCTGCAATTCTAGCACTTTGGGAAGCAGAGGCAGGCGGATTACTTGAGGTCAAGAGTTCAAGACCAGCCTGGCCAACATGGCAAAACTCTGTCTCTACTGAAAATCGAAAAATTAGCCAGGCATGCTAGCACACACCTGTAATCCCACCTCCTCGGGAGGCTGAAGCAGGAGAACCACTTCAATCTGGGATGCAGAGGTTGCAGTGAGCCCAGATCACACTACTGCGCTCCAGCCTGGGAAACAAAGAAAAAAAAAAAAAGACAGAAACATTCTTGACTACTATTTAGGTCACTCTCTAATTCTGCATGACCTCCTTTGTCCAGGTCCTAAGCAATCAGAAGAAGCACACACTAGAAAGGCCACGTGGGCCAAAAACAAAACCCACAAAGGATCTGTCCAGCCCAAGCAAAAGAGCCAGGACTGCAGGAGTGTTGGAGTAGGCAGATGGCCAGAAGTAGGCAGGCAAGGGGGCCCCTGGGAAATGAAGTCCTGGAGATGCTGCCCACTGACACTCAGCAGAAAAGACAACGGCTATACTGTCTACTTCTGGCCTTGAGATTGGGCTCCTCCAGCACTAAAGGGGACTTATCATGCCACAGCCAGAGATAAACGTGATGGGACTTTCCCCACTGACAAGCATGCATACGCCTCCAATAATTTGCCCACGAGGAGAGTTTTGCTCATTATAATAGTAAAAAAACACAGCCATGCATGGAGATTTTCAATGCCAATGAGACATGTAACACGTAGACTAGCAAGCACAACCCTAGCCCAAAGGACCTCCCGAAACATGCTTGCAAATAACAACACCTCACGCCCCTTCAGGAATAATCAGGTAAGATTCTCATTAAGAGAGTCCCCCAGCACTAGCTGCTGCTGGCTCATTCTTCTGAGCAGCCTGCTCGGTCTTGTCCTTCAAAGTGTGCTGTCTCTTTAAATAAACACTGCTACTGCTATTTTTCCAGCCAGGTCAGCCGGCTGCTCTCTTGGAGCTTACTTTATCTTCCTTCAAGAAACTCTGCTGCTTAACCCTCACTGTGCGTCACTTGGCTGAATTCTTTCTCCCAAGTTATACAAGAATCAAGAATTCCCATATTTCCCAGTAACAGGAGCACTTCAAGGAGAGCAACTCCGAAGACAGATGATGATCAAATTCATGAAAGAAGACAGAACTGGCCTTGGATTATTTCTCCAGCTTAACTTGAAAGGAACGGATCAGACAGACATTAACACCAGGGAAAGCTACATTGCTATCAAAATGGCAAGGATGTAGATCGTGTCAATGTATGAAAATTTAAACATGAAATCATGATATGCAGTTAAAAAGCAGGAGACAATAGAGTTTATGCCCCCCGGTTACAAATGGAGAAAATGTTAAGTTATGAACCAACAAGATTCAGAAGTATATTTCAAAAGATGCTAATAGAAGACACTGTTCATTATGTTCATTTTTAATAAACTTGCCTTATGATTGTAATTATTTCTTTAACTTTAATTGAACTAGGCCTCAGGAATCCAGAGTTATTATAAACAATGATTTCTCTAAGCCTTCTGTTAGAGAAAATGTTACGGGTTCTGGAAGCCTCAGCAAATTCAACTGACTGTCTATC
Organism: Homo sapiens; assembly: GCF_000001405.40. Classification (NCBI taxonomy): domain Eukaryota; kingdom Metazoa; phylum Chordata; class Mammalia; order Primates; family Hominidae; genus Homo; species Homo sapiens. The sequence goes on from NC_000008.11 coordinate 21,717,673, forward strand.
CTAAGACAAAGTGGCTGAGACAGAAAAGCCACCATCTCAGAGAAGACCTGGCTACTCTTTCCTGGGCTGCTCCAGATCCTAGGAACTTGCAGGTTGGAGAAAGAGCCTAGGGCTATCCTGGGAAATGGCCACCAAACCCTTCAGGACACAACCAAGACCTCAGGGGGGCTGCTAGAAGTAGAAATCTTTGATCTCCTCCCACAAGAGGTCCTGACTTCTTCAAGAACCCCTCTACCTAGACCCTGCACAGAACCACACCCAGCCATGAGATCCAATTTCTAAAGTCACATTGACTGTGTTTGAACCTTGGCTCAGCAACTCTTGGCTGTGTGATCTTGAGCAGGTAATTAAAGGAGGCCTTAGTTTCCTCATCTGCAAAATGGAGGTAATAATGCTACTTAATTGCATACTGTCTGATAGGTTTGGCTGTGTCCCCACCCAAATCTCATCTTGAATTCCCATATGCTGTGGGAGGGACCCAGTAGCAGGTAACTGAATCATGGAGGCAGGTCTTTCCCATGCTGTTGTCGTGATAGTGAGTAAGTCTCACAAGATCTGATGGTTATTATTAGGGGCAGTTTTTCTTCACAAACTGTCTCTCTTTGCCTGCTGCTATTCATGTAAGACGTGACTTGCTCGTCCTTGCCTTCTGCCATAATTGTGAGGCTTCCCCAGCCATATGGAACCGTAAGTCCGGTTAAACCTCTTTCTTTTGTGAATTGCCCAGTCTCAGGTATGTCCTTATCAGCAGTGTGAAAACAGACTAATAGACAGTCCTTACAAGGATTAAATGAAATACCTAGTGAACAAATGTGCGTATGTGTGTGAACAGTGCCTGCAACACAGTGGGCACTCCCTCAATGCTCACTGATGTTGTGATTAACATTAGGAGGCTCCACCACCCAATCCTTAGCATGAGACACCATGTAGAAGGCAGGAGCTATGTCCCTTCAAGCCAAAGGGCCATGTTCTCTCTGACCTATTAACAAGCACCTCCTCTGTTAGCATAGGGCCACGCAACAAGGGTTCGTTACCATCACTGAGTGGTAATCGAACAGTTCTCTGACATTGGAATCATTGCTCCATTTTGCTAAGGAAATAGAGCCCTAGAGAGGTTAATTAACTCACAACACAGCAGCAAGGCCAGAAGACTTAGGTTCAAATCCTAGCCACAAAGCCAGTGGGTTTTCTGGTTTTTCCCTTCTGCCGTGCTCTCCCCAGCCCCCAACTCTGCCCAGCCCCCTACCCATCCCCCTGTCCCAGTGTCCTGAAGCCACAGAATAAAGTTTTCTTTCTCTCCTGCAGCCATCCAAGGGAGTCACTGTGGTGCCACCTGCCTCCTTGGCCCCCCCTTGCCATCCAGCCTGGAGCTCACCCAGTGTCCCCTCTCTCCTCTGGGGGAGCCATGAAGGTGACCATGGGAAATGACCTAAGAGGGCTGTGGCTGGAGCACTGAACCCCAGCTGACCAGAAGCAATCAATCAGACCCCAGCCACCAACAAGAGACCAATATGCCACCCAGAGCAGGGGGTCCAAGTCTGCTCTGGAACAGGGTCAGGAGGGCCTAGATGAGACAGAGGCCAACCCAAGTCCACGTGGATCTTCCCACAGGGCCCAGAGATGGGAGCCAAGGCCACATCCTTCTCCTTGAGACCGCCATTGGATACACTCCTTCACGTCCTCCAAAAACACAAGCAGATGGGCAGATCCCCTTCTCTCCACTTCTCTCCCCAATCCCTCCACCTATGTTCCAAACCTCTTATTACTCGGCAAGAGGAGAAAGAATTAAACGTATGCATCATTTGATTTTAATTGAAGGACTGTTCTATTTCATTGAACTGCTAAGTAAGCTGAACAAGAGATTGTGTTTACATAAGCAAACCCCGAGTCACTATAGACTTGCTGTCACATTAAGTCAATACTTATGAAGGCTCTCTATTTAATTATTCAGTGAGGATGACTTATTATTGTGTTAAGAGTGTGGTTAGCCTTGAGCTAGGTAGCCAGCCAGCTGAAAGATTTCTTTCAACTTTCTCTGAATGCTGATACGGTTCTTGCTGGTGGTACGAGGATGGATTTCTTCCCTTTCTCCCTCCCCACCCTTCCCCTCCCTCCTGCTCATGAGTAGAAAGCACCAGGTTTACTCCCTTGAGAAGGGGGTGGCAGGTGCCCCTGCAGTGGTCACTCTCTCAAATGCTCTTCCTAGACCAGTAATTTGTCCGAAGACCCTGACAACTGAAGTCTCATTAGCCAAGTTCTTCTGCTCTTAGTTCTAGCAGCTCCAGCCTTCATTCTTCCCATTCCCAATTCTGAAGACCTCCTACTCAAAGACCCAGACCCCCTCCCCAATTCTGTTACTCCCAACATTGCCTCTCCCTTCAACTTCCACAGAATGTGTTTCTCAGCCTCACAATCCATGCAAACCCTATTATTCCACGGCATATTGTTACAAAGATTCAGAGAGATTCTTGCATCAAATCACATTCCTGACACATAACGTATGGAGAAAAGTCAGAGATGAATGCTTGGCCTAAACTCAGTGGCATTTTAGGCTGAGCATGAACTTCTTCTGAGAGGCAGGAAGCACGGTGGCTGAGAGCAAGACTCCAGGCACCAAATCCCCTGGGTTCAAGCCCCAGCTCTGCCAGTCACAAAGGGTATAGCCTAGGCCAACTCACCTTTCTGTGACTGAGCTCCTCATCCATAAAAGGGGGCAAGGAGTTTCTGGGAAGAGTAACCGAGATTCCCAAGAAGTACCAGGGACCATGCCTGGCATGCCAGCCTTGGCTGTTATGAGGAGCCCTGTGTATTTCTAGTCTAAGTCCCTGAAGGAGAAGTCCCTGGGCTTCCACAACCCATCTTTGCCACCCTGATCCCCATCCATGATCAGGATGTACTGATCTCTCCCATCTCATCTCTCCTCTTTGCCATCCCAACCCTATAGCAACTTCAAACACACACGTTCCCCAGCCGTGACGTTTCATATGCCTTGGTCCTGTGTTGCTTCCCTTGCTGAGAAAGCCTTCTCCTTAAACTTCCTCCAGTTCACCCTTCCAAACCCACCTCAGGTACCAGGTCTTCCAGAAAACCTTCTCTGAATGCCTTGTCCCAACTCTAATCATGTTTCACAAACTCCAGTTATCGCACTGGCATCACTGTATCATAACTTACATTTTTCATATCTGTTTCTCCTATTAAGCTATGAGTTCCTTCAGAATAGAAACCATCTTATTCATGTTTAAAACTTCAGTGCCCAAAGAAATGCCTGACACTCAAAAGGGACTCAGTTGCCACCGGATGGAGGGAGGAAGAGAATTAGTAAGAAAAAAAAAAATGGAGGGGAGGGGAGGGGAAGGGAAGGGAGGGGAGGGAAGGGAAGGGACTGATTGATTGGGACTGTGTCTGGAGGCATGGAGGACTTTCTCTAAGCAGCAGGAGATCTAAGAACTCTCCTAACACCTCCCCTTGAAAAGTAAAATTATAGGCAGATCTTCAGCTAGCAGCAAAGCAAAATGTATCAATGTTTCATTAACTTGAGCACCAAGATAGTTCAGCTCCCAGAAATGCCCTCCAGTGTGTCTGCCTTTCCCCCCTTCCTCTTATCCTGCCCACTGGTGGTTAGAAACTTGGAAAAGTGTCTCTGCTTTCTCTGATAACAGCCATTCACTAAAGGAGGCCCCAGTGGCCTGCGAGAATTAACACACATCCTTAAGCACCACTCTTAACATGAAGAAGTGCCTTGGGGACCTACAGAGGAGAATCCAGTGGGTCCCTGTGGAGGAAGGCTGGGTAGAGTGTCCATTCTCAAACACGCAGAAGGGCAAAGGAAGTCAGAGACGAGGAGGAGGATTTGGGTCAAAACGCCCGCTGCACCTCTCCATGCCTAAGTGGCTGTGATACCCACACAAAAGAGTGTTTGGGAGATGAAACCAAACCACCCTATGCAAAACTAGCTCTGAAAAATAGAATTGGCTGTATACCTGTTTATGATCTTTCTTCTTGGGAATAATAAGAAAAAGGCAGTCCAATTGCACCCAAATCCTCTTCAGCTTTCAGCACAGGACGCAAAGCAGGGAGAAAGAGACTCATGTGAGTACCGTGGGCTGGAGCCTGCCCACCACATCCCAGACCCACCAGGAAGCAGGGAGGACCAGGCATGGCTGGGTTCTGCTCTAAAAAAGCACAGGGCAAATATATTCTCGGAGTCACAGGCTTCAGGGGGCATTGGGCCCTCCATTCCAAGCCTTCTAGAGAAAACTGCGTAGACAAATATTTTTCCTATCAGGCAAATATCTGGGCAGCTATGCCACCACTAGGAGTCTTTCTCATTATATAGACTAATGAGAATGCTGTGCTTCTCTGGAGCAATTTATCAAGGCAATGTCTATTATAAATGACATTTTTCCTGAACTAACAAAGGATGTGAGGCTGGGGGTAACCGGTTAAAAGGAAATGTTTAGCTGATCCCAGAAACCATTCAGAAATTAATTACACACCCCCATGCTAGCCAGTGCTTTTCCCCCTCTGTGCCCTTCCTCCTACTTGGACTCCCTGCCCTGTCTGCCCACCTCCTGGCCACCTGAGCCAGAAGCCAGGGAAGGGAGCCATGCAGGCTCCCAGGAACATAGCGCCTTAGGAGGAGGGTGAAGTCTTAACAGCAGCATCACTGGAGCATATAAGACCAGATTATTTGTGGTCCCAACTTGCTGATGCAAGATGAAAAATACAGCAAACTGCAGCTGCTGAACTCAGCTCTTTTTCTTTTTCTTCTTTCTTTCCTCTTAGCTGAGGTTAGTGTTTCACAAAAGGGGCTTTACAAAAAATAGAATCTATGAACTGTGGGGTTCTAACCTGTCAGCTTAAGGTCAGGTGCACAGAATACAGCATCCAGGGAGGAGAGAACATGGGCCCTTGGTCTCGCCCGCATGCAGTGAGCTCTCCCATGTGTCCCCACACGCAGACCCATACGAAGGCCCTGCCACTCCAACCGATACACGCGTGGCCACACACCCTCAGTGAAAGAGTCCCCTTTCCCCCCCAGTCAGAGGCCCTCTCCCTAATCCCTGAATTATGGGTCCTCTCTATTTCTACCCTCCAACTCCACAACAGGTGACAACGTTAGATGCCCCTTTGACATCAGAGGACTGGGAGCCATGCCCATGGCCCAGAAGCCAAGGCCTCCCCATGTAGGCAGTGCATGCACCAGGGCTGGTTACACAGAGCTACAGTCTTGCAATGAATCACCTCCCACCAATGCCTCCCTACATGGAGTGGGCTGGATAAAAATCAGAGGGGACACAGCAGACCACTCAGGCCAGGGAGAGGAGGCAGTCACTGGGTCCCTCTGGATTCGTTACCAACCGTCTCAAAACCTCTGCTGTAAAGAAATTGAGCATCAGGACCCGGGTGCTTCTGAGAATTTGAACTGCAGCCTCTGGCTTCATCCAAGGAAAAGATAAAGCATCCAGGTAGACTCTTCCCATGGGGCAGAAAAAGGATGGGACTTCTATATAAAGTTCTAACACCAAGCAAGAAGGAATGAGGAGACTCTTAGTTCATCAAGAGTTTGAATGCATTTATCTTAGAACAAGCAGGTTCAGGCATCTGGCAAGGTTCTTCATGTCTTCTACTGGGGTCTCTCTCACCACCCTTCAGGGCTCTGCCAGGAGACAGGATATAGAAGTACAAGGTACCAAAGGAAGAAAAATCTGAGTCTAAATCCAGACACAAGAAAAGGCAGACCCAGGAAGAGAAGGAAGGCCAGCAAGGCCAATGGGACTGCAGAGAGCAGGAAATAGATCCCAGCCACAGGAAAGCTTTCTGGAGAGAGCTTTACAAAAAATAAAAGAGATTCCCCAGAGAGCCTGGATAAATGAACAGAAGCCTTGCCAGGCACCAGGACCCCAGGACAGGGCAGAAGGAGGCCCCTGAGGGTTCCACCACCACCCTCTGATTCTCTCCAGTGGGTGGAAGGAACAGCCCCCCTCCACCCCGCAGGGTCCACTGGGAAGACTTTTGGACACCCCTGGGAAATTTTGCAGCAAGAGGGAGGTCGCCAAGACCACTCACTCGTCCTCTTCTCAACAGGCTAGAAAGTGGGCTGGCCATAAGACCATTGGCCATGCAGCACTTCCTGCAGAACAAACTCCAGTTCCTTCATCCCGCTTGTGCAGCGGGCATCTGGGGTGCTAGGTCAAAGGCAATCTTGGTGTGTCAACCAAGGGGAGTCCCCACAGCAGGTGGCAGAAGACAGAGGCTGACTCAACAGACAAGCCCCAGGGAAGGAAATCAAACAGGGCAGAAGGAATGGACGCTGGCAGAGTAGAGTGTATGGAAAGCCAGAAACCATGGCCCAGGCTCACCAGGAAACAAGAGAGGCCATCTGCCCACAGAGGAGACAATACCCTCAGAGCCACAGAATCTGCAGGGAGAAGAGTGAACCAGGATGACTACCTCTGACCCCAGGCTCTAGGGAACAATCCTCCACTTCCTGCACAGATAGGTAACGTGTCTCAGCAGCAGAGCCTGACAGTATCTCCCTGCAGATGGTCTTGTGTGGGGGGCCTGGTGTTTCTTGGTGTTCCATCTCGTTGCCCCTTGGCCTACCGGAGGTATACCAGATGTCCTTACAGGCAGACTTTCATCCAGACATTGCTGGGGGGTTGGTGCGGGGCTGTTGAGAAGAGCAAGCAGATTCCCAGTATTGCCACGCTGGAATGGAGCACCGTGAGTTCTGATATATGCCAATCTGTGGCAGTGAGGAAAGTCGACCAGTGGCATAGCTAATAGGAGGACTATTCCTTGAATGGCCATTTGATAGCCTCCTCTGCAGTACTAGGTCTGCAAGTAATGGACTGATAAAAACACTGCTGGAAGGCCTTAGACAAAGCCCTGTAAACCAGGAGGCAAACTGGGAATGGCAATTCGAGACCAGATGGTTGGTGATCTGCAAGCAAAGGGTCTGCAGGGGGTGAATTCTCACATTTTAATGAAGGTACTCAGGGCCCTGAGACAATGGCAAGGCCGTGTACATAGAAACAACATAAAGGAGACCAAGAATAATCCCATCCCAGGAGCATTCAGGAGTTGGCAGGGGAAGTGTTAGCTCCCTTGACACCTCCCCTCCAAAGGCCCACCCCTAGGCTCAAATACAGGTAGCACAGGGAATGGCATCATACAGAGTCCTTGATGGTGGAGGTCTCTCTGGGACACATACGATGTCTTGCCTAGGCTGCAATGGCCAGCAGCAATGGGGACCCGTCCTCTAGTTCCTGGACACTGGCACAGTCCCTGGACACCAGCACAATCCTTGGACACTGGCCTTCCCGGCTAGGCCTTCCTCCTACTCACCTCACACTGCAAACCTTCCCCAAACCCATCCTGCTTGAGTGATTGATTTGAAGGGGATTTGCAGGGGGCAGCAGCACACATGAGCATAGGATGTCACCCAAGCTTCCATCTTCAAAGCAGAACCAGCCAGTCTGGAGAGGCTGAGGAGCCAAAACTAATACCAGTTCATCCCAAGAAGATTCCTGACTTCCTCTTGAAGCAGAGCCCTCAGGGCTGGGTTGTTCTGATCGAGCTCCTGACAAAGAGTGAGACCTGCAGACCAGATCCTACTACAAAGCAATCGGCAGCTGTGGTCAGCAACAGCATGCTGAAGGGCCTCGGTGGCTTCAAGAGGGCAAGAGGCCAGGGCAGAAGCCCTTTACAGAAGCCCAGTGAATGCCCAGCCTGGGGCGGGGGGACAGACACCAGTATGCTGAGCCAGCCCAGACACTCAGGCTGAAATCTGTACTTTAGAAACCTGTATTTTTATGCTGTTTGTTTTCTATAATTATTTCCTTTTAGTCTTGCCTTTACATTTACTAAGAGACCAACCAAACTCAAAATAAATAATAATAACTAACAATTTTGAGTGTTTAATAGGCATTTGCTAAGCACTCTAAAAGCATTAGTGCATTTAATCCTCATGAACACCCTGAGATACACAGGTAGTGCAAAATTCCCCACTTTACAGAGAAGGAAGCCGAGACTTAGAACAATTAAATGACTTGTGGCACAGCTGGGAAGTGTGGGGCCTGGACTTGAACCCAGGTCTCTCTGCAGTGCAAGCCCAAGGCCCGCCGGTCCTCTCAGAGGCATGCACATGTTGGGGCTGCTGTTCCAACATGCATCCAGCATCACCCGCTGGGGTTGGGTGTGGTAATGGCAGCAGAATCCGAGCAAGACCCCAGGATGGGGGTGACAGTCACAAGGGCAGAGCCAGAGCTGCCTGATCTTGAACGCTGTGGCTCTCTCCTGAGTGTCCCCCTGAGCTAGGAGCTGGGTTTTGCTGCCAAGAGGAAAGCCAGGCCCTTACAAGGAGGCAGCCCCCTTATACTTGGCCTCTGCCCTCAAAACAGTGGTCTATCTCCAGCACCTCCCTCTGCCAAGAACACCACAGTCATCCCTCACCCTGGGTGGACTCCACCCCACCGTCTCCAACCAGAGCTCTGGCACCCACGCACTTCCTATCCCTTTCCTCAGAAATCTCCCTTCCCATTTCCAGATCTTCCTTAAGCTGCACCTGTGCATCCAAGCCCCTGCTGCCCAGCTCTCAGGGGGTATTAATTGTCATGAAGGCAGCCAGGTACCACCCACCTTAGGGATCACAGCAACATGAACAAGACAGTCCTTCTCTGGCTGGTGACAGCCCCTGGAGAAACATGGGAGACCCCGCCTCACTAGCTTCCTAGGGCAGCTGTAACAAATTACCACAAACTCAGTGGCTTAAAATAACACAAGTTTGTTCTCTCACAGTTCTGGAGGCCAGAAGTCCAAGATCAAGGTGTTGGCAGGGCCTTGCCTCCTCTGAAGGCTCCAAGGAGGGGCCCTTCCTTGCCTCTTCCGGCTTCTGGTGGCGCCCGGCATCCGTTGCTTGTGGCTGCACCACTTCAGCGTCTGTGTCCATCATCTCACCATCTTCTTCCTTGTGTCTCTGTGTGTCCTCCTGTCTTATAAGGACACTGGCCACTGGATTTAGGGCCCACCCTAATGTGGTATGATCTTATCTTAATTACATCTGCAAACACCCTATTTTTTTTTTTTTTTTTTTTGAGACAGAGTCTCACTCTGTGGCCCAGGCTGGATTGCAGTAGCCTGATCTTGGCTCACTGCAAGCTCCACTTCCCCAGTTCAAGCAATTCTCCTGCCTCAGCCTCCCAAGTAGCTGGGACTACAAGCGCGCACCACCACACCCGGCTAATTTTGTATTTATAGTAGAGACTGCGTTTCACCATGTTGACCAGGATGGTCTCGATCTCCTGACCTCGTGATCCACCTGCCTCGGCCTCCCAAAGTGCTGGGATTACAGGCATGAGCCACCGTGCCCAGCCCTAAATTCCCTATTTTCAAACAAAGGCCACATTCTGAAGTTCCGGGTGGACATAAATGTTGGGAGACATTATTCAACCCACTACACTCATCATTCCCCTTCTGTTCCCACGAGGTGTTTGATCTCACTTCCCTCACCCCAGTTTGATTCAGATGCAGGCTGAACCCTCTGTGTGTCCAGACTGAGAGGTCACTCCTCCAAGGACAGGCTTTCGCTCTCCAGGGTCACAGGCTCTGTTGCCATCTGGAGCTGGGCCCTACCTCCCATGGGAGCCAGGGACAGGGCCTCCCTTGCCTCTGCTAGGGGCTCCTCTGTGTAAGAACAGAGGATTGGGGGTCCCTCAAGTGCAGTCCCCAGGCCTTGGGCCCTGTGTGACCCACTGGGGCACAGATCCCAGTGTGCTCCTCTCCTCCAAGCGCTCTGCCAGGGCAGAAGTCTGTGGGGCTTGAGCCTCAGCGCTCCACGCCTGGACACCACCTCCCCATCACGGCCCCCCCCAGGAGACAGGCTGGATGACCAAAGGCATGGTTCGGGTTCCTAGATTCCCAGTGCCCTTTCCCCAAGGCCAGGCATGCTCCGGACCAGGGTTAGACAGGCCACAGTCCGCCAAAACAGCGGGTTGGACGCTACTGCTCCTCGTCTGCCCGCAGACGGCAGCCTCCCCGCTGGGCCTCCCTCGGTATTTGAGGGCCAGGCCAATCATCTGTCCTCTCCTTACCACCGCGGTCTCTCCGCAATGACAGCCCATGTCCAGGGACTGTCTGGATTCACGGAAAATACTTTGATTATTTTCCAGAGGATAAACAAACGGGGGTTATTTTCGTAGTAAAAATGCCAGCTGGATATTAAAACAAAAGTGTGTAGATGCACCGTGCAGATGAGTCTGGGCCGCCCTTCAGCCCAGGCACACTCCTTCTACCATAGGAAGAGTTCTAGAAAATGCACAGGCAGGGGCGACGTCAGAAAATAAACTCCTCATCACATACATTAGGCACATGTTAATAGATGGTAGAAAGTAATTTAGTTTGTTGGACTCCCTGTCCACAGGCCACCACACAGCACTGATTCCAGGTACGGGCCCCAGTGCCATAGGGTGTGCCCGCCCACTGTGGTTCTCAACCCTCACCATGAACAAAATTCCCCAGGGAGCCCAGGACACACTGGATTCCTGGGCCCTACATCCAAGGATTCTGTTTCCACAGACTCCGGGAACCAGGTTTTTTTTTTTTTTTTTTTTTTTTTTTGAGATGGAGTCTCACTCTGTTGCCCAGGCTGGAGTGCAGTGGTGTGATCTTAGCTCACTGCAACCTCTGCCTCCCGGGTTCAAGCAATTCTCCTGCCTTAGCCTCCCAAGTAGCTGGAATTACAGGCACATACCACCACACCCGGCTATTGTTTGTATTTTTAGTAGAGATGTGGTTTCACCATGTTGGCCAGGCTGGTCTCCAACTCCTGACCTCAGGTAATCCACCCGCCTTGGCCTCCCAAACTGCTGCGAGTATATGAATGAGCCACGGCACCCAGGCAAGAACTAGCATTTTCATAAGCACCATGATGGATGGAGATGTGGCGTCCATGGACCACATCTGGAGAGAAAGTGCAGGATGCATGGACAATGCAGCCCTCAGAATAGGCCCTGCTTCAAGTTTCTGCTCGACCTTATCATAAGCCATGTGACCTTGGGCAAGTCCCTTAAAATCTCTAATCCTGCGTCCTTATCTGAACACAAAGAAATTCTAAGAGTGGGGACCTCAAAGGGTTATAAAGGGTACGTATGCACGGTTTGACATGGAAATTCCTAAAATGGTGACACCGTGGCTAACACACAAGAGCTCACTCAGGGTCACCTTAGTACTACTGGATGGAGGGGGTAGTTCTCCTCTGCAGCCTTGCTGTCTGGGGTCTGGACAGCAGAATCGGGCATTTAGGCCTGTGCCCGAGTGGCAGATTCCGCAGTGGTGTCCACCACATGGGGCAGTTCAAGACCAGAGCAGGACGGGGCCAACCCAGGCCTGGAAAACAAGGCAGCCCAGGTGACTCTCTGCTCATCTCTGTCTCCCTGGGCCTTTACTTAGCAGTCATAAACCTCTCCGCCTGGTTCTGGCTGAGCTGTGGGGCATTAGAAAGTTGACAGGAGCCAGGTGTGTTGGGTCACGCTGTAATCCCAGCTACTCGGGAGGCTGAGGTGGGAGGATCACTTGAGCCCAGGAGCTTGAGGCTGCAGTGAGCCGTGATCACACCACTGCACTCCAGCCTGGGCAACAGAGTGAGACCCTGTCTCTATATAAATTTTCTTTAAAAGTGGATAGGCATTCCCACTGGGACCTGAGTATTACAGGGGAGCAGGGCTGCCCCTCCCCTCCAGGCCCACAGGGAGTGGCTGAGGTCCTCTCCAAAAGATCCCCAAGGGGAAGAAGGTCTCAGAGAGTGAAAGCTGGGCCTGGGAGACGCCCCCCTGCCCTTCCTCGCACTTACAGATTTCCCCTCTTCACATCCGCAGAGAAAACTGGGCTTCACTGTCATTAAAGAAGACGGCAGTTTCCTTACAGAAGGAGCACCTACAATGTTGTCAAAATCCACAGACACACACAGACAAGCTCGCAGGGAAATCCCTTTCTCAAGCCCACACACACTTGTTCGCTCACACAGCCTGGTACAAACCCACATTCACAGCCCAAAGAATCCGCACACTGAGTCTCCCCTCCCTCCCACCGCCACCCCCAAAGGGCTTCTCAGAGTCACCAGAGAACGACTCTCCTCTCCACTCTTCCAGACCATGAGAATTAAGGGACCACATCCCGCCCTGACCTGCCTGGAGCTCCTGTTTCTGGGCCTAAGAAGCCCAAATACTAAACCGAACAGCTGGTGGGCCCAAAGGTCTGCTCCCAGACCCAGCAAGCCTGGAATTAGAGAGGCAGAGATCCCACCACACTCTGGGGAATTCAGGGAGGAGGAGGAGGAGCTGCAGGGTGGACCTCGAGGGCCTCTCTTGGTGGGAGGGGGGGCCTCATAAAGGTGTTTCCTGGGTTCTCAGTGTTACGGCACGAGAAGGGACCTTAGAAACCAGGTCACCCGGCCAGGCGCGGTGGCTCGCACTTGTAATCCCAGCACTTTGGGAGGCTGAGGTGGGTGGATCATCTGAGATCAGGAGTTTGAGGCCAGCCTGGGCAACATGGTAAAACCCCATCTCTACTAAAAATACGAAATAAGCCAGGCATGGTGGTGCATGCCTGTAGTGCAGCTACTTGGGAGGCTGAAGCAGGAGAATCATTTGAACCCGGGAGGTGGAGGATGCAGCGAGCCGAGATAGTGCCATTGCATTCCAGCCTGGGCAACAAGAGCAAAACTCTGTCTCAAAAAAAAAACAGGTTACCCATCCTCTCGCAACAGAAATGAAGGAGCTGCAGCCAGATGGGGACATGGGTTACCTAAGGTCACTCCTCGGCCCCTATCTGCACCACAGAGGGAGCGAAGGTTTGAGCCTTCCATGGCAATGCAGAAGGAGAGACCCTCTCCTAATTTTCCCAGTGGCTCCTCATTCTCCAGGTGCCTCTCCAGCACCATCGCCCTCTGTATCTCTCACACATACAAACGCACACAGGTACTACACTCAGAAACACACACAGTCCACACAAGCTCACTCAGACTTGCAGAAGCACAACGCTGGCAGAATGGCCACAGAATGTACAGCCCTCAAGGTCCCACCTCCCAGGGCAGCACGTGCTTTATTAATGCCCTGAGCCCATGGTTCTCCTCAAATCGTATCTTCCCTCCTTCCTTTCCCCACATTTCAGAAATAAGGTAAATCATAGTGTAGGAAGCACAGAATTTGAGATAAGTATTAATTATCAAGATAAAGGAGCAGGCCCAGAGAAGTTCCATGCGTACCCCGAGGTTTCCACAGCGAGACGAGGTAGATTCAGGGCTGGGACCCGGGAATTCTGGCCCCGGGCTCCTTCCCTTCCTCGTGTTGCGGACACTAACTCGGCTCGCGTGTCCCCTCATTTGAAAGGGGCCCTGCCACCATGTGATCCCCTCTTTCTGCCTGATCCTCCCAGCACCCCCATCTAGAACAAGTGTTACTGTCACCACCACCAACTCCCCCAGCGTCACGTGGCGAGGTAGTGACAGCTTTAGCATGACAGCCTCGTCTTCTGAGTCAATGTTCTATGCTGGTGCCATAACCCCACCCACTGAGACCAAATCATCCTCATCAAACCCCAGGACCCACAGTCTGTGACAAAAACACAGGGTCAAACTATGTTAGGTCACCAAGGAGAGCTGAGAACGATGAGGATGTGGCCACGTCATTTAGCAAAGAAACAGAGGAATCTTGGGAGGTCCATCATCCGTAGCCATCTCAATGGCCAACTCTAACTCCAAAAGGCCTTCATATGCCCCTTCTCTCTTTTCCAAAGTCATCTTAAAATATTTTTTTTTTAATCTAAAAGGGCTCCGGCAAAACAGCACATTTGTAGGTCACTCATCTGGCAGCCTGCCAGGAATGAGGAAGTCCCCTGAACAGACAGTATAAAGTTTGTTCATCAAAACAGATCATGAACTCCTAAGAAAATCCTTTGTGCGCCCCCATTAAAGTCTAACGGCTCCTCGTGCATACATAATTCCAACGCGTTCAATTATCTGGTTTTCTGTGCCACAGAAAACCCGCGAAGGAGAAAGGGTGATGGAAGAAAGCTCCGAGAGGCAGACAGAAACTGCAGCAAGAAGTGACAGCAAACAGCGAAGGAGACAGAAATACTAGAAAAGCAAACTACAATGACTCAAAAGTCACAGTATCTGGCGCTCATTAACATGGGGGCCAACAGTTCTATGTAAGTCAGTAGCACCTGAAGGCATGGCGTACACCATCTGTGCAAGTTCACCCAGAGTCAAGAATAACACTGTGTCACCAAGAAAAGGTGAAGGTGTCTTCCACTATCTCTGTTTAAGGAGACAAAGAGCATTTAAGAACTTCACAAGTATTTATGGGCCCTGAGTCGGGCCAGGCCCTGGGCCCAATGCAGGGGCGAGTGAACATGCCAGCGGGCCAAGAGCTCCTGGCGTCACTGCATAGAACATGGTAGACAAGGAAGCTGCCTCTTACATTCCTAGAGACACAGCAGGGGAGATGGAAAATAAATGAGATGTGTTTTCCCTTCGCCTTCTTGTGTCCCTTCCAGGGGACAAACAGGACTTTGAGGTCAGGAAGTCTGGTTGTGTCTGTCACTAAGAAGAGGCCTCATTTTCAGAGGCCTTAAGAAGGAAGGTCAAGAGCTGAAGATGCCCAGGGCCTGCCGAGTGGAGCAGCCAGCAGGTGGGAAAGGCCACTGTCCTATGGCCCAGATGCAAGGCACTGGCAGCTACAGAACAGGGAGCCCCATGGCAGTGAGGGATGAGTCTGCGGAGAGGGGAGGGGGGTATCTCTCTGGGCAAATCCAGGGTCTTTGGAGTTTACAGCCACGGGGGCACATGGGTCCACCCAGGGAAGAGCCCCCAGCAGATGCTGAAGGATCCACCAGGGAGCCCCCATGAGACCAGCAGGAGGAGGTGCAAGAGCACAGATCAGCCTGGTCTGAGTCCCGTGAGCCCAGCCCAATGGTCCTGCAGGCCACAGACAGGGGCAGCTCAGTTCACTGCAGCTACATTTCCTGCTAGCCAGGCTAGAGAGAAGGAACTTGAAGGAATTCAAAAAATTAGGAAATGTAAACACCCCCTAGAGTATTGTGGAGCTAAATCCACACACTTAACCACTTCAACACATAAGAATAGCTCTGAAAGGGAAAAGATGGACAGGCTACAAAGAGCTGAGGAATGGGCACTTCCAAGGCAGGGGAACCTATTCCTGCAAGACCCCAGAGGCAGGAAAGCCAGAGGCCAGTCACCCATTCAGGGAGGCCAGGGGTGCCAAGAAAGGCCACTGCAGATGTGGAAACCTAGGCAGGAGGTCTTTGCACCCAGGTTCTTCTGAGACAGAGTCAGGAGAGCCTTGGGCTGTGAGTGCGATGAAAAGTTCATTCTGAGGACTTATCTGCTGGCTGCCGGCTGCCAGGCTGTTTGATTGCAAAATCCATTTCCAAATGGCCTGCTCGTTTGTGAGAAGCTACAGGGGACTGTATATCAGGAGATGCCACCCCCTGAAATGTTCCGCATCCCAGGTACCCACCTTCCTCCGGCTGCAGCCACTCCTGATCCACGCAGACCCACCCTGCAGGCACCGACCTCCCCTGCCTTTCCCAAGCTCCCTGAAGATCATCTGATGAGCAGACACCTACCCCACACCCAGGCCCTGGCCTGCCGGAAGCCCAAGATCAGGGAGAGGAGGGTCCTTTCTCATGAGAATGAGCAGATGACAACTCACTGCATTCTTCCCCAGCATCGGCTTAGAATGAAAGGTAGAAACCCATAGTCCCACCACGGAGGTGTCATCCTGCACCCCAAGCCTGATGATCTGCCCATTCCATTCTTTGAGGAGAGAGAGGGCGAAGGGAGAGAAAGCCCCAGCCCTTCCCGCATTTTAAACACCTGGCAGGTTATCCCAGGCCGAATAGGACCCGTGGCTGAGCCCGGGCCCACTGGATACCCTGCTCTAGTTAAAGTACATCTCTCTGCAGCATTCAGAAAATAGCTATCTACAGTATTGTTTTCAGCTATAATGGAAAACTGATGGCTTTTATCTCCCCAACTTTATGACTATTGATGGGATAGAGGCTGAGGTTTGATGACCATTTAATAGCCGACCCCGCGCAGTTAGAGGAGCATCAGAAAGCAATGAAAGCGCCGAGATGATTGTCTGGCAGAGACTCCTCCGCTGAGGTCCAGGAAGCAAAACAACCACCCTCCCCAGGCTCCGACAAAAGAAAAAAAATCAAAGTCATCATCATTTCTGTTTCTTTCCCCTCCTTCCTGCCATTGACCTCTGGGAGGTGGATCCACAGGGGAGGGAGGGCAGGGGACCAAAACGATGCAGGCCTGAGTCCTCATGGAGAAAGGGGACCGTGCTTTCTGAACTGGGGGCCTCCACCGAAGGGCTCCCCAAGACCCCAACCCCTTCCTTCCAAGCCTGCAGCGTGCAGTGGACCGGCCTGGCTTCTGGAAGAAGCAGAGGGGCTTGGGGCACTCTGTTGGGCTCCCTGGGAAACAGCTGGAAGAAAAGGGAAGGAAGCAGAGGCAGTTTCCCTTTTGCCAAGATTGGGCTAGCCTGAAATCCAGCTGGTGTTAGACCTTCTACCCGCAGCTAGAAGCCAGAAGCCACTGCCAGGGCTCCACACGTATCCAAGCACCCAGCCTTCCTTGCCACTCTGCCCCTGCTGCCTTCTGGGGGTCTACCCAACATGCAGACCTTTCTCCTGCTGGAAGCAGACCAGGTCTGCAGGCCAGCAGAGGCACTGGGAAACATCACATTTTTTAACTTTGCAGCATTCCAACTGCCTTCACAGTGGTTCTCTTTTTTTTCCTGCAACAGCCTAGTGAGGTGTTCTGGACAGATTTGATTCTGTCCATTCTTTTTCATAATGAAACTAAAGGTCAAAGATGGGATATCTCCCAAGTCTGGGACCCAGGTTTTTGACTCACTGTCCAGTTCGCCCTGTGCCATGGAAGCTGCCTCGAAGAACAGGGCACCTGCCCAGGGAGGCGAGACTTGACCTTTTGTCTGGGTCCTGTCACTCCTTAGCTGGATGACACTGGGCAAATAATTTTACCTCTCTGGACTTCAGCTTCTTTCGTCTATCAGATGAAATTCTGCTGTGATGATCTTTTATATCTCCTCTGTTTCAAGGTGTGAAAGGAAAATATCTTGGCCTCCAAAATCACTAAGCTAAAGGGAAAATTCAAGCTGGGAACTGCCCAGGGCAAACCTGCCTCCCATTCTATTCAGAGTCATCCCTCTGCTCACTGAGAACAGAAGCTCCAAAGAATGCAACCCTTTGTCTCTCACCTTTTGGAAGCCCCCTCCCCGCTTCAAGTTGTCCCGCCTTCTGGACCAAACCAATGTTCCTCTTACATATACTGATTGATGTCTCATGTCTCCCTAAAATGTATAAAACCAAGCTGTGCCCTGAACACCTCGGGCACATGTCATCAGGACCTCCTAAGGCTGTGTCACGGGCTCACATCCTCAGCCTTGGCAAAATAAACTTTCTAAATTGACTGAGATCTGTCTCAAATTTTCAGGGTTCACAAAGGTGAAGTCTTGCATCCCATGGAGTCCATCAACCATGTTTTCAGGCACAACGATGTCTTCCAAGGCCCCACAGCCACTGCCTTTCTATATAGCATACATCTATCCCATCGTGAAGGTGTAGAAAGATGTGGAAACCAAGCCCCCCCCCAATCCACCCCTGCCAGGCCCCTTGCTATGCACCATAATACCAGCGACCACCTCTATCCCAGTTCTCCTTCGCACACACACAGGAGATGAGGCAGAGTGCTTGGGCCAGTAGGCAAGGTGGTCCAGAGCACAGAGAGCCGCTGTGTGGAGACGAACCCTTCCCCACCCACTGCTGGTGCTGAGTGGTCTCTCTGAGGACCCCCAACTGGGCCAACCTCCTTAAAGGCGAGGTTTCATAAGCCCAAATGAAAGAAACAACAATATAGCCAGGTGCTCATTGTTGTGTTGTTTTCATTTTTCTTGAGACAGGGTCTGTACTCTGTCACCTAGGCTGGAGTGTCATGGCGTGATCACAGCTCACTGCAGCCTTGCCTGACCTCCAGGGCTCGAGCCGTCCTCCCATCTCAGCTTCCTGAGTAGCCGGGACTACGGGCCCATGCCACCACACCCAGATAATTAAAAAAAAAAAAAAATTGTAGAGATGGGCTCTCACTATGTTACCCAGGGCTGCTCTTGAACTCCTGCCTCCCTCTTCAAAGTGTTTGGATTCCAGGTGTAAGCTAAAGCACCTGGCCACATTCTTGTTGCTTTCAAGAAACTGAAACTGCCCAGAAACACTCCCCACCTGCTGTGAAGACCACTGGTTCACTCGGGCTCCCTCTCCTCCCTTCACCTTGGGAAGTCCCACGTTGGGGATCCAAGAGCTCTCTGAGGGTCTTACTGCCTGCGCATACCCTTCCCCTGGAAAGCCTAGCACATGGCTGTTCCCTACCATCTGGCAGGCTCAGGTCCAGACACGCATTTCTTCAATGAGAGTGGATGGACAAGTGTGCAAAGCCAAGCTGTTCAAGCATCCACAGGGACACACACCCATCAGGAAAAAACAGACTCTCATAAAAAGCCAGTGGGAAAATGTTAACAATGTATTTAGAGAGAAAAAAAAATAGCCTACAAAACAACACATACTGTGTGACATCATTTTTGTTCAAATATGTATATGCACCTAAAAAAATAGCTGCAAGTTACATTCTCCAAAATGTTAGCCATGGCTTATTTTGGGGTGTTAGGATTGAAGATAATTTCTAGTTTCTTTAGGTATACCTTTCTGTCTTGTCCGATTTTTTTTTTAATTTTTCAGAGACAGGGTCTCACTCTGTTGCTGGGCTGCAATGCAGTGGCAAGATCATAGCTCACAGCAGCCTCGAACTCCTGGGTCCAAGCGATCCTTCCATCTCAGCCTCTCAAGTGGCTGGGACTAGAGGCAGGCACCACCGTATCTGGCTAATTTTTTCCTTTGTATTTTTAATAGAGACAGTGTCTCACTATGTTGCCCAGGCTGGTCTCAATCTCCTGGCCTCAAGCAATCCTCCTGCCAAAGTGCTGGCATTACTGGCATGAGCTACTGTGCTCTGTCCTGAAATTATTTTTATAATGAGCACATAGGGCTTTTATAATCAACAAAGCAGTAAAGTGAATTTCATTTTGAGAATTAGGGAGAAAAAATAAGAGAAAAGAAGGAAAGGAAGAAATGAGGGGAGGGGAGGGGAGGGGAGGAGAGGGGAGGGGAGGGGAGGCCTCCAAGAGCACATCATCTATTCCTTTCACCTGTCCCAAGAAACAGCAGGTCCGAGTTACACATGCTCAGAAGGGACCTAAAAGAGCCCCCTTCCCCAATACTCCTCTGATGCTGGCAAGGGGGCCTGCAGCCTCTGCCCCTCTGAGAGTGGGGAACTCATTACCTAACAAAGCAACTCACCCTAATTTCCAACACGATCATAGAATTAGTTCAAGACCAATCTGGCCAACATGGCGAAACCCCATCTCTACTAAAAATACAAAAATTAATCAGGCATTGGTAGCGCGTGCCTATAGTCTCAGCTACTTGGGAGGCTGAGGCTGGAGAATCGCTTGAACCTGGGAGGTGGAGGTTGCAGTCAGCCAAGATCACGCCATTGCAGTCCAGCCTGGACGACAGAGTGAGACTCCGTCTCAAAAAAAAAAAGGGGTGGTGTGAGGATTTAGTGTAACTCCTAATCTAGGACCCCCTCCACCTGACTCTACTTCATGCTCTTATCAAGCAACACCTTTAGAGAACCCTGAGCTGGCTGGAATTGAGGACTGGTAGGTGTGGTGCCTGGGAGGAACAGGGGAGCCCCTGCCTGTTCAGTGTCTTCCAGGACATCCCAAAGCTCCAACCTTACGCGCACAGACTCTCCTCCCTCAGCCGGCACCTTCAGCCCTGAGCAGTACAGTCCCGCCGTCCAGGAGGCTCAGTCCTGCCTCCCCCTCCTGTCCTCTTCTCCCAGAAGCCTCCGCCCAAGACAGCCTCCCTCCCTCTGGTCCCCGCCGCAGGACCCTGTCTCCACACCACTCTCCCTGGCTCTCCCAGCCTCACAGCTTCCCTTCTCAGAATGCCTACATCGAGCAGTTTAATCCTTACAACACCTAATCAAACAGGGCCTCCTCTTCATAGTTAACAGTGGTTCACACGGGTGAGCCCTGTCTCCCCAAACGAGCTGAAACACTCTTTGAAGGAATGATGTTTACCATGTGCCTGTGTGCCGGGCCGGATGCTCGCTGCTTTTCATGCATTATTTCCCTTAATCCCATAATCTCCATCCCAAGCCCCTGCCTCTCTCCCAAACTCGCAGACACACAAACACTTTTTGGATTTGACATTTCCTCTTGCATGTTCCAAAGGCTTTCAAATAAGTCTGAAACCCAAACATTGTCCCTCCATGCCAGACAAGGACCACCATCTCCCCCTCCTCATCCCCCTCCCCCTCCTCATCCCCCTCCCCCGTTCCTCCTCCTCCCCCTCCTCCTCCTCCCCCTCCTCCTCCTCCCCTCTTCCCCACCCCCTTTTCTCAGGTGACAACATCACCAGCCAGCTGGCCACCAGGCCACAGACCTTAGCACCATCCCAAGCTCCCCCGTTCACTGTCTGCATCCAGTGAGGCCCTGGGAGCTGACCTCTGAAGGTCTCTGAGCACGTACCGTCTGCCCTCTGCCCTCTGCCTTGGTCCTATCTCAGACTCCATCACATTTCAGCTTCCTTAAGGGAGTCTCTGTCTCCAGCCTTGCTCTCCTCCAACTCATCTGCACACAGCGGCCAAAGGGATCTTTCTAAAACACTAGTTGAATCATGTCTATCTCTTGCTTAAAATACTTCATGGCTCCCCACCGTCTTCTGGGGAAAATCAGACTCCCTGGCCCAGAGTCCACGGCTTTGTGAGCTGGGTCCCTCTTTCCTCTGGGGTACCTCTAGTTTTACACGCATGTGCCCTCTGCAAGGAACAGAGAGAAGGGCCTCCTCCTAGTATAGGCCTACTCCTCCTTCAAACCCAGCTTAGACATCACCTCCAAGAGGCCTTCTCAACAACCCCACCAAGCCTGTGGGGGCCGGCCCCGCATGTGACAGCCAGGGCAAGCCTGTGGGCGCCTTAGGGAAGGTCTGCGGTTCACTCCAGCATCCCAGGTGCAAGGCTCCCAGACACAGAGCTCCACGAAAGGCCTCCTGAATGGACTCCAGAGCTTCCATGGAGGTGCTACTGTCCTTATTTTGACAAGGAAAACAGGAGCTCCGTGCTGTGAAGAACATGCCCAGCTCCTGCAGCTGCTGAGTGAGCATCTATTTGACCCCAGCTCATCAGGATTCTTCTCCTGGGCACGTCCCAGAGATCACAGTGCACCCCCATGGATGGAGGGAAGAAGGGTCACATGCTCCGAAGGGTTCCTCCTGGACTCAGAGAATGTGTCTTGGACCAGGGAGAGTAGGGACAGTGATCTCCAAATTTCCCTCTCCCTCTATATGAAGAGCAAATAGCTCACTGCTCCTTTGCTCATAAGTCAATGTCCTCATTCTGCTCTAAGCAGGAGGATGCCAGTAGTGATCTGATGTGCCCACTCACCTCCAACACCCCTTCCCTGACACTCCTCTAATGCTGGCAAGAGGACCTCCAGCCTCTGCACCTGAGGATGGGGAACTCACTACCTAACAAAGCAACTCACCCTAATTTCCATCAAGATCACAGAGTTAGTTATCGGCAGGGATAGTGTGAGGATTTAGTGTAACTCCTAATCCAGGACCCCTTCCCCCTGACTTGACTTTGTCCTCTTATTAAGTAACACATTTAGAGAACCCTGAGATAACAGGGCTACCTGCATGAGGCCTCTGAGTCTTCCATGAGAGACCCCAAAAGGGCCCTGAAGCTGAGAGCTGGATCCAGGACACCCAGGCGCCACAAGCCACTTCACAAGAAGGAGAGCAGGGCTGCCTCCCCCCTGGGGATGCCCACGTGGAAGGCAGAGCATATCCCAAGGCTGCCACGGGAAAGGCCACATCCTCAAAACATCCTGGGCAGGACTTCCACTGCAGGAGCCAGGGGCACCTCTCCAACAGCCCCTGCACTGTTCAAACACCTCCTCGAGGAGGAAGATTGAAAGCCGAAAAGCAAGGCTCCTCTGGGCAGCCCGAGAGCTGGCTTCTCTAAGGGGCTGGGCCATCAAGGTTGCTCACAAGAGCACAGTGATGTGGAGAAGAGTCTCTTCCCACACCTGAAGGACTCTTTTAGCCATAGCAGGAGAAGCTGAGTTGGTGGCAGCCATATCGTGGCCCCTCCAAGCCCAGGGAGGACATGGCGGGTGGGACATTCTAGGGTCCTAAGCACAGTGCAGTGGACAGAGTCAGTATCAAAGACCAACAGTGGTGTGCTCCCCACACTAGAGTCTGTCCCAAGGCTGAGACTTGCCCAGTGTGATGACAGAGCAGCTGGGACTGGCTCCTCTGCAATGGCAGGGTCACTCTCACTCTCCTGCCTTCCTCGACCTCACTCCACACTTCCCAAAGCCAAACCACTGTTGAGCTCTCCTCAGCCATCAAAGCCAAACTGCTATTGAGCTCTCCTCAGCCATGTCTCCACCCAAAGGGCAAACATCTTCCCTTTCCACTAATGTCTTTCCCAGAAAGCTCTAACCAACCAACTGGCCAACATTTCTCTAGCCCCGATCAGGTTTCCGTAATCACCAATCCATCAAAACTTCTGTGTAAGAGTCACCAAGGCCCTCCACGTCCCCAAATCCAATGGTGACCCAGGTGTCCTCATCCTTCCAGACCTCTCTACAGCATACGGCACGGCTATCCATTCCCTCTTTTTCAGAACACATTCTTTTGACTCCTAGAATACCATAATAACAGCATCCAGCACTACTGGGCACTGACAGGGTGCCAGGCAGGTTCCCAGTGCCTCCTCTCCACCCAGACTCTCCCTAGGAGAATCCTACCCATTCCTCTAGCTTTAAATGCCATAAATACGCTAATGCCCCCAGAATTTACAACCTCAGTCAAGCACCAGATATGAATGTCTCAAAGGCATCTCGAAATTAACATGCCCAAAATGGAACTCCTGATTTATCTCCCGCCAGGCCTTCGCCATCTCAGAATGTTACACCATCACCACCAAGCTGCTCAAGCCAGAAGCCGGTGAGTCATCCTTGAGCTCCTCCATCACCCTCAGGCCACAGACCAGGTATATCACTTCTACCTCCGAAATATCTCCAATTTATCCACTTATCTCTCTCCACCTGGCCACCACCCTGGGCTGAGTGGCCATCATCTCTGATCCAGTTATTCTAAAATAACCTCCTCCCTGGCCTCTCTGCAGTCGTTCTCGCCTCCTCCCTTAATTCTCCACACAGCAGCCAGAGTAATCTTTCTTATCACAGTTTTTCACAATGCACTGCTTGGCTTCAGAAGCTCCTTTCCAACTGTACTCAGAAGTCCAAACTCCTTGCTGTGGCCTGTGAGGCCCCGAGTGATCTGGCCCCTGCCTGCCTCCCAACCTCAACCTGTGCATCTCTCTCTGAGCCCCGCTGCCCCAGCCACACCTTTCCCCCCTTTCCCTCCTGCAAACTTCTGCACATGCTATGCCCTCTGCACGTGATGCTCTTTCTCCCTTGGTCTGACACCAGGCTCCCCATTCCTCAGGTCTCAGTTTAAATGTCATCTTGCAGATAAACTTTTCCTGGCCAAGCAGATTCCCCCTCTCTGCCCCTGTTATTCTCTATTTCCACATCCTGCTCATTTCGGCAGCATTATCTAGATGCTTGTCTGTGTGCTTGCTCACCATCTGCCTCCTCCATCAGACTGTCAGCTCCAAGGGGGCAGAGACCACTGACACTGTATTCTCCAGGGGGTAGCCAGTGTCTAGCATGGTGCCTGGCACAGAGTGGGCACACAACAAACAGCTGTTAAAGAAATAAGCTGGCCAAGCCCACTGGCTCACACCTGTAATCCCAGCACTTTGGGAGGCTGAGGCAGGCAGATCACGAGGTCAGGAGTTCAAGACCAGCCTGGCCAACATGGTGAAAGCCCGTCTGTACTAAAAATACAAAAATTAGCCAGGTGTGGTGGTGCGTACCTGCAGTCCCAGCTACTCAGGAGGCTGAGGCAGGAGAATCGCTTGAACCAAGGAGGCAGAAGTTACAGTGAGCCAAGATCATGCCACTGCACCCAGCCTGGGTGACAGAGCAAGACTCCATCTCAAAAAAAAAAAAAAAGAAAGAAAGAAAGAAAGATGCCAATGAGGTAGTAATATAAAATGAGAATATTTAAAAACAGAGGACTGATTGGGAAGAAAAATATTAAAGGAAAGCCACGTGATGTCACAGGAAGGATACAGACAAGTTCTAAAGAGTGTCTGGAAAAGCAGGGACCAGGGGAAGATACAGAATGGGAGCCAAACAGGCTTGATGGAGGGGAAGTCTAGATGTTATGAATGTAGTGTTTGTGTCTCCCCAAAATTCATATGTTAAACCCCTAATCTCCAGCGTGATGGTATTTGGAGATGGGGCCTTTGGGAGGTGATTAGGGTTAGATGAGGTCATGGCGGTGGGGCCCTCATGACGGGATTAGTGGCCTTATAAGAAGAGGAACAGACAACAGATTGATCTCTCTCTTTCTCTCCTCTGCCTCTGCGTGCACACATCAACAAAGACCATACGAGGACGTAACCAGGAAAAAGGCCCTCATCACAGGGCCTTTATGGATCAAGGTGCCATCAAGAACCCAGCCAGGATCTCAGATCTCCAGCCTCTGGAACTATGAGAAGTAAATGTTTGCTGTTGAAGCAACCCAGTCTATGATATTCCGTTACAGCAGCCTGTACTGACTAAGATACCAGGCAAGGAGACAGTCCATGCCAGTGAGTGAAAGCAGAAATACTCAGGGAGCCAGTGTGAACAATGCAAGACCAGGGTGGCTGAAAGTGTGTCTGCCCCTGTGTGAACAAACACACGCCCAGTTGTAGGTGAGGCCTCTGGTACAAACAAACTATGCTGGCTTGCATTCGGATTCTCCCTGTGTAAGTGACCTGCCACGAATGGGTCACTCCTCCCCAACCACTCAGAGATGCCTGGGTCCTCAAGCACAACTCCACAAGTGGGAGCCTTAGCCAAACAGGATCCGCATCTCATCCACCTGGGGTGTGAGCCTCTGGAGCCCAGATGCCTTGAGAGAAGCCTGTAAAGTTAAGGTGAAGGCTCTGTGCAGCCCTGCCAAGCAGTAGCAGCCACAGCAGGGTGAAGCATGAATCCTATCTTGTAAACTAGAGCTCTGATTTGGAGCTTCTCTCTGTGTTTATTTCCCCAGAGCCTTTAGTAAAGTAATATCCAGTATTCCAGCCTTGTCTCAACATGTCGCGGGAAATTCCAGGGAGGGTCACTCGGGGACCCTTGGCCCAGAGTTAAAGAGTGAGCAGAGCCCCTACTGAGACCAGCAACAGCAGCCACATGGGATCCCCAAGGGGAAACTGGATCTCAGGGTCTCGGCTCCTTGCAGTTAGGTTCTTCAGGAAGGGGGTGGCCTTTTCCCCCCGACACTCCTCTGCACAGCTTTGCTCTGGGGCTGGATGTGGCTATTGGACTCTGGGCACTGCTCAAGGCCAGATGGGCCCCTGAGCGAGATTTTACTTTTCTGTGACTCATCTCCCCTAAGCAAGGGCTGCTCTGCAATGCCAGCAGGGTTACCCAGGGAAGACCTAGTAGAATTGGGATTTCAAGAGAACCTGAGTGAAAAGCTATCTTCTACACAATTGTAGCTACAATGGTAGTGGGGCTCCTCTCCCACCACAGACAAGATTGACAAAGAGTCCCCTCCTTAGGTTCTAAGTGCCGCAAGGACAAGCTCTACCTACTTCATTAACTCCCCCAATCGAACACAATGCCTGGCCCAAAGTGGATGACCAATAAAGAGTAGTGAAATTAATAAAGAAATAGTCCCAGGACCCCCACTCCTCCCGCTATAGATAATCTGCTGGCCCCAGGGAGGACTGGCTGGGTTCCGTGGAACATCCATGCTGCCCCTCCTATGCCTGTGGCAGGCATCGCTAATCAATCACAGCCCTCTTTGCTACTGAGCCAGGAGCCAGACTCAAAATCCTTCTCTAGGGAGCCAATCCAAGTTGGTCATCTAGAGAAGGAAGAGGTTCCTATGCTTTGAGAGATCAAGGAACCCTTAGGAAATCTAATGAAGGCAACAAATTTCTTTCTAGAAAATACACACAAAACTTTCTGTATAATTTCAAGATATTCAAGGACCTCTACTTTAAAGGGAGTGAAGGCTTGGAAGCACCACAGCCCACGTAACCCCGTGCAAGTAACCACTTGCTGCCATTTAGAGATGATCTGCTAAAAACATCAGCCAACAGATCCTATGGAAAGCCATTAAGCTGAGGGACAGTCCCAAGGAGCCAAGAATCAAACCCAGACCTGTCCATCCACACTGCCTGAAGATACTGAACACCCCCCATGCTGGGCAAGAAAGAGAGTGTGTGGAAGGGACTCCTTCCCACCCCCTGAGGACAGCCTTGAGGGAGGTGAGCCCAACTTCCTCTGCTTCCCAACAAGCCTCTCTGACAAGGGCAGTGTCCACTGCAGGAAAGGGCCCAGGTTGCCAGGGTAGCTCCAGGCTGGAATCTATTTATACACATCCTCAGCACCCAGAGGTTAAATTACAGCCCAGGAGATGGCACGGAGCCAGCAAGGAGTTATTTATGTTCTCTTGGCAGACTAAGAGGAACAGGGCATTTCAGAGGACCGCTTCCAAATGAGGCCTGGTAGGGACACAGTTTAGAGAACAACAGAATCATCCTCCCACGACCCCCCAACCACCACCAACACACACACACACACACACACACACACACACACACAATCTGAGCCCATCTTTGCAATGGCTGTAAGCTGAGAGGGTAAAAACCGAAAGACTGTGTTTTTAAAATGTAGATCTTGGCCCACTGTGGGGGCTGGAATGAATCCAGCCAAATGCCATGGATGCATTCCAAGAAGTTCTCCAGGCTTTCCAGGCTCCTTATCAGAAGGCTTTTAAAGGAAACGTCTCTCCTGACCTATCCCTAGATGCTCACTTAGCTTAAGTCCACAGCCCTAAGGCTCGTGCGATATGAACCAGACAAAGGCCAAAGACATAAGCCAAGGTTCCTGAGATGCAACTTCAAAGCCAGGTGGAACTGTCAGTAGAGCCCAAAGCTTCCACTCCCAGAGGCTCCATCCTCAGCCACTGACCCCAAACTGCTCTGAGTTCAAAGGATGATGGGAGGATTCAGAAGTGCTTCCCAAAACCCCGAGGCCCAGCAAGCAGATATCCTTGTTTAACCAAGGCATCTTTAAACCCTAGATCAAAGGAACCCTCCAACACTTTATCGCTGGTGACATTTAATAAGACAGCATGCAGAGCCTGCTAAATCTCACACGGGTGACGGACAAGGCCTGCCACGCAGTGTGCCACACGGCGAATCGATGTGCTTGCTTTCATGTGGTGCCAGGTGAGGTCGGCTCTGGAAGAGCTTCCCCCAAGAATCCTCCACCAAGATTCCCCCTGCAGGAGGCCTGGGCATCTCTAGGCCAACTCCCTCAGCAGGAGGAGGGACCACAGGGGCCAAGCAGGCCTGGCTGTATCAGGGCCGGGTGCTGTAGCACTGCAGCATGGGCATGCTCCTAGGAGATGCCAAGGGCTGGGGCCTTACTTCCAGAGTCACAAGCCCAGAGAGGCTTTCCCAGGACACCCATCAAGGCCGGCTTCATTCATTAAAGTACCAGCAAAGGCAGGTTGGGGGTTCTGCAATTCCTGCTGCAAACACCCTGGCATTGGGCTCTCCCATTTTCAGAATGAAGATTTCCACCTGCGGTCAGAAACCTGGAGGAAGTCAAACCAGGGAAAGGAGGAAGTGCACCCCTTCCCAGGCACAGTCGAGAGCCATGACCCAGCTTCCTGCTCTCCAGGTGCCCCCTTGAGCCACCTGTCACCTCTGATGCTAACAACGGGCATCCATAGGACAACTGAGCACTTTTGTGGATTCTGGGGACAGTGACACTTGGGTTGGCAAGTCAGGCCTGCAAGAGTGTAGAAAGAAGCCACTCCTCTCCTTCCAGGCCCGGCCCAGGGAAGAGCCTGGTGAGAAGGGCCCTTCAAATACCTGCTCCCACACCATCCACCCTGATGAGGCTGGCTGAGTCATTTCCCCTTATACCAAGAGCTCATCTCTCCAGTAAAATAACCTCTAGTGGAGAGGGCAGGAGCAGAGGGAGAAAGCAGACAGGAAAACTGCTTCAACAGAATCAGAACCATAGACTTGTAAGACCTCGGGGTCCCTACAGATGACTTGGTTCAGCATCCTCATTTGATCGATGAAGAGCCCCCCAGGGCATGAGGAGTGAAATAGCCCACTGAAGACCATGCAGGAGGCCCCAGGCAAGTGAAGAGTAAAGGTAGGTCCCCTGACTCTGGGGCACCACCACAGCAACCTCCATCCATCACCTGCAGTGTCTGTGCATCTCAGTCTCTGTGGCTCCGGATGCATGTCTCAATGCACCCCGCCCCAAACCTCAACTCTCCATCATGCACAAGGTTCCCTAAAGGGCACTTCTCCATGCTCGTGCCAGACTCTTCCTAATGCAGGTTCCGCCCTCATTCCTTCCCTACCTCTTCGGGACCACATTGAAATTTGCATGCAGATGGGTGTGTTGGTGGGAGATAGGGAAAGAGGGATTGGAAGAATGCCCTGCTTCAAGATCAGGAGCTCACCCAGCCACATCCTGGAGCAATCAGAATTTCCTACTCAGGATCCCAGGCCTCCTAAAGTGAGCCATGTACCTAATTCAATAATCCAGACATAGCACTGCTTGTGGGCCCTGGAGTCTCCATTGTTTAAATTTATTTCCCAGTGCAAGAAGCTCATCTGCTTGGCTCAGCACACCTCAGAAACTGTCAGCCCTCAGCTCCCAGGATTCCTCAGTCCTGACCCTCCCAATACTTAGCCCTGTTTCAACGCCGTTTCTGGTTCCACTGTGTGAAGTGTATCACTTGATTCTCCTGTTTCCTAGCTTCCCCCACCTCCAGAAAAGCAAAAAAAAAAAAGAGAAGGAAAAAGAAAAAATGCTTCTAGTTCTTTAAACTGACACAGACGTTCTCCAAGCCACAAGTTACCCTGCTCCAAACTCCCCCATCTCAGGGCTGCAGGCCTGGTAGGAGCTGTCCACTCCATTGTCACATTATCCACCCTTCCTTAAAGCAATACTAATAAAATGGGTGCCCTGTCCCAGCCACTCCTCTACCTGAGATGCCTAGTTCAGACACCTGAGCAGCTTGATTCCAGGCCCCCTGCAGTCCTCCAGCTTTTGAGCGCACCCAGCCCACTCCTACGCTTGGGTCCTGGGCTTGGATTCATCCTGGTCTTTTCCAGCCCCTTCAAGGCCCAGTTCCGGTCTGCTCCATCATTCCACGCAGCTGTGTAGGATGCAGCCCCCAAGGTCATTTTAGCATTCAGAAGAAGAAGCGAATGTGTCTCAAATCATGCTCCCATCTATCCTGTTTGGGGGAGTTATTTGGTCCATCAAGCCTCCCCTTTATCCCAGCATCCAGGAAGCTCGGAGCTCAAGTTCAGTCACTGTGGCAAATGGCAGCGTGGCCACATCTGCTCCCTCCTCCTCTCTAAGGCTGGCCTTCCTCATTGTGGTATGCATAGTTTCATCTTCAATCGCCTCAATCGGTTTGTGTAGGCAATAAGATATATTTTTTTAAGTAAGCAAAAGAGAAAAACCCACCTTCTTCACAGAGCTTTCCCTGAGCCCTGCAGCTAGCTCTGGGATCAGGCCCCTCTCCGAACTCCAGGAGAGCTTGGTCTGCAAACCAAACAAAGTACCACTTCCCCTTCAGTGTGCACAGGGCCCCAGCTCTCCTCCCCATCTCCCATCTCTCTGCGGTCCCTGGCCCTGGCCCTGGTTCCTTCTGAAGAAGGTGGTTTGTACCCAATGCCTCTACTTCTGCCTCCCTGCCAGGCCGGGCCCACTGCGGTCCATCTTCCACCACACACACACACACACACACACACACACACACACACACACACACGCATGCACACACATAAACATGCACATGCACACAGGCATACACATACACATGCACACATGCGCACACACATATACACACTCTGTGAGACACCACAGCTCAGTCACCTCCTCCCTCTGAAACCCCCTTCCCTTCCAGTCTCACATCCTACTTCCTTTGCCCCTCCCTTAAGCACTGGTGTTTCCAGTAGATTTCTGCCTCCACCGTTCGCTCCAAGCCTTATCACTTAAACACTGAGGATGCCCAAATCTTCAGGCATCTCCAGCCCAGACTCCCTCCTGAGCTCTAGCAACCCCTCCTAGGCCATTTCATTTACTGCTGTGGCTTTAATCACCAGCAAAGTACTCAATAACTTCCAAACCCATCTCTTCTTTCCAGCCTCATTACTGAGGTCGAGACCCACAAGTCCAAGTGCCCCCTATGTGTTGCCATGAAGGTGGCAATAGTCCCCCAGGCCCCTCAAATGCTGCATGTCCAATACCACCCCCACTGAATGGCTCCATCTCCCCAGAATTACTCAACTAGGAAACATGGTAGACATCATTCATTTATCCATTCAACTAACCTTATGGAATGCTCACCAAGTGCCAGGCTCTACATGCAGGACAGGGTGTGGAGTAAACAAAACAGAAATAGTTCTCGCCACCAGGGTTCTATCTCCAGGTGACTTTCAGCCAGTCACCTAGCCCCATCAAGGCCACTTCCCAATCTCCTCTGAAATAATCCAGTTTTCTCCACACCCACACTCACTATCTTAGTCTGGAGCACTCAATAATACTGGAAAGAAGCAGTTTAGCTGGAATCCGACTCTGAAATGTATGGTTGTGTGACCTTCAGCAAGTTACTTTCTCTGTAACTTGCCAGATGTTTCCTCATTGACAGATAAAGATAATATCACCTACCTCAGTTTTGTCGCAAGGATTAAATGAGACAGAAAGCCTCTAGAACAGTGTCCACAACACAACAGGCTATCTATAAACACCTGCACCCACTACAATCCCCATTTCTCCAACAGCCTCCCCCGACTTGCCTCCCATCACGGCCCACTCTACATGTGCCCAACACCTGCAGCTCCCCAGAGCCCAGGCCCTCTCCCACTTCCACCCTGTGCCATGCTTTTCCAACAGGCTTCTTCCCTGGCTTTCTCCTCCTTGTTTCCCAAGGCTCAGGTCAAGGCCCCCTCCTCCCCTGGACACCCAGGATATGGCAGATGCCCCTCTCCTGTGCTCTCTCCTCTGGGAGCCCACAGCCTCATCCCACTGAATTGGGATTACCACTCCCTTTGTCTGTTTCCCCTGTATTCTCAGGGCTTAGGACCAAGAACTGCACACAACAGAGTCTCAATAAATACTTAGCAAACAAAAAGGACAAATGTGAGAATTATATAGAGCCAAACTTCAACTTAGTATAACCATGCACCACCACCCGCCCCTCCCCCTGCAAAAAAAAAAAAAAACTACCTTCCTAATAATGAGGCTACACTTGGTAAGCACTTACTATATTCCAGGCTCTGCGCTAAGCTTTGGACCTACGTTATGTCATCTAACGTTCACAATAACCCTGTGACGTGGGTATTTTTACTCCTATTTTATAGGTGAAGGGACGGAAGGTCAGGAAAATTTTGTAAACTTGCTCCAGGTTACACAGCTAATGAGTGGTAAAGACAGGATTCAAAGCTAGGACCGTCCGACTCCAGGACCCATTCCTCACCCTGACCCATTCCTCACTCATATGATCATTGAGACTGGATCATATCTCAATACAGAGTGAGCTGGCTCTTCGTTTTATGAGAGCACCTTTCCTGATAGCCACGTGACCTACGTTGGGATATTAGGCAGAAACTTTCTTCAGAAGTGGGACTAAATTGTCTAAAGTCCCTTTTATATATATATAAAGCCAGCTCACTCTGTATTCAGGTCTGATCCAGTCTAGTTTCAGGGTGAGGAATGGGTCCTGGAGTCGGACGGTCCTAGCTTTGAATCCTGTCTTTACCACTCATTAGCTATGTAACCTTGAGCAAGTTTACAAAATTTTCCTGACCTTCCATCCCTTCACCTATAAAATAGGAGTAAAAATACCCACGTCACAGGGTTATTGTGAACGTTAGATGACATAACGTAGGTCCAAAGCTTAGCGCAGAGCCTAGAACATAGTAAGTGCTTACCAACATAGTAGCCTCATTATTAGGAAGGTAGTTTTGGGGGGTATGCATGGTTATACTGAGCTGAAATTTAGCTCTATATAATATATGTAAGTATATATATGTGTATATATGTGTGTGTGTGTGTATACACACACACACACACACACACGCACATATATAGGTAGAGACTGAGTTTTGCTATGTTGCCCAGGATGGTCTCAAACTCCTGGCCTCAAGTGATCCTCCTGCCTCAGCCTCCTGAGTCGCTGGGATTACAGGCATGAGCCACTGCACCCAAAGGTCTCTCATTCCAAGACTCAAGGAGTCTGTGGTTTTAAATTATAAGCTCCTTGGGTTGTTCATTTTGGTTTCCCCAGCTGAGCACAAAGTAAGCAAATGATAAACCTGTTCTGAGTGAATGAATGAACAAATGAATGAATAAAGAAGTAGATGGATGGATGAATGGATGAATGAAATGGAAAATTCATTTTGCACATGTCCAAGTCAGTTTTACCCTTTTTGACACCCTTTCTGCTGGACTCAGGGTCATAATTCGATGCACCCAAGGAATGCAGAGAAAGGAAAACACAGCCTGGCAATGCAAGCGCCCTCCTGCCAGCACCACCGGGGCTGCCGCGGCACTCACCGACACAGGTGGTCAGTCCGGCACACGCCACGCAGGTCCAGGCAGTTGGGCTTCTCCTTGTCCTCATAGGAGCAGCTGGGCAGGATGGTTTGCCGGCGGCGCTCAGCGCACGCCTGGTCTTGGCAGGAGCAGAAGAGCATGCGGTAGGTGTACTCGCTGGGCACCCGGTCGAAGAACTGGCGCAGGGCCTTGTGGCACTTGCGGCGGTTGCAGCGCTCGGTGGGCGAGATCTCGCGGTTGCAGATGGAGATGTAGGAGGAGCGCAGCTTCTTGCAGTTGTCATTCAGGTTGCAGGCCTTGGCAGCATCCAGGCAATGGTTGCTCTTGGCGCTGACCACCGGGTCTGCCCCTGTCCCTGGAGGAGGAACAAGAGAGCAGGTCAGAGGCCACACAAGCATGAGGAGGACACAGCTGCCCCCTCACTGGAAGATGTCTCCCAGTACTCGATATGCTTCCATGTGCCTGCTCTGTGCCTCAGTTTCCCCCTTTGCGAAATGGGGATCACTTCACAGGACCTACCTCCTAAAGCTGTGGTGAGGAGTAAAGGAGTTAATATACAGGTTGAGGGAGCGCTTAGGAAGCAGCTGGTGCAGGGTGAGCTGTACCATGGCAATCTAGGACAATAGTGGACTTAAAATTCATCACAAGCCTAAAAGGCAAGCAACCAGGTGTGTATGGCCCTGTTTACAAATATGGGAAATAAAGTGACTGGCTCAGCGTCATACAACGAGGGGGCCCCCGTGCACCCACCAGCAGGACACTGGCATTTGGGGTCAGACAATGCTCATGATGGGATTGTCAGCAGCCTGGGTGCAGACAGCACACACATGCCCTCCTGAGGAATTCTGGTGAGAGCCAGATGGGAGATCACCTCACCCAACCTTGTTATTTTACAGATAAGGAAACTGAAGCACTGTGTGGGCAAGGGGCCTGCCCAAGGTTGCCCAGCACAGGAACCCGAGTCACACCCAGTAGTGCAGTTATGCCAGCGAGAACCGTTGGTCTAAGCTCCTCATCCATTCTTCACCCACCCTACAAATGCTTTCCAGTATTTCCTGAGCACCACTCTCTCCACACAAGGTCCCGCAAGGTGGTGGGAAGGACTTGGGGTGAGGAGGTAGGCTGAGGTCACACGTCCCTCTCACGTGGGCCAGGTGACTGACTGACCACTTACAGCACACAGTTCCTGGTGTTCTAATCACTTGCCCATTAAAGATTGATCAGGTCCTACCTCTGCACAGCCCTCTGCAGGGTGCCGTGTTAGATATAAAAGCGCAAGAGGAGGGCCCACTCTGGAAGAGCTCACAACTCCAGCCAGAAAACCAAGAGGAGAACAGCACAATAGCCAAGACTGGGCATTCTAGAGCTCAGCCATCGGCGTTCAACTCCTGGCCCTGATACTTACTG
This sequence comes from Homo sapiens, assembly GCF_000001405.40. Lineage (NCBI taxonomy): Eukaryota > Metazoa > Chordata > Mammalia > Primates > Hominidae > Homo > Homo sapiens. The sequence continues at coordinate 21,751,995 of NC_000008.11, forward strand.
GCTCTGTGACCTGGGACAAATGGCTGAACCTCTGCCTCAGTTTCCTTGTCTGCAAACTGGTATCTACCACATAGGGCCTTTGTAAGCATGAATGAGACAGCTCATTTTTTTCTCTCTCCCCTACATCATGATTTTGCTGTCTTCTAGACCATTCCCATCAGCTATTACATCACCCATCTTCAATTAAAAAAAGACCTCCTCGTGACCACACACCCCTCTTAAGCTACCACTCCATTTTTCTGCTCCCCTTGAAAGCAAAACCCCTCAATCGAGTTGTCTACACCACCTGTCCCTTGCTCTCCTCCCATTCTCTCTTAGACCTGCTTCAGCCTGGTGTTTGGCCCCACCTGTCTGATGGATGCTCAGGAATCCACAGGCCTCATCTCCCTCAGCCCATCAGCAGCACTGGACACAGCCAATTCCTCCCTCCTGCCTCCTTCCACTCTCTGCTGGGCTCCCTGCCACCTCCCCACAGTCTCCTCCTCAGCCTGCTTTGCTGGTCCCGTCTTCCATACCCAGGGCTCAGTCTCCTTTTCTCTACATGCACCTGCTCCCTGGGACTCATCTCATGGCCTGAAACACCATCACTGTGCTTCCAACCCCCAGATTTATACCCCCGGACGAGACCTCTGCCCTGAGCCCCAGACTTATCTGTCTACCTGCCAACTCAACACCTCTAGCTGCAAGCCTAATACCCAAATCTCACACTTGACACATCCAAACCCAACCCCGTATTTCCCCCCAAAACCTGGGGCTTCCCTCCACTTATGACAGTCTTCCTCACCCTGCTGGAAACAACTGCATCCTTCCAGTAGCCCATGCCAAAACTCTCGGCGCTTCTTTGACTCTTATTCATACACTGCCAAACCCTGGCAGCTCCACCTTCAAAATACAGCCAGAATCCAGACACTTCTCACCACCGCCACTGCTGCCACCTGGATCTGAGCCACCGACACTGTGCCTGTTAAGAGCCTCCTTCTCCCAGCCTCCTGCTTTGCCCTGTGCCCCCATACCCCACCCCATGACAATCTTCTCTCATCACAGCAGCTGGAGAGAACCTTCTAGAACCTACAGCAGACAGCCATTGCTCCTAGGCTCCAAAGCCCCCCTTGGATTCCCCAGCTCATTCGGGGGCTTCAGCATGACCTACACACCTCTATATGTGTGCTGTCTGATTTGCTGTGACAGAACAATTTGTGCTTTCTGAAATGCTGTCCGCTCACCACACACGGCTGCTGAACCTGAAATGTGGCTGGGTCATTTCACATGTTCACACAAGGCCTTGAAACACACACCAGATTTTGAAAATGTAATAAGAAAAAAATTATGTAGGCTGGACACGGTGGTTCACGCCTGTAATCCCAGCACTTTGGGAGGCCGAGGCAGGCAGATCATCTGAGGTCAGGAGTTCGAGGCCAGACTGGCCAACATGGCAAAACCCCGTCTCTACTAAAAATATAAAAATTAGCTGGGCGTGGTGACATGTGGTGGACTACACCCAGCTACACGGGAGACTGAGGCAGTAGAATCACTTGAATCACTTGAACCCGGGAGGCAGAGGTTGCAGTAAGCCAAGATCACACCATTGCACACCAGAGTGGGCAACAAAGGGAGACTCTGTCTCAAAAAAAAAGAAAAAAAGAAAGAAAAGAAAAAAATAATGTAAAGTATCTCATAAATTTTTACTTTGATTACACATCGAAGGGGTATTTTTGATCTATGATGTTAAACAAATGTAGTAATAAAAATAACTTCACCTGTTTCTTTTTTGTGATTACAAGCAAATGTAGAATTATATATGTGATGCATATTATATTTCCATCAGCCAGCAAGGCTGTATATGGCCTCACCTCCTATTCCTTTCTCCAGGCTCATTTCCCTCCATTCCAGCCACCCCAGCCTCCTGGATCTTCCTGGAACACGCCCATCACGGCGTGGCCACAGGGCCTTTGCACTTACTGTCCCCTTGGCCTGGAAGTCTCTCCCTCCCCACCACAGCCATACAACCACTCTCCTCATCTACTTCAAGACTCTGTTCAAATGTTACCTAATGTGTGAGTCCTTCCTGACCACCCCACACATAGTAACAACACCCCATGCACATTCCATGTACCCCTACTCCGACCTATTTTTCCCACAGCACTCATCACTATCTGCCATGGTATGTACTTACTTCCTCATTTGTTTGTTTGCATCAAATACAAGCTCCAGGAAGACAGGGCTGTGCTCAGTGCTGTGTCCCTAGTACCCTGTGTTTGACAGGCAGGTGCTATGCAATAGGTATTTAAGGGGTGATGGAATAAATGTATTTAGGCCAGTGTCTATTTTACAGTAAGTGCTCAAAAAATGTTGACTAATATTATTAAGCAAGCAAAATGGTACAGAGTAGGCAACAGTGATCAACACAGGACCATGTGGGGCCTAGCCCAGACCTGAAACTTGGGGGATGATCAACGAAGACTAAGCCATTCACCCAACACTTTGTCTGACCAACAATGGTCTTTTTTTTTCTTTTTTTTTTTTTTTTTTTTGAGTCAGAGTTTTGCTCTTGTCGCCCAGGCGGGAGTGCAATGGTGTGATCGCGGCTCACTGCAACCTCTGCCTCCTGGGTTCAAGAGATTCTCCTGCTTCAGCCTCCTGAGTAGCTTGGATTACACGGACCTGCCACTATACCCGGCTAATTTTTGTATTTTTAGAAGAGACAGGGTTTCACCATGTTAGCCAGGCTGGTCTCAAACTCATGACCTCAGGTGATCCGCCCGCCTCGGCCTCCAAAAGTGCTGGGATTACAGGCATGAGTCACTGTGCCTGGCCAACAATAGCCCTTTAAAGGCAGAAAGAGAAAAGTGCCCTCTCTTCTTGTTATAAAAATAAAAGAGGGGAGGGTACATCCAGACAAAAGAATCTTATTCTGTGATAAAAGGAAATGAGCTATCAAATCATGAAAGGACACGGAGAAAACCTACATGAAAGGAGACATGTATCACACCCTATGATTGTAAAGGTATGACACTCTGAAAAAGGGAAAACAGAGACAGTGAGATCAGTGGCTGCCAGGAGTCAGTGGGGAGTGGGGGAGGAAGACGCAGAGCATGGAGCATTTTTAGGGCAATGAAATCACTCTGTATGATACTGTAATGGAGGATGCATGCCATTAGACGTTTGTCCAAACCCACAGAACGTACAACACCAAGAGTGAACTCTAATGTAAACTCTAGGCTTTGCCTCATAATGATGTGTCAATGTAGGTTCAAGAATTTTAACAAATGCATCCCTCTATAGAGGGATGCTGATAGTTGAAGAGGCTGTGCCTGGGGAGGAGTAGCGGGTAGATGGGAACTCTCTGTACCTTCCTCTCAATTTTGCTATGAACCTAAAACCACTCTTAAAAAAATAAGCCTTTTACTACAAAAATGGAGGCTGGGGGAAATTAAGGCAGAAAGAGAATCAAGGTTTGTTTTCCCAATCAATCCATTAATATATCTTTAATGAGGACCTACTATGTGCCAGGCACTTCCCCAGACACTGAGGCTGCAACCCTGCCAGAGACACAGCTAGGGACGGAGGAGCAGCCCATGCCAATGTGAGTTCTGTGTCAGGGAAGTCAGGTGTGGAGAGAAAAGCATCCTGTCCAGACCTTGGTGGGGGCCGGGGGAGGGGTCCTGGAAGCAGTGACATCACTGCTGAAACCTACAGGAGGACTCAGAGGAAGTAAAGACAGCAGAAAAAGGATCCCAGGCACAGAGGGGAGCAGGTGCAATCGCTGGGAGGAACTGCAAGCAATTCAATACGACTGAACATGGAAACCAAGGCAAGGAATGCCAAGACAAGGGCCTTCAGCCATGTTGGGGCATGTGGCCTCTCAGGCAATTCCTTGAGCTGCTACCAAACCATTCTGCCCAGGACAGAAGGATCCCAGGATGCCTGTCAACACAAGGGCTATTGTGGGGACACTGCCTCTAAGGGACAGGTTCTCTCCCAGGCCAGCCGTAGGACGCACCTGTCAGAGGCTGGCTGGCTGCTGGCTGGAGGAGTGGAGCGGCCGGGGGCCAAGGTGAGGAGAGACAACAGGAGGGACCCCAGAGAGGAGGTTAGCAACTGCAAGCGGAACAGCAGCTAATTTAGGGCTGCGGCTGCCCCCAGGTTCCCCAGGTGCTCCGTTCCCACTCCTCTCAGCAGGTTCCTGAGCTAGTGCTGGTGTAATTATAGCCTCCGTGGCTTCCATTTGGAGCTTGAATAGTGAAAGCTTTTGCTAGGGGGCAGAACGTGTAAACTCCTGGGCCAAAACTTGGTAAATTTCCTAGGAAACAAAAAAAATCAAGAAATGCAGCTCCTACCTGGTTACCAGGAAGATACCCCGTGATCCTCCCAGCAGGAACCGGGTTTGAGTGGGCCGGATGACGGGAGAAAAGACCCCAGGAGCGGGCCTGGGCTCTGAGGCTCTGCCAAGCACCTCACCAAGGAGGCAGCCTGCGCTGCGTTTTCATTATGAGGGAGATGGTGGGGTCAGGGCTGGGCACATGGCCAGCCACTGCCATCTGCAGCAGAAAAACTGGACACACATTCCTTCTGAGACAGCCACTGCCCTGCCACCTACCCTAAGGCTCCTGTCCCTCCTGTCAGGAAGGTGAGTTCCCACTGGGAAGAAGAAGGTGGGGGATTCTAAATACAAACCTCACCTACCAAGACCCCTCACAGTCCTTGCCTGGCACTGGGGCTACAGCCCCTGAGCTAAAATGTACAAAGGGCAGGAAATGGGGATTCAGGAAACCCAGCCCCCTCCGTCTCCCTGCCCCGATCCCCTGCACTGAGAGCTGAGACCACACAAGACCTGAGAGATATTCCGGAGCTAGAAATTGATCCCAGTCCTGGGCTGGCCCTGGAGAGCCTGAACTCAACACGTGCTCCAGCGCCAGCCCTGGTGGGTCTCCCAGGCTGGCTGAGAGCAGCCTTGATGGCCAAGGAGTAAATGGTAAACAGCTGCCCAAGGGAGAGGGAGGCGGGATTTAACACTTGGCCTTCTCCAAAACCGCAGTTAAGTCATCCTCCCAACCTCCAGCTCCTGGCCCTAGGGGACACTCTGGCTTCTTCATCTCCTCCCCTCCTACTCCCTGGGTGAGGGCCAGACCCGGGGAGCGCAGCCAGCTGGGGAGCACAGCCAGCAGCAGAGGGGCAGGACAGCTGAGGAATGCACAACCAGAGGCTGCAGCTCAGCCTCCCCAACTGCCCTGCCGCAGCCACACCCAGCCCAGCCTCTCCTGTTAATTCCTGGAGTGCTGCCCTGAGCCAAGAGCCCATCTGCACCACTAGGCTGTGATTCCAGACACTGGAAGCCCCCACCCCCAGCAGGCAGGCATATGAGTGCTCTTTAAACTCATATTCTTTAAATATTTATTTGGCTTTTATATTGAGCTGGGTTTACCAAATTTCAATTCCCTATCTCGTTTTGGTCATATTAACAGTACCACCTCTACTAATGTTTAATTGATTTTTTCTTTAAATTCCTTAATCCTTTTTTTTGAATGGAGTTTCACTCTGTCGCACGTTGTAGTGCAGTGGCATGATCTCGGCTCACTGCAGCCACTGCCTCCCAGGTTCAGGCGATTCTCCTGCCTCAGCCTCCTCAGAGTAGCTGGGATTACAGGCGCCTGCCACCACACTCAGCTAATTATTTTTTGTATTTTTTTTAGTAGAGACGGGGTTTTGCCATGTTGGCCAGATGGTCTCGAACTCCTGGCCTCTGGTGATCCGCCCGCTTTGGCCTCCCAAAGTGCTGGGATTACAGGCATGAGCCACCACACTGGACCTAAATCCCTTAATTCTTAAATAATGAATCTGTTTAACTCCTTATTGACTCACCTTTTACGTTTTTCAATACCTATCTAGATTTATCCTAAATGATAACACCTATGTTGGTTCTGAATTTTTCTAACCCATTAGAATGCAATAAAGATAAAAATACATATTCGTCGGCCCCATCTCCCATTCTAGCAGTGGTGTGCAATGCACTCGGAGGGGGAAGTCACCGGTTTAGAGAAAAGGCACTTGACCTCTGGTGCATTTGTGACTCACAGGCCCCACCGAGTCAGGAGCTCTGCGGCTGGCACCTGGGCATCTGGATTTCACAAGCTCCCTGTGATTCTGAGGCCACCTTCCAAAAACTGAGACCCAAAGCTTAGGGGAGGAGCAGGGCTGCCCTTGGCCCACTCCCCACACACACACACACACACACACCTCACCCAGCACACAATTTAGCAAGCCTGCCCTTCACAGACGGTGGTCTGTGGCCAGCTACTGTCACCTAGGCACGCCCTTCAACTGTTTCATCCCCCTCTGCCACCTCCCAACAGAGAGGATCTTCAAGGTAGACTTTCCAATCGCAAATGTGCCTGTGGGCAGAAAGGAGAGGTTCCCCATCCTGTAAAGCTTCCCAGCCAATGGGGACCCAGGTGTTTTAACCACCCTTCCTGCCTCCCAGGAAACTGCCCCTCATCCCATTTGCAGCTGCAGTGTCCGTCCCTGAGCCCACCCTGGGTCCCTGAACCAAGATGTGGAGTTCTACTACTTAAACAGGGGTTAAAGAACGTGGGTCCTAATTCTGTCTCTGCTTCTCCAAGCTGAAGAAGACCCCAGGTAAATCTCTGTGCCTTTCTCGGTCTCATTTCTTTACCTGAATGATGACGGGTTTTGAACTGCCTAATCCCTTATATTTTGTGCCTCTCTCACTTACCCACCCAACACACCAGTGCAAGACTCTCAGGGATGGAGGGCCAGGGAAAGCCCTGCTGTCTCACCTCATTCCTTTGAGCCGGAGCCACAGGTCCACCGTGGCAGGCTAAAAGGAGCCCACTCTGGTACTGTGCAAACTCAACAGCATGTGTGCACACCGAGGTGCACACACACACACACACGAAGACACCCAACCATACCCACCTCTCCAGGAGCAGAACCGGAGTCCCTGCATTAGTAGCCAGTCAACAAATATTTTCATACACCAACTACATGCCAGGCCCTAAAATCCAGCTGTGTGCAGGAAAGAAAGAATCTTCCCTCTCCTACAGCTTTCACTCTAGTAAGGGAAAGACTGAGAGTAAACACAAAAATACATAAAAAAGGTCGGCCGCAGTGGCTCACACCTGTAGCCCCAGCGCTTTGAGAGGCTGAGGCGGGCAGATCACTGGAGGCCAGGAGTTACAGCCTGGCCAACATGGCAAAACCCCGTCTCTACTAAAAACACAAAAATGAGTTGGGAGTGGTGGCGTGCACCTGTAATCCCAGCTACTAGGGAGGCTGAGGCAGGAGAATGGCTTGAACCCAGGAGGCAGAGGTTGCAGAGAGGCAAGAACGCACCATTGCACTCCAACCTGGGCGACAGAGTGAGGCTCTGGCTCAAAAAAGAAAGAAAGGAAGAGAGAGAGGGAAAGAGGGAAAGAGGGAAAGAGGGAGGGAGAGAGGGAGAGAGGGAGGGAGGGAGGGAGGGAAAGAAGGAAAGAAGGAAGGAAGGAAGGAAGGAAGGAAGGAAGGAAGGAAGGAAGGAAGGAAGGAAGGAGGGAAGGAAGGAAGGAAAGAAATTTAAAGAAAGGAAAATAAGGGAATTTAAAAAAGAATGACCAGCTGGGTGCAGTGCTTCACACCTGTAACCCCAGCATTTTGGGAGGCTGAGGTAGGTGGATCAGTGAAGGCCAGGAGTTCAAGACCAGCCTGGCCAACAGAGTGAAACCCCATCTCTACTAAAAATACAAAAATGAGCCGAGTGTGGTGGCATGTGCCTGTAATCCCAGCTACTCAGGAGGCTGAAGCAGGAGAATCGCTTGAAGCCGGGAGGCAGAGGTTGCTGTGAGTCAGGATCGCACCACTGCACTCCATCCTGGGCAACAGAGCAAGATTGCGTCTCAAAAAAAAAAAAAAAAAAGAATGACCAGCAAATAAGAGAGGGGCCTTTCCGAGGAGGTGACATCAAGTTGAGGTAGAATGACTAAAATGGCGGGCAGGAATGGACCACACACACAAAAACAAAAACAAGGTAAGAGAATTCCAAGCAAAGGAGGAGCAAGCACAAAGGTCCTGAGACAGCTATGAGCTTGGCACGTTCCTAATCAAAAGGAAGGGTAAGGTTGCCAGAGCTTCCTGGAGGAGGCAGAAGTTAGAGGAAGTAGAAGTCAGAGGGACAGTCAGGGGAGACCTTGCGGGGCAGGTAAGAACTTCAGATTTTATTCTAAAATGCAAAGCGCTGGAGAGCATTAAGGAGGAAGGCACATGACCTCATTCACTGACACATGGAACTGAGGGTATATCTGAGGGTTTGAAGCAGAAAAGGAGACCAGTCACAGGCTGCTGAAGCAGCAGAAAGCTAGTGGAGGCTGGGGTGGGGTGGTGACTGCAGAGAGGGCAAAATGTGAACCCATTCTGCATATAATTTAGAGATAAAGCCAAGGATTGCTTGCATTTTGAGTGGGAGGAGAGAGAGAAATCAAGAAAACCTCTTGGATTTTTGGCCTGAGCACCAAGTAGATGGAGATATCATTTCACGAAAAAGGAAAGACTTGGAAGGAAAGAAGAGAGGCAGAATGAAATGGACTATTCTGTTTTTGACTTAAGTTTGAGATGTCTATTAGATGTCGAAGCAGGGATGTTGAATAGGCAGAAGGGTCCACAAGCCTGGAGTTCAAGAAAGAGGTCTGGGCTAAAGACACAAAACTTGGCATGGTTGATACTGGAGGAGGTTGTGGAAAGCCACATAACTCAGTGAGGCGCCACAGGTTGGGGATGAGAACAAAGAAGAGGAAACAAGTCAGGACAGAACTCTGGGTCGCCTTATGTTCAATGGAGGCCAGAAAGGAGAGGACCTTTAGCTGGTGGAAAAATCAAGAGATGCTGATTTCACGGAAGGCAAGAGTTTCGAAAAGGAGGATGGTCAACTGACACCCCCCCAAATACTTAGGGGCATAAGGGTGAGTGGAGGGGCAACTCACAATGAGATGTAGAATAAATAAACTCTCAGCAGGGCTGGAAGGAAGACAGCAAGGGCGGGTAGAGAAAGGGAGGGTCCAGGAGCAGAGACTCCAGGGAGTTGCCCCTAATCCCAGCCCTCCCTGCAGGGTTAAAGCCACCACAACCATCACCTCCACACCTCATGCTGGATGACTGTCATCTCCACACCTCATGCTGGATGTGCATCACCTCCACACTTCACGTTGGATCTCCTCATGGAGCATCCAACCCCAGCCCGCCCTCAAGATCCATTTATTTTTTGCAACAAACACTTACTGACAACCCACTGTGTGTAAAGTAAGGCTGGATTGACGAATAAAACCACCAAGTCACCTGCCATCCTGGGGCTCACATTCTAGCTCAGGTGAGAGATCACAAGTAAACAGATGGAAACTTTCCCCTTTGGGTGTGGAGTCCCAGAAAAAGCAGAGACCCTGGTCCAGCAGTGGCTTGTGGGGAAGACGGAGGACCTGGCTGGGCCACTATCAGAGCAAGTGTGCACAGGTTATGTAACCTCTTTGAGCCTCACTTTCCTCACCTGCAAAACTGGGATAGAACATCTACCTGCCTTACACAGAGGACTATGCTAAGAGAAAAAGGGACAATGTGGATGAAAATACCCCTTGCAGTTTCCAATCCATAGTACACAGGCAATAAATGCTTGTTTAAAAAGGTGTCACCTGGCTGGGTGCGGTTGCTCACACCTGTAATCCCAGCACTTTGGGAGGCCAAGGTGGGTGGATTGCTTGAGGCCAGGAGTTCGAGACCAGCCTGGCCAACATGGTGAAACCCCATCTCTACTAAAGATATGGAAATTAGCTGGGCGTGATGGTGCGCACCTGTAATCCCAGCTACTCGGGAGGCTGAGGCACGAGAACTGCTTGAACCAGGGAGGTGGAAGTTGCAGTGAGCTGAGGGCTGTCACCACTGTACTCCAGCCTGTGTGACAGAGCGAGACTCTGTCTAAAAAAATTAAAAAAATTAAAAAAAGTGTCCCCTGGCTGGAAAGGTCCTCCCTCCCATCTCACCTCTCTGGCTACCTTCACATTACACTGCCCTGCTAGGAAAAGAAGTCAGTCCCTTGTGCTCCGGCCTCTACACACTATGTGGCAAAAGATAAAATGGTCCCCAGTCTTCCCTTCCATAAGCAAAAGATCTTCAGGGCTTCCTCTGCTCCATCCCAAGCAAGATCTCGGGGCATCTTCCTCCCTTCTGGGCCCCCTCACCACCAGGAGTGGGGGCCAGGAACACCATACCATCTAGCTGGAAGCAATACATCAGTGTCCCCGTCCCCAGGAGCTGGCAAGACCAATAGCAGAGCCTTGCCTCCCAGTCCTCTCAGTTGTCAATCAAAGCCCAAGGATCCAATGGGACCTGAACCCTTGTCCCCTACTGCTCTGTAGGTCAGGGTGCTTACCCTCCTCAAATCAGTCCTGGAAGTCTTAGTCCAAGCTTCTTTATAATCTCAACTTTCTTTCTGAACTTTCCCCTCATTCCCAGCCCTACCATGACACCAGGACCACCCAGCAGTCTCCAGGTGAAGCTGCATTTTTGGAAGCAGGCTAACCCGCCAAAAATCAATTTGACGAATGGCAAATACACTGAACATCAATTTGAAATAAAATCAATTTGGAACCTTTCAAATTGCATTTTATATTTTGTCAAATTTTAACCACACTTAAATTTCTTTCTCCAAGTCCTCAAATTTCAGGTTAGTCTTAATTTTGTGGTTCTGACAATTAAAAATTTAAGTTCTATCTTTCTCATTCAAAGGAATTTTTTCAACCGCTTTTGAGTGGCCTATTTCTTTTAAATATAGTTTTGGTATTTGGGGGGTTTTTTAATATTTAGGGTTTTTACCATTCTCATACAAAATTCCCACAATGATGAGTTGGGTTTAATTTTGTATTTGTAACCATTAAAAACCAAATTTGAGGCATTTCATATTGATGTGATTAACCTAAATCTTTCCTCAGCATTTTTTATTTGATGGTATAGAGAATGGACACAGGATTTGAAGCACCCATCATAAGCTAAACTTTTGTTTACTGATTATGAAATATACTTTTCTCACCATAAGAAGTCCACATCAACTCATGACCCTTAGCTTCCCAAAAACTGAATATATCTTAAAATATAGCTATGAAGACCATTTGCAAAAATCTTCAAAAGCCATGAAAACCATTAAATGTGAATTTCTAAAACCATGAAAAATAATTCAAAGACTTAGTTTGGGTAAATCAATGCATTTTGTAAAATCAGTGACTTTGTTATTTAGCATCCTAATTTTGAAAGAAGTGGCTATTGGGCAGCTCATGGATGGCTGGGGGCCTCCTTTCTCCTCATCATTTCTGCCCCATCTGTCCTCCTGGGAAGTTCATGTCATCAGCTGCCCCTACTCCCCTGGAGGCTGTCACTCACCAACCCTGCCATTCCCCTCTCTCAGGAATGACCTCACACCTGGCTCACCATCTCCGGTTCATCCCTTCCTGGGCACCATTCCTAGAGGCTTCCACTCAACAGGGGCGGTCTGTCTGCACAACACTCTATCTGCCTCCAGTGATCTCCTCCTACCCTTAGCTCCCCACTGCCGTAGTCATATCCTTGACCTTGACCTTCATCAACATCCAAATCCCTGCTGAAAGGTTGACATCACATCCCAACCTCAAGCCACCCTCTCCTCACCTTCCAGCTCCCTCTCTGGAATTCCCACTCCAGCAAACCCTCAACCTCTCCCAGACCCTGACCCCCTGACCCAAACACTTGCTCTCCCTCATCCGTCCCCCTACCCTGTCCTCAATTCCTCCCTACCCAGCCTACACTTCCCAGCCTGCATGAAACCCCCTGAGCTCCTCAGCCCCTCTCCTCCTCTCTTCCTCCATCATAGTCACAAACCAATAAACCCAGTGAAACCCAGCCACCCCCACTCCATGCTGGCTCCTGAGCAGCCAAAGGTCACTAGGTAACACACACACACACACACACACACACACACACACACACACACACACACACACACACACACCAGCTGACTGGTCTCACTTTGAGGTCCCAATCTCAAGCTCCAAATGGCTTAAAGCAGCCATTTCTCACCTTCCCCTGTTTAAGCTGATTACCTTGTGTCTTGGTCTGTTCGGGCTGCTATAACAAATACCACAGACTGAGTGGCGTATAAATAAATCACAGAAATTTATTTCTCATGGTTCTCAAGGCTGCAAAGTCCAACATCGAGGTGCTGGTGGATTTGGTGTCTGGTGAGGACTCACTTGCTTGTTCACAGACAGCCATCTTCTGGCTGTGTCCTCACTTGTTAGAAGGGGCAAGTGAGCTCTCCAGGGTCTCCTTTAGAAGCACACTAATCCCATTCATAAGGGCTCCACTCTCATGTCCTAATCACCTCCCAAAGGCCCCACTTCCTAAAACCCTTGCCTTGGGGCTTAGGATTTCAACCTATAAATTTGTTGGGCAGCAGGACCAAATATTGAGACCATAGCACCTTAACTCATTATTTGATAAGAAAATAGATTTGGACAGAAATGCCCTCGCCTTGTCACCCACCAGTGACCAGTCTGTCTCACCTGGACATCCAGCTCTGCCTTCTCTCTGTTAGAAGGACCCAGCTCCAGCCTCGCCAAAGGCTGCCCTGCCATGCGTGCTGGTGCACGCCACATGGACCCCATCCCTCCTCACTTATTGAAGACATCACTCCTGAAATCGCCCCTTCCTGCTTACATCCTTCAATTCCACCCTCTCTTGGGACCTTTCCCAACAGGTACAAATGTGCCACCATCATTGCCTTTCTCAAGACAGAACAAAACCAAAAGCAAAGCCTTCCCTTGACCACTACCCAGCCCCCTATTTCACTACTCCCCTTCCTAGCAAAGCTTGAAAGAGTAGATTTCTGGTTGCTGATTTTACCTTCTCCCTTCACATTTTCTCCTCCATCCTCCTCACGTCAACATTCCAACCTCACCCTCCAAGAAGAATATTCTGGCAAGATCATGGGTGACCTCCATGTCACTGAATCAGAAAGTCACTTCTCTAAACTTCACTGGCTTGACTTCTGGGCTGCATCTGACCAGGCTAACCACTTCCTCTTTCTTTCTTTTTCTTTCTTTTTATTTTTTATTTATTTATTTTTTTTGAGACATAGTCTTACTCTGTCACCCACACTGGAGTGCAGTGGCATGATCACAGCTCACTGCCACCTTGACCTCACGGGCTCAAGCAATCCTCCCACCTCAGCCTCCTGGGTAGCCAGGACCACCCGCATGTGCCACCATGCCTGCCAGTTTTTGTGTATTTTGTAGAGGTGGGGTTTTGCTATGTTGCTCAGGCTAGTCTCGAACTCCTGGACTCAAGAGATCCACCCGCCTCAGCCTTCCAAAGTGCTGGGATTATAGGTGTGAGCCACTACACCTGACCCACTTCCCCTTTCTTGACACTTCTACTTGACTTGGCTTTTCTGACACAGCTGACTGATTTCTCTCTCCCTCTCTGGCCCTAGTCTCAGCTGCCTTTGCTAGCTCTTCCTCCTCTACTTGGTGAGACCCAGCCTCACTCTCCTGACTATATACCCTCCCTCCATGACCTCATGGTTCCGTGGCTTTAAACACTGTCTATATGCTAATCACTCTCAATCCATGTATCAACCCTGACCTCTCCCCAGAATTCCAGGCCTACATCTAACTGTGTCCTTGGCACTTCCGGGGGGAGATCTAATTGGCAACTCCACCCTAAAATGGCCAATACAGAACTCTTAATTTCTGCCCACTGAACTTCCCAATCTGTTCCTCCTCTCATCTTCTCCTTCCTAGTAAATGGCACAAGCAGCTTCACTGTTGTTCAAGTACAAAATATCGAGTTGTCCATAAATTCATCCCACTTCCTTTCAACCCCACCTCCAAAATATATTCCCAGCCCATGCATCCTCTCCATCTCACCTATGACCGTCTGCAGCAACCTCCTAACTGATCTCCCTGGCTCCACTCTGCTCTGTGCCCAGCCCCATGATCCATCCTCCACAGTGCAAGAGTCATCTTTTCAAACACATAGATCATACTGTGCTAGTCAACCGCCTCAATGCCTCCAGTGGTTTCTCATCACTCTTAAAATAAAAGGTTCCAGCCACATGTGCTTCCCTGGGTCCCACCCTCCACGTGCAGGACCCCACCCAGGCCTTTCGCTAGCTGTTCCATCTGCCATTTCCCTCATCTTCCCACTGCTGGATCCTTCCTGTGAGTCAGATTTTGTGGTTCCCAGTCACCTCTGTCCCATCATCCTATTTTAATTCTCAGCTTGGCATTCATCACTATCTCACATGTCTTGTTAATTTGTTTGTTGGCTTGTTTTCTATTTTTCTCTGTCTCCAGCTAATAGAAGAACATAAACTCCATACGAGCAGCACCCGCCCATGTTGTTCGCTGATGTATCCTCAGCACCTCGAACAAGGCATGGCCCGCAGAGGGTGCTCAGTGAGTTATCTGGGGATAAATTCACACACCTTCCCTCTGAGCCTAAGCTCCCCGAGTTAGCGCGGAAGCCTCCAGTCGCAGGACGCCCCAAACACACGAACCAAGTGCAGTCCACACATTCCTGTTACTGATCAGGCAAAGATGGCCTCCCTTTTTCTAATGCCCCTCCCCCTTGAGCCCCTCTTTCCATGGCTCCCCTAAGAGGATGAACAGGGGCCTGGGGGGTCATTCCCCTGATGGTCGGAGCTGAGACTGTTCTGAGCCGCTCTGGCCCCTCCCTCCCTGTCCCTCCTTCCGTCCTGTCCCTTCAGACAGAAGGCCACTGCCAAAGACCCACACACACAAACCGCCCACCCACACGCTCCACACACCTCATGCACATCACACCTATGCACACCCTGTCCCACACACACCCGCACACGTACATCACCCCACATCCACACACACGCTAACACATACCTACACACACAAACACCTACACACACTCCACCACCGACACACATACATTACCTCATACACTTACTACATACCACACACAACCTACATACACCAGCACATATATTACACACACTGCCATGCACAAAACCACCACACACGCATCACAGGCACCCCATACACTATCTCACACACACCCCACACACACCACCATACATCACATACACACACACCACCTCACACCACCACACACATGCATCACATATACACACACCACCACAAACACCCACACATCACCGCCTACACATATCCACCATGCCCAAACACACACACACACCACCTCACACACATCACATACACACACCACCACCACATACACACACACCACTGCCTATACATATCTACCGCCTCCACACACACACCCCACCTCTCTCACACACACACATCCTACCATGCATATGCCATGCGTACTTACACTCTCCACACACCAGGCACACACACGTGTTCCCGTCACACAATGACCCCTCTCCCGCTGTTCCTCACCGTGCACGGGGGTTACAGGAGCGTGCAGGCATGGGTGGGAGGGGAATGCCCAGGGCACGTGCTCACAACCTGTTTTCTGAGCCGGAGTGATTGCAGTTGATGGCGAAGCCAGGGCGTGCTCAGGGAGCCCGGAGCCCCACCAGCGCCATCTCAAGAGCAGCACAGAGCAGGGGCGTCCGGCCAAGAGCCGCCCCACACCCCAGCCACTGGCAGAGCCTGCCTCACACACGGAAGGAGAAGCAGGCAGGTGGCTCCCTGGAAGATGTTATTTGGAGGGTACCCAGAAAATACCTTCATCCAAAAAAATCTCACTTCAACCACAGCACCTGAAATACCACCATGAAAGAGGCTTTGGTTGTGGGAGGGGGCACTAAATTTTGTTCCCTCCTCGTCTTTTTCATAGCAATTTCTTCCTTGGACACAAAGGCAACCACAGATGAAGTCACCAACACCCTGCTCACACCTTAGTGCCAGCAAATCCTTCTACCGACTGACAAGAGCCTGAGGTCACTGGCGTTGACAGAGAGAGAGAGAGAGAGCAGATGAAAACAGAAGAGGGAAAATGTCGATCCCTCCAGCTCCGCCACCTGCGGAGAGGGAAGCTGCCTTCCTCCTGGCGGCCCCAAGCGCCGTGAGAGTCACTGGGTCACCTCTCTCCACCTCCTGACAGTCCACCTCTCCTCGTCTCCATAGCCCCCACTCTCTTGCACCCCACACCTGCTCCTTGGCCATCAGCTGAATTCTCCCTGAAAGGGGAGGTGTCGGAGGTGACAGAGCTGCAGCTAAAGCCCAATTTTCGTTGACACTCAGAGTCTCTGACAGCTGTTAGAAGAAGAATGTGATTTTGAAATTTAAATAACATGCTTCTGCATTCGGCTCAGGGAGACAACCTGAGGATAAGCAGTTTATCGCCCGAGCCACCATGAAGGGGGCAGGGAGAGCTGCTGCTGTTCTTCCAGTTCTTCCCTGCCCTCAGCCCCCTGTGCCCCCGCCTCATCACAGGGCGGCCTCGGAAGGGGGTCCCTGAGAGGCACCAGCCCGACCTGCTGAAACATTAAAGCCTCACCGTCTATTCTTTTGCTCAGCAGCCCAAGGAGAGCAGGGGGTGCCTGCACAAAGGCTGGGTCTCCTGCCTCCGGGCCTGGGGTGCACAGAGGGAGCCGACCCAGGGAAGGCAAGGGGCTTCCCTAGACACCGGCCGAGCAAAGCCGGGCCCAATCCTCCCACAGCCCCCACCAAGGCCACAGGGGTGTCTTCCTGGGAACTGACTTTTGAGCCCAGGGATAAGTCTCTCCCCACACCAAGGACAGACCAGCTCCTCCCTAGGGACCCGAGACCCCTAATCAGGCAGTCATCCTGAGCTCTGTCATGGAGAAGTCCTGGGCTGGAGCACCCCAGAGAGGCCACTGTCCTGTCTGCCACAATGATCCCTGTTCACCGTCCCCTGAGCCCCCAGGCTCAAAAGACTTGAGGTTCCTTCATCACCCCAGGCTTAGCCAGGCCTCCCAGCCATGATGCCACCAGGAACATCATTCCCACATCGCACTTCCTCCTCTTCCAAGACTTCCTCAATTTCCCCAGGCATTGCTGGTTGCTGCCTCCCCTGAACTCTTGGGGCAGCACTTGGTCTACATTGCTACTGAAAACAAGCCACTTAGGGAGTGCCTAAATGAGTATCTACCTGTTGCACCACACAGTGAGGACACAGGTCTGATTCTCTTACAGCAGTGGTTGACCGTCTCCGGAACACACAGAGCACTCATTATTTACTGAACAAAACATGCTCCTCCGAAGTCTGGCCCCAGCCCCGCCCCAGCCCCGCCCCTGCCCTGCCCCTTCCATGATCGATTCCTGCACACCACGGCCAGGATCCACCCCTTCTCAATGCCCCAGATACTCCTAAGATGTCACACACATGTGACACCTCACAATTGCTTAGCACCTCCTGCAAAGCCATCAGCTCCCTCCAGTCAGCGAACGGTGATACCCTTCACCAGCACCTAGGGTGCTCCTGTGCCCTGGCACGCTGCATGCCAGTGCTTGCAGGGCAGCTGGACTGCTCCACCTTACAGATAAGAAACATGAGGTTCAGGGGGTCTAGTGACCCTGAGCTCCCACAGTAGGGTAAGGCCAGGATTCAAAACGAGGACTAGCCGGCCTCAAAGTTCACATTCCAGCCGTGATGCCAGGATCCTCGGGGGCCATGTATTAGATACAAAGCACAGTGTCACACACACACGCAGAGGGTGATGGCCACACAGGACACAGAGACCAACACGTACAATCGCACACATGCCCTCAATACGTGGCAGTGAGCACCATGATAAAGGACAAAGTGCTGTGGCACCAGGGGCCGGTGGTGGTTACCTCTCAGAGGCCGTATGCAAGGCTTCTTGGCAAGGGGTAGCGTTTGAGTGCTATTTCCCTCCTCTCCTGAGCCCATCCTCCAAGAAGGACCACAGGAGCATCCAATGAGAACATCATTGGCCCTCTCCAGGCTCCAACCAAGCAAGATGGCCCACCCCAGATGCATGCTGGCCAACCACGGTAGACAATGCCATCTCTTCTACCTTCAGTTCACAAAGGCCACTGAGGCCAGGCCGCTCACCAGCCTCTATCTGTCCCTGTCACAGCATAGTACATGATGGCCGTCCCCACCCAAGACTCCCTCTGAGCTTCAGGGACCCACAGCTCTCTGGAAATCACCTGATCACCTCTACTCCAGTCACCACCAAGCACTATCCCAGCGTGAAAGGTGGCCTCGAATCAGCAAAGGCACACACAGTTTCTAGAATGCCGGGTTCTAGGCTGGCCCAGCCACAACCTGCCATCGAACCTTGGAGAAATCAGTCCATACGAATGTTTTAAAAGCTAACCTGGCTTAGTGCAGCATGCCAGGCTCAGGCCAAGCACTCACCTGCACTATCTCATTTAGTCTTAACAAAAATCCTCAGAGGTAGGTGTTGCCATTGGCTCCAGGCTGGGGGAGAGGACAGGATTGGGGCTTAGAGGAGAAGCGCTTCAGAGGTGGGACAGGGATTGGAATCCCATCAACATGTGTGCCTTCCCTCTGGGCCTCAGTTTCCCCTTCTGTCAGGTGAAGGAGTGGGCCTCCATGATCCCTAAGTTCCCTTCCAGCTTCAGAAAGGATGCCCCATGCCCAAGCCTCTAGCCACACTTGCACGGCATGGCCAGACCCCAGAGCCCCTGCCCCTCACCCAGGATGCAGACACAGTGCCTGATGACAGCCAAGGCCATCTGCCCACCACTTTTCCCTGTCCTTTAGGCATGGGCCCAGTGGCGGTGAGGATGCCTCTGCCCAACCCGCCCAGTCCTCTTCATCACCACTTTGATGTCCACCCACTTCTCTCTAGCCCCACAAGTCCACACCCCTGCTGGCTCCACACCACCCTTCCAGGTCCTCCTTCCCTCCGCAATCTCTCTTCCCCACCTTGGTTCCACCCTCTCCTGCCTCCCCAGGTGAAACCAGCTGGGATTCGGCATTCACAGGGTCATGGAGCCTGGGGATGAGGAGGATGCTCCACTTCAGCTCCTCAACCCCTGCATCCAACTAAACAACCTCCTGCCTCCACTGAGCACCCCAGGCAGACAGAGGATGACCCACTGCGCCAAGGCTGGCTCAGTCCCTGATGCGCCGTGGGCACTGTGCCAACATCCATTCCCACCGAACCCTCTTAGGGCATCACATGTCCATCTTACACACATAGGCACCACAGCTCAAAAAGGCCACAGTGAGCCCCAAGATCACACACCCCTAAAAAGCCGAGTCAGGATTTGAACCCAGGACCATCTGGCTCAAGGCCCGTGCTCTTCCAGGCACCTCCCTAAATACTGTCTCACACTTTCAAGGGCAGTTTGAATTGCTAGAAACAGGACAAAACTCACTTCCTCTCCATGAAATCTCTTCCCACATAGAAGGGGAGGGAAGGATATGTGGACACGTCCAACATCACTGTCGCTGTGACTCAGGACACAGCCACACTGCTCCCTCCTTCGCCCTGGACTCAGGACTCATTGACCCACTGCTGAGCCCAGGGCCTGTCAGGCAGCACTGGGCAGAGAGGAGGGAAGAAGCTGCCCTTCCCCAAGGCTTCTGGACATTGGAGGGTGTTGCAGGAATCCTGGCAGCTTCTTTGCAACAGAATCCCAGTACGACTTTCCGAGAACCCCAACAGAAAGAGATGAAGAAGAATACACGTTCCAGGAGGCCCCTATAACAGGGCCCTGAATTCTCAGACAGGAGCTGGTAAACAGATAGTAGCAACTGAGTCCCAAAGACACAGGAGCATCCTCCCTGGTGTCCCACCTGGAGGTAGTACAACCCAGAAGCAGCCACCAAGACTCCATGCCTCCCTCCCTACCCACAGTCTTTCCCCACAGAGAAGTGAAGGGGGCAGCACGCAGGCAATATGAGTTGGGTGGGGAGGGGCTTCCCACGGGATTTCATGCAGTCCTATGGGGTGGCAGCCTTTTAATGCCAAAGCTCTAGTGCAGGTCTTGGGATACTCACAACAAGACTTTGCAGCCAGCGTGCGACACACAGGTGGGGGATACATGTGCCCGGATATTGACAAGCAGGAGGCTCGTGATGGCCTGAGCATTAAGCTGGTCTGCTCACCCTGCCGCATCACCATTTTCTGTGTGCCTTGATGGGACAAAGGTTGGGAAGCACTGCTCCAAGCTCATGTCCTCATTCAGACAGAAGATCTGGCACATGAAATGAGCCTACCCAAGATCCTACAGGTGATCTGTGGTGGGGACTGCATTGGAACCGCCTCCCAGCTCCTGTTCTCACCTTCTTTCTGCTGAGCTCCTCACCATGGCCAGTTTGGTTTCTTTTCTTTGTTTTGGGAGGTTTTTTTGAGACAGGGTCTCACTCTTATCGACCAGGCTGGAGTGCAGTGGTGTCATTATGGCTCACTGCAGCTTCGAACCCTTGGGCTCAAGCAATCCTCCCACCTTGGCCTCCAAAAGTGCTGAAATTACAGGCAAGCGTGAGCCACTGTGCCCAGCCCCAGCTTGGTTTCTTGGTAGCAGGGCCGGGGCCTCCCTACTCAACTATGTGCCCAAGTCTCCCCAGACACAGCTGCCTACTCACCTAACCCTAACGCTTCTCTGGGTGGAGCAGAGTCAACAGAGGCAATGAGGAGGGACCGGCACAGTCCCCAAAGCCCAGCCCTCATGGCAGGGAGTGGTCCCTGGAGCACAGAAACCCAGAGTTTGCGTGGGGCCCAGTTATCTCTGGGCAGCAGGTAAAAGGGGGCTGATTCGGTGAGCTGCAGACCTAGTAACTTCCTCATTTGTCTTGTCAACATCCTGTCCCACAGAGTGTCAAGTCCATTAGGTAAAGATTTTCTGCTAGGAAGATACTTAAGCATGAGTCCAGGGAGCAGAAGGGGCTTGGGCTAAGGCGAGGATCTCTACGCTTCAACATCCAGGAGCAAGTCAAAGCTATTTATTACTGGAGGGCAGCCCAGTGTCACCTGTGCACGCAGTAGTAATCTGCCGGTACCTGAGCTTCACACAGAGTAGAATGTGGGTGCATCTGGCGGCCACCAGGGTGTGCCCACCATAGCATCCACAGGCCAATGGCATCCTCAACCTGCTTCTGAGCCCCAGAGCACTGTCTCAGAAGGAATGGTCCCAAGTGGATTTCTATGCAAAACTCATCAGGAAATGTGAGAATCAGAATGCCTGTGCGGGAAGGACTCTCAGCCCCATCCAGTCCAGCCCTTGGCCAAGACTTACCGTAGAGCTGCCATGGTGCCCACAGGCAGTGCCAGCATGGGAGCTGCTCTGAGCTCAGAGCCTCTGTATGACCCCACTGGGGGTTATGATGCTGACAGCCCAGCGCAAGGTGCTCAACACAGCTGACTTTGAGGTCTCCGCTCCATTCACCACCACCCCAACCACCGCCAGTGCCCAAGGCCACACCCAGATGGCCACCCACTGGCCAGTGCCTCCCTTCCTGGGCATCCAAGATTTCTCCCACTAGGGACACGTGTATCATCCCTGTTTCAATCTCCTAGAGCGTGCTTTCTCCACGGGAAGGACGGGCGTCACCTCAAGGGAGCAAAAGCTGGTTCTTGGGTGGACAAAAAGAGAAAGAAAAAGGAGATCTTACAATGGTTTATGGTCCTCCAAAACTCAAACCTTCAAGACAAAATGTTATTCCTTGGTATTTAATTTCTCTAGTTAGGAAGAATTATTTTTTCTCCTTGGAAAACAATAATGGAAAAAAAAAGAATGGTTGAGAAACATGGTCCTAGAGAGTTCTTTATTTGAAAGGGCTTAGGTTCTCACTGGAAATGCTTTCAGCTCACAGTTTACAGCAGTGCTTCTCAACTGGCAGTGACTGTGCCCCCCAGGGGACATCTGGCCCTGTCTGGGGACATCTTTGTTGTCACAGCTTGCAAGAGCGCGGCTGGCATCCAGTGGGGCCGGGGACATTGCTGAACATCCTCAGACTCACAGGACGGCTCCTCCCACAAGAAAGAATTAACCAGCCCAAAATGTCAATAGTGCTGCTGTTGAAAACCCCGCTTTAGAGCCACAGAAACTCCAGAACATTTCAGACTGCCACAAAACTGCATGTAAACGAGATTTCCTGTGCTCAAAGATCCCTGAGAACAAGCCCCACTCTGGCCACCCCTGGAGCATCAATCTCCAGCAATCCCCTAGAGGAGCTCACCCCCCACCCCCACAGAGCACTCCCAAGACCAGAACCCCCTCCCCAGTGCCCAGGCAGGGTGGGCTGCCCTGGGCCCAGTGTCTCCCAGATGCCAGAGAGAACAAAGCCGAGAAGAAAGACCCCCAGAGCTTTACCTGGTGCCTACATGTGGAGCCTGGCAGACAAAGCTAGAACCCAATGGAGACGGTATCACTTCCCAAGGAGGATGGCACAGGGGGTGGCCTGAGGACCAGAGTGGCTCCTGCAGACACCTCCCTTCATGTGGTTCAAGAAGAGCCCTCAAGAGAGAGGGAAAACCCAGGGCAGAACAGATCTTATAGGACCAGTAATAACAAGCCACAGCTGATGCTGACTGATGCGGCGTGCTGAGCACTTTACCACCCACTGACCCACTTAGACCTCGCAGCAATCCAATGAGGTCGGTACGGTACTCCCCCATCACAGCTGAGGAAACTGAGGCCCAGACAGGTTAAGCAACTTGACAAAGTGGAAGAGCTCCAAAGCAGGAGAGCCAGGGAACTGGAAAGAGGGAACAAGGGTAAGATAGAAGGGTGACACCAGGTTCCAGATTCAAGCCCTACTCCATGACAGCCACCTGGCCAGGCAATTTCCACCAACGCCTTGCTCCATAGAAGCACCCAGGGAGGTGGGCATCGTGTTCTTTACAGAGGAGGAACTGAGGCTCAGAACCGTTGAGGGACGAGCTGATGGGCAGCAGGGCCATCATCGGACGCCAGGATGCCTGTCCAAGCCCAGAGCTCCATCTGCCATGCCACAGGGACGAGAGGAGAACGGGCCAAGTCCCAGTGCGAGCTCACTTACCTGAGAAGATTGAAGCAAGCCTGAAGATGTCCGAGAGGCGGGAGGTCACCGGCTCATAGGGGGAGGCTTCGTAGAACTCCTCACCTGGAAGACAGAACAGGCATCAGATGCGGGCTCCTCCGGGCCAGAGCGCTGCCGGCACTTAGCAAATCTGCCGGAGGAAAGCTCTCTACCAGGGGAAAGCTCGTGCCACCCAAAGGATAAGAGACAGGGCAGCCCTTCCCAAAGTGAAGAGTGCAGGACCAGGGCACATTAGCAACGAAATGTTTAGCATTTCATCTGGGCAGGTCTGTCTCCCCAACTAGAGGAGAAGCTCCCTGACAGCAGCTCAGAACTGCCTGACGCTTCTCTCTCGTGACCACCCTGCATGGCCAGCCCCCTTGGAAGGACTTGCAGGTGCATCTGGGGGAAGTGGAGCAATGCTGGCCCACGTAAGGCCAGGTATCAATTGCAGGATTTGAAGCCAGAATGCTCTCCACAATCATGCCTCATTTCACAAGAGAGGGCTCTGAGGTGGCCCGGAGAGGTGAAGAAACCTGCCTGAGATCACACAGCTACTCCTGGAAGGGCCAGAGTTAGACTCTGCTGTCCTGGCCCTCCCACCAGCACCCTTTCCCATCACACCACGCCAGCTCCGCCCAGGTCACTGAGGAGGACAGAATTTCCTCTTTGCCCCCCATCGTGTCACCAGGAGAATCTTGCTGGAGGGGCTGAAGGTCTGCTCAGTGGGTGGGCTGATCCCCAGCTTCCATCTGCGTGGTCCCTCTCCTGCAGGGCCCTCCTGTTCTCCCCACCACCTGCAGGCTCCTTGGACCTTTCCTCGAGGCTTTGGGTGCCTTGGGGGCTCAGGAATGGAAAAGCAAGTGAATAACAGGAGATGGATGGCCCAGGGCTCCCCCAAAGACCCCACCACAGTGTCAGGAATCCCACCCTCCTCTGCTGAGGCCTCAGCGGGAAAGGAAATAGTCTCTTGAGACGTTATTGGTGAGGGGAAATTGATGGCTCACCACTCATCCTCTGTGTGTGTGTGTGTGTGTGTGTGTGTGTGTGTGTGTGTGTGTGTGTGTGTAGTGAAAAGCAGGGCACAGCCTCACAGACTCATTTCCCATCCAGGCAGGGCCTGGTGCCCAGGCAGGCACCCTCTGCCTAAGAGAGAGCACAGGTGGGGCAGCCTCTTCAGGGTTACCTGCAGCAAGGTATCATGGGCCTGGAAGAGGGGCTTTGCAACCCCACTGCATGTGGTCACCCAGAGGCTGGAACTGGAGACTCAACTAGCCCCCTGCAGGCTCACCGAGCAAGGAGGCTGCCTGTTATTTCCGGCAGACCCCCAAGAAATGGGGCAGCCCCAGAGGACAAGGAGGAAGCATATTCCCTGCATTAGGAACAGCCTCCACCTTTCACGTCACCTCCTAAAAGCAACCCTCATGCCCCGCAACACCCAGGACACACAGCAGGTGCCCAGCTGGAATTTGACAACAGCCTCATCCAGACGAGACTCTTTTTTTTTTTTTTTTTTGAGACAGAGTCTCACTCTCACCCAGGCTGGAGTACAGTGGCACGATCTTGGCTCACTGCTGCAACCTCTATCTCCTGGGTTCAAGCGATCCTCCCACCTCAGCCTCCCAAGTAGCTGGGATTACAGGCACGTGCCACCATGCCCAGCTAATTTTTGTATTTTTAGTAGAGATGGGGTTTCACCATGTTGGCCAGGCTGGTCTCAAACTCCTGACCTCAAGCGATCTGTGCACCTCAGCCTCCTAAAGTGCTGGGATTACAGGAGTGAGCCACCGCGCCCAGCCAAGACGCATTATTTACGGCCCATATCTGATCCCACCTTCTCCTTGGGGCCTTTGGGCCCCTGTCCAGCCTGGATGATCTCAATGTCCTCCACCCCACCTACTGGCACTTTAGACTCTCTTGAGAAACTCCTTGGGGTGGGGTTACCAGCCATTGCTATTTATTGAGGCCAAACAATATAGGAACTTAGGAAATCACTTTTACAATAAAAATAATGTTAGACTGCGTTTTCCAGGTGCCAGCACTGAAAGTGCTTTAGATATAGCTCATTTCATCCTCTTAACTACTCTATGAGATAGGCACTATTTTTCTCCCTGTTTGACTGATAAGGAGGAACAAGGAGCACAGAGACATTAAGTAGCTTGACCAAGGTCACACAGCTAACAAGCGACAGAGCCAGGGTTCACACCCAGGCAAAGCCCAAGTGCTTCACTGCTGTGAATACTGTCTCCCAAAATGCAGAGTGTTATCGGAACCAAGTCATTCCTAAATAAGTACTGTTGTTCCCCTTTTCCCAAGATCAGTCTTCTGTCCGCCAGATGGTGCCCCGGGGTGGTGTGGGGGCCTGTCCTTCCCTACTGCATCTAGCGCAGCCATGGGCCTAGGTATAGCTAGGCCAGTCTGATTAATGGGGTGGGGGTGGCAGGGTGGGGACAGCCTCTTCCGGAACTGATTTGGAGGGGCCCAGCCTCTTTAAGTCAACTTGTGTAGCCTGTTTCTGCCACAGAATTCACCAGTGAGAAATCCCGAGGTGTGAGCCACTGAAACCAGAGCCAGAATGTGAGATTCTGGGAATGGAAGAAGGCTTTGCTCTTCACCTTCGGACCAAAGAACCCTGAATTTCAGTGTCACCTTTGCAGAAGGCAAGAAACCTGGTCTCAAAGCCCCCATGCAGCCAAGAGTGGCAGCCCCCTGTGTAAAAACTGGTGGTGGTAATGGCAGTGAGGAAAACGGGGCCCAGGCCGTGGGATCGCCCCCAAGACAGTGAAAAGGGACCTGGATAAGGAGTCGGGGCCCTGGGACCCACTCTGGGTCCTGCCACGAGCTTGCTGTGTGCCCTGGGAGGCCATCTCACCCATCTATGCCTCAGTTTCCCTGCCAGATGGTAGGGGTGAGCCCGAATGATTGCCAGATCCTCTGCAGTTCAGACTCTAGAAGCTCAGCAGCCATGTCTTGCGGTCACATTCCCACCCCAGCCCTCTCTCCATCCTCCCCACTGCCGCCACGGGCTCTTTGCACCTGCTGTGCGCCTTGACTGCATACTGAGAGCTAAGTCCCAGGAAGGCGGAGCACAGCCCCATGGTAAATCACGCCCACCAGCAGGGGCCAAGGAGAGGCTGAGAATCGGAAGGAAAATCCAATCCTACACACATCGCTCCTCTCAGCGATTCTTGCCCTCTCCGCAGCCCCAGGCCTGCATCAGGTTATTAAATGTTATCAAGGAACAGGGAGGAAGGACTCGCAGCCTCCCTCAGGGAGACTGCTCAACAGGCCATGGACGCTTACCTCTCAGGTAGACCCCGCCACTCACAAGAACACTACCTGGAGGCCTCCTGGCTTCCCCTGGTCAGCCCTGGGCAGAAACTACCTCTGGGCTCCCAAGACCCAGGAGAAGGTAGAATTCCCCTACAGAGAAAAGATGCAGTCTTCTATGGAAGGAAAAAAGTAAGGGTGTATTTTCTAGGCAGGGCCCAGAGGAAAGGTCTCCCGACCTGTCTGCTGGCCAGCACAGGGAACACAGTTCCTACAGTGCTGTTACCTTCTGAGGCACACAGTAGGTGCTTAACAAATGGTTGTTGAATAAATGAATGAATAAACCATCTCAAGACTTAGAACCAGGCAGGACGCAGCGGCTTATGCCTATAATTCCAACACTTTTGGAGGCCAAAGTGGGAAGAGATTGCTTGAGGCCAGAAGTTTGAGGACAGCCTGGGCAATATAGCAAGACCCCACCTCCATAAAAAATAAATTAGCCAAGCGTAGTGGCACGTGCCTGTAGTCCTAGCTTCTCGGGAGGCTGAGGCAGAAGGGTCACTTCAGCCCAGAAACTTGAGGCTGCAGTGAGCTATGATCTTGCCACTGCACTCCAGCCTGCGATAACAGAGCAAGACTCCATCTCATTAAAAAATAAATAAATAAAAAGACTCAAGGCCAGGCACAAGCGGCCCACGCCTATCATCCCACCACTTTGGTAGGCCGAGACACAAGGATTGCTTGAGCTCCAGAGTTCAAGATCAGCCTGAGCAACATAGTAAGACCTCATCTCTACTTAAAAAAAAAAAAAAGCCAGTCATAGTAGCAGGCTCCAGTGGTCCCAGCTACACGGGAGGCTGAGGTGGGAGAATCATTTGAGCCCAGGAGGTAGAGGCTGCAGTGAGCTGTGATCATGCCACTGCCCTCTAGCCTAGGCAACAGAGTGAGACCCTGTCTCAAAAAACGAGATTTGGAACCAGAGAAGCCATCTGCAGTCAGGCACTCCCGATCAAGGGGCCTTGAAAACCACACAGCAGCATGCAGCTAAACGCACACAGCATCGTGCTCATTTCCCTGGGATCCCATCAGCACAGTCCTCCCGTGGCCTGATGCAGTGATACAGAGGGAGCCAGTGACATGGGAAGGGCTGTTGGTGCTAAAAGGCCCAAGTGCCCCCCCGGCTGTTCTGGGTGACATTTCTGTCCTGTTCTCTCCCCTGTCCACTCTGCAGCCCACCCGAACCCGCTGCCCAGTCTCCCTTGGGTGGAAACTGAAGGCTGCCAGAAAGAAGACAAGAAACACAACTACTCAGCTCAGGCATTGAGCGCTTTAATTATTTGTACGCTACAGAGTCCGGCTCTGGGTGAAGACAGCGCCTTATCTCCTGAAGAATAGAGTGCAGTACCCTCAGGACAGTATTCCTCCCTTTGCTCATGCTAGTTCTAGGAATCCAGGTTGCTAGGGAGAAGGCACCGCCTGATTCATGAGGAATACTTTGCTATTAATGATGGTAGTAATTATATGCATTTCTTATTCCCATATTTAGAACATATTCGAGCCATCTCTGACTGGTCAGGGATCCCCCTCTATCTGGCTTCGCACCTGCAGCCACTTCCTCCCTCCCTCCCAGCACCTGGAGGGAGCATTTGCTCCCCTGTTCGAAGGCTCATCCCCTGGCCCACTTTGTGCCCTGGACCCAGCCCCTCCCCTTCCCAAAGGCACCATTCCACAGAAGACCCTTCTGTCTTCTTCATGGCAACATCGCCATCACTACTGTCCGATGTTAGATTTTAAACTGCTCGATCCTCTCCCATCTTTTTTTTTTTTTTAAGCATCCTTTGTTCTCTCCTCTTTACACCAAAATTCTGGAAAGAGTCATCTGCATTCATCACTCCCAATCCCCCTGTTCCTGTCTGCTCCCTAGCCAGGCTCCTCCCTAGCCAGGCTCCTCCCTCCAGCAGGAGGGC
This sequence comes from Homo sapiens, assembly GCF_000001405.40. NCBI lineage: Eukaryota > Metazoa > Chordata > Mammalia > Primates > Hominidae > Homo > Homo sapiens. The sequence continues at coordinate 21,780,209 of NC_000008.11, forward strand.
CCGGGGAAAGGTCTCCTGCCCCATACGATGGCCGATGGCCGGCACGGGGAGCATGGCTAATCCAGTGTGTCACCCTCTGAGGCACACAGCAGGTGTCTAAGAAGCTAAGAGCCTCAGCCTCAGCTTACCCTAAGGCATCTGACCCTGTTGAGGGTCCTCTCCTCTGGGATGAACCCTACCTTGTTTTCCTGCTGTTCCTCCCACCTCTCCCCAGCACCTTCTCAGCTCCCTGCAGGCTCCCTTCCCCACATCCTTAAATACCATGGTCTCCGGGGTCTGTTACCGCCCTCCTCTCACTGCGGTCATGCACACCCCCTTGGCCCTGGTTTCTACCTGCAGGCTCATGTCCCTTCCTCAGTCTCGCTCAGACCCACTTCCTCCCTCGACTCTAGACCTGCACATCTGCAGGGTGTGGTCAATGAGAGCCATGGGCCCCAAAACAGATTCCCCATCCCCCTGCCCTCCCCTCTCCACTCTAAGACTGGCCTGATTCTTCTGAGGCCTCCATCATCTGCTCAGCTGCCTAAGACAGGAAACTGGGTGCCCTTCTTGACTCCTCCCTCCCCTCCCCTTCTCCTCTCCCATCAGTCACCAAGACCTGTGGATTCTCTCTTCTAAATAGCTCTCAGAGGGCCGGGGGCAGTGGCTCATACCTGTAAGCCCAGAACTTTGGGAAACCAAGGTGGGAGTACTGCTTGAGCCCGGGAGTTTGAGATAGGCCTGTGCAACATAACGAGACCCCATCTCTACCAAAAAAATATTTAAAAATTAGCTGGGTGTGGTAGCTCACTCCTGTAATCCCAACACTTAGGGAGGCCGAGGCGGGCCGATGGCTTGAGCCCAGGAGTTTGGGACCAGCCTGCGCAACCTAGTGAGACCCCAATAAAAATAATAAATACACAAATAAATAGCTCTTAGACCCATTTTTCCTTCCTTGCCACTGTCCTGGTTCCGCCACAACTGTTCCTGGCCTGTATCACAGCAGCAGCTTCTGGACAGTCCTCTAATCTACTCTCTCCACTGGAACCACAGAAGCATTTTGCTGAAGCACAGATCTGATCATCGCCCTTAAAACCCTTCAGGGATCCCTCCCTGTGCCCCTAATTCTCCTCCCCACTTCCACCACCACCCACGACACACCACCTGCCACCCACCACCACTCTAAGCCACTTGCAGCTCTGTAAACAGGTTCCATTCTCACAGTGGGCCTTTCCATGCTGTTCCCTCCACCTCCCACACTCTTCCTGCCTCCCTTCACCTATGTTCCATTTCGTGACTCTGACTCACCCTTCAGCCCCAGCTTGGAGCCTGTCTCTTCCAGGAAGACGCTTTAGATTTTACAGCAAAGACGTGGATGCCCCCTCCAAGCTGCTACCATCGCACCCTGTGTCTTCCCTCTCACAGCACTTACACCATCAAATGACAGAAGCCCCCTTATTTATCCGCACCTCCCCAGACTCGGCTTCAGGAGGGCAGAGGCTGCATCAGCTTGCCCTCAACTGTTCCTACAACACCTAGAGTGTAGCAGACAGTACGCTCTCAATAAACATGCATTCAATTAATAAATGAACATCTGGTTACAGTGGCCCACCTCCTAAACAGATGCAAATCCTCCACACCCAGGTCTGGAGGGGGAGGGGATGTGAAGGTGTGTTATTGGCGGGGGGACTTATAGGTTCTACTTTGTGACTCGGAGGCTGGTTTGCCAAGGGATGTGGGGCCTGCTGCCTGCACACTGCCCCAAGCCCTGTAGAAGGTGATAGGTCAGCCATGGGGTCCAGAAGCCACATGAAGGGCTGGTGTCCTGGAAGCAGGGAGGCAGGAGCCAGAAGGACAGAGTAGGGGCAGCCAGCTCTGGGATCAGCCCTGGGGCAGGGCAGCAGCCATAGCAGGGCAGCAGCCGTGGCAGCGGAAGTGGCTGGTTTCTCAGCCTGCACCCAGCCTGCCCCTTCTCTCTCCTGGTTCTCACTTCTCCATCTGCCTGGTCACTCTTGCCTCACCTTCTCTTGGAACCACTTCACACCGTCCTTGCTTGAATCACGTGGTCTTGCTCCTACCCAACCCCTGCTCACCTCCCCCACCCCACTCACCCCCCTTCCTCCAGCGCCTGTTCTCCTCCTCCCACCACCTCCCTCTCTCCTCCTCCAGCTGTTGCTTCTGCCTCCTCTTTGTCTCTCCTGGCCTTTTCCAAACAATGCCACCCTCCTAGGTGGGGCGGCGACTTCTCTGGGTTCTAGGTTCCCCTAGCAGGTAGACATAGAGAGCTGGCCAGTTTGCGCCACCACCTAGTCCTCCCTCCTGAACCCCTGGCCCGCCACACGTCCTCTCTGCCTGCGCCACACCCCCTCCCCTTGGGCAAGCCCCGCCCAGGCTTACCCTCGGTCAGCCCCAGGTGGATGCTCCAGTAGATCTGCAGACACTGCAGCTCCTTCTTCATGCCCCGCTTGCAGCGGCAGTCGTACAGCGGGCTCTCCTGCAAGACCTCCAAGGCCGCCTGGCACTCCTTGTTGGCCAGCATGGTGTTGCGGTCGCGGCCTGCCAGGCACTGCCGCAGAGTGCGGTAGCGAGAGCTGCAGTTGGATTCGGCGGCACACAGCTCATTGGCCCGGACACAGTCCACTGGGGGGCGCCAGCCGTGGAGCTCGGGGCCCTGCAGGGAGGAAGGGCTGGCCAAAGAGCGGAGGGTCTCGTCTGGGTGGTGGGGAGGGAAGACAAGCATGAATGACGGCCGCCACAATCTCCCACCCAAGATGCAGGCCTGGGGGCTTGGGCCCTGCTGGGAACGTCACACCCATTTCGCCAAAGCACACCAAGGCGACTCTGTGGGACAGCCCTCCTCATACCCCAGGGAGAACTCAGGCATCATCCTCCCCTGGATGTAGGAGCAAGTTTTCTCCCTTTGCACTCCATTCCTCCTCAGCAGCGGCCCTGGGCCTAGGAGCACAGCACAATAAAGCCAGGAAGGTCCCGGCTCAAGACCTCAGTCTAAGACGTCAGGAGCCCAGAGGAGAATGTCACAGCCTCAGCAGAGAGCTGGGGGCTGCATGGCTTGCTGGGGGGTGCAGGGAGTGGGGAACATCTCACTTGCATACCACCCAGGCCTCCTATAAACCCCAGCTCCAGCCAGAGGCCCATCCATGGCGCTGCACTAAACCTTGGATGCAGTGCGAAGTCATTTCGTTGTCATTGCCTGTTAGGACCTTATAGACACCATAGAGCCCAACCCCACATTTTACCCTAGGGAAACTGAGGCCCAAAGAAGGGTGATGACAACTCAAGGTCACACATAGCGGTGGAAACACCCCCTCCGATTCCCAGTGTACTCACTCTGACTCTCATTCTGACTTTACGACAAGACAGGGAGAGATGAGCCTAACTCTACCGTCCAGGCGAGCCCAGGAAGGAGGAGCTACCCCTTTCCCCCCTCACCCCTCCACACCTTCTAGTCCAACTTCACACCAGACGGAGACCTGAACTCTCCTCTTCCGAGAGACAAGTTCCGCCCCGGCCCCCTCCAATAGAAAATGCTTTTGGCAAGCCTGGGGAGCATCCATGCCCCCCGCGCCCCCTGCTCTCTCCTCCCCACTCTAGCTCTGCTTGCACCTGGCTATATCTTACGCTTCTCTTGCTGATGGCCTCCCAAGAGGTGTGTTTCTTCATCACCTTTTACCTCTTGTCTTTCAATGGCCTTGTTTTTTTCTCTCTCAGCTCCTCTCTTTCTTTCCTCTCCACCCTCCTCTGAAACTCCCTTCCCCTCTATCTCTTATTTTGTTCTTCCTTCCAAAAGCCAAATAATTGCAAAAGGGAAAAGCTCCCCTCCTCGGACCCCAGCCTTGCAAATGGAACCTTGCTCCTCCACCAATGTGCAATCCCCCATCAGGCCACCTTCCCATCCTGGCCCCCATGTCCACACCCACAGTGCCTCAGGAGGGAGGGGACAGGGAAAAAGAGAGGTAGGTGAACGGCAGGGACAGGCTCGCCTGATCCTTTCAAAGCCAAGCTCCTAAAATGGTTTCCTCCAGACACAGACATCGTCTTCCCAGTCCCCCTGTCCTCTGATAAGCCCCTAACTCGAGATCCTGCCACCAGGAAAAGCCCGCACCATGGCCCAGAGCCATGACTGCCCTTTCCTGGACCGAAAGAGTAATTTGGGAGGCTTCCTCGACTCCATCTCGCCTCAGAACATAATAAAATCCTAGGCCAGAAGTCCCCTCCTCAATACCGCAGAATTCCCCATCCCTACCCAGAACAGCCACTCTCAGGCCATCCCCCGGGAGGCCCTGCTCAGGGGAGCGCTACCGCAGGGAGACAGCGACACCTAAAGGCAGCGCGCTGCACAGCGGGCCTTCGCTCCCGAGAGCCCCCAGAGAACAGGAATCCATCCACTCCCGGTGGGACCAGCCAGGAGACCCATCCCTAGGGGACAACAGAGAAGAACAGCAGGGATGGGCCTGGGGTACAGAAGGCTTCTTCGGGGCCCAGAGCAAAAGACGTGCCCTTCTCCCACTGACCAGACCTCTGCCACAGAACAGGAAGGCTGATGGATGTGGCCAGGCTGAGACAAGACCAGAGAAGAAATCAGACCGGAGTTTGAGGCCCGGCACTGGCTGGAGAGCTGTCCTCCACACAAGCTGAGGCAGCGTCTTTCTTCCCCGGCTTCAGCAGATTCCTACCTCCCTGAGCAGGACCCGCGTACAGCCGGGCCCCCCAAGAGCAGCTGAGTTGACACGGCCCCGCCTGTACCTGCGGCCCCCAGCCAGCCCGTGGGAGCCTCTGGAAGAATATAACCCTGGGCCCTCCACTGACTTAACCACCCCGCCTCCCCATAGGCTAATGCCCTCCCACCTTGACTGAACTGAAGGCTGCACTGTCATGGGGGCCTGGAAATGGAACTTCCTGGCTTCCTTAGCCTTCTGTAGGCACAGAATTCACCGCGTGCTTAAAGGTCAGAAGATTAGCCCAGGGGATTCAGGGCATAAGGACGCTTTTTTTGCTTGTCCTACAGTTGGGCCTAGAGCCCCACAGGATGATCCTTACACAATCTTAGGGAGGCTCCCGTGCCAGAACTGAGGGCTTCCCCCATCCTGCCACCTGGCACGTGTGGCCAGGCAACAGACACACTCTGCGAAGGGCCGGGGCATCCATTCACCAAACCATCCTTGACTCTTCTAGTTCATTCCATGACCCCCAGAACCAATCAAGCCCAGCCAGAGAAAGGAATCCCTGCAGCCTGCAGCCTTTAGCTAAGAATCCTAAGAGAGTGAAGGGCAGGGGGTGTCCTGGTGATGTTTCCAAATCCTAAATTAGGAGAAAACTTTGATCCATCAAGACACAGGGAGTAGCTGCTAGAGACACAGGGGTAGAGGGGGGTGGAGAAGCGACACAGGGCTACAATTGCCCTACTGCATCCAACATCCCACCAGAGCTAGAATGTGTGCTAGAAAGTCAGTCGGAAGTGGCCCCCTCTGGCCAGCCCAACACCCCCACCCGAGTCACTTTCCCCTTCTCCTTCTCTCCCTGGGTCAGCACTGGAGGTCAAGATACTGGGCAAGAAAGGCCTCTCTCTCCACCATGGGTTATCCAGCCCAGACCTCACTCAGAATCTCAGTAGGGGCACACCAAAGGCCTTTGCCCCCAGCTGAAATTGCCCACCAAGTCTCAAGCCCCAGAAAAACCTCCCCCGACCCTCCACCCACCCACCCAGTGGGATTTTCAACCAGCTTCCTGCCAGGAAAAGGGCCCCAGGGCTGAAGTTTCCTAAACACCAACCCATCCCTTCCTTTCCACTGGCCTAACCCAAAGCCTTTCAGTATCTGTGGTCACTCCACTCAGCCCAGCTTTAGAAGGGGACTTCTCGAGGGAAGGAAACTGAAGGGCTGTGGAGCAAGGGGATGCTGAGCCTGCTGCTCTTCTGCTCTCACCCCCGCCTCTCAACACTCAGCCTCCAGGGTTGCAGACATTGGGTTGGGCCTCTCTGGTCATCTCCCATGCACACACATACACACCCACCACGAGCAGGAACCCCAGCCACTTCTGAAAAGGAGAAAGGTGGACTCCTTAGCCTGCCCGGCTGGAGAAAGCCTGCCTGCAATGACCAGGGGCCCACACTGCTCTTCTCCAGCCCCCGACCACAGATGGTGCCCACACCTGGGAGCCCTGCCCATGCTGGGGTATGCAGCTCAGCAGTAGGCAATCTGGCTGTTTTGCCTGAAATACAATTTTTTTTTCACCTTGGCCCTGATCATGCTTGGACCCAGAAGGCTGGGTTTTCAAGCTAGCAGTGGGAGAAAAAGGTCAGATTTTATAGTAGCCCCTTCAGAATGAGAGTCCACTTGCCAGGGTTGACAGGAAGGGCTTCGGGATCACAGCGGGCCCAGAGCAACTTCCAGCTTCCTAGAGGAGCCCCTCCCACCCCAGAGAGAAGCTGCCTCTGGCTGAGGGAGGTAGGACCTCTGAGGCCACACCCTAGAGCAGGGACTTGCCCCCTTGGGGACTCGCACCTGGCGGGAAGCAGAGGGGACAGGCAGAGAGTCCAGAGCCTGTGTGGACACCCAATGACTCCGGTCCCCTATCCTAGTCTGGCGAGCACTTCTTAGACCACGCACATCCTCCTGTAACCAGCTCCTACCTCCCCACTCGTGGCCTTCCCAGATCCCCTACTGCAGGAGGGAGAGGGTGAGATCATGACCCCGCTGGGCAGCCTGGCTCAACACTGGCTACACAGCAAGCCAAGGTGGTAGAACTACACCCTCACTGAAGCAGACGTGTGCTCCTTACAAACACACTCACACACACACACACATACACAGTAGTTACCCGGCTCCCTCTATGGGAGCGTCTACTCCCTGGCAGCAGCCCTGCCTGGGACTCCCGGTGGTGCACAGCCTTGCAAACAACCGCCTTTCCTCACCTCCCTCCGGAGATTGCCATTTCCCAAGCAGCTGCGATTTCACCTAGCTTTAAAGGGAGAGAGGAGCTGGGAATTCTGTGTGGAAAAGAAACTGCGTGGGGCTCAGTGGCGCCAGGCAGCCTCTCCTCCCTGTCTTGGAGGCGGCGGGGGGGGCAGTGGGGGGGGTTTGCAGAAGGAGCAGTGGTCTTTGTTCAGACCCGTTTTTCCTCCCTCGCCTCCCACCCTCTTCAACGGAGAAAGCAAACTTTGGCCTCCCTCCCGCCTCTTCCCACCAGCCACGGGGGTCCGCGGCCCCCAGAGGTGGAGGAGGGAAGGCCGGGAACGGCTGCTCACAACCCTCCGCTCCCGCCCACCCATCTGGCTCGGGGCTCGGTGGGGAGAAACTTGAAAAGTGTTCCGGGGAGTGGAGCCGCCGGTTAGGGGCTCAGGGCGTGGGGACGCGGGCTCCGTTTGCCAGGCGCGGCTGGCAGGTGGGGAGTGACTGCCAGCGCTCCCCGCGCGATGTCCAAGCGGGAGCCGCCGGAGAAACCCGCGCCCTCCACCACGACCGACTCGGGGAGCAGACCAGGAAAGGCGGACCCCGCAGGACTGTTCTCTCCCCGCCTAGGAGCCTCTCTCTCCCTCCCTTCTTGCAGATCAAGAGTTGGATATTTTTTTTTCTTAAGTTGCCGCAATTCGAACCCATTATTTCGGGGGAGATGCGCGCTATACTGGCGTGTGAGCGAGCGCGGGTGTGTGTGTGCGTGCACAGTGTCTGCGGGGCTGGTTCGGATGTTGAGTCTCCCTCCCGATCCCCCTGCGTCGCCAGCCAGCCGCGGCTCCGGTCCCTCGTCCGCGTCCCTGCCGCCCGGCCCCGCTCGGTTCGCCAGCACCGGGCCCGGCTAGCTCCGCGGCGCGCTCTCCCCGCCGACCTCCCGCCAGCCCCCCACCGGCGCTCCGCTCGCCCCCCGCCTCCCCGGCTTCTCGCCTCCCCCTCGAGCTCGCCGCCCGCAGGTACTCACCTAGAAAGAAGAAGAGGCAGAAGACGTTTGCCAAGATCATGTTAAATAAATCCCACCGTTTTTTTGTCTTTCTCCCTTGGGTAAAAAAAAATAATAGTAGTAACAACAACAATAATAATAGGCAAGCAGTGGTAATCAGCCCCAAATCCAATGCGGAGATCCCAGCTAGTCCACCCGATGAAGATCCCGAGTCCTGCGATTCTCGCCTCTGGCTGGAGGGGGTGGGGTGAGAGGCGGGCGATGGGCTGCTGCCTCTCGACGCCCCCCTTGCCCGCTACAATCAAATATACGCGTATCTGTGTATCGGCTTTCTAAGCCAACAGCCCAGTCCTGGGGTCAGCCCTCCCCTCCAATCGTCCGGGAAGGCGTGAGTCCCCGCGGGTCCAATTCCCCTGCGCTTCCCAGGAGGGGCCTGGGGAGGTGGGGAGAGAGGCGATTTGCGAGTGAAGGGCTGGAAGGAAGCGGCGAGGGAGGGGGTCGGAATAAAATGCAAATAGAAAAGAAATCCACAGACGGGTGTCAGCGCCCAAGAACAATCCAGTCGGAGCTTCGAGGACGAGAGACTGGAGTCGCTTCTTTCGCACCAAGACGAAGACAAGATTCAAAAAAATCTTCTCCCGCTAACCCTTGCTCGGCTCACTTTTTTCTAATGGAATTCCAGTGACCGTGTGTCTCTGCGTGCGTGTGTCTTTCTCTCTCCTCTCTCTCTCTCTCCTCTCCCTCGCTCGCTCTTTGCTCTCGCTCTCTCCAGCTCTCCCTCGCTCTCCTCTCTCCCTCCCCCTTCTCCCACTCTCCCTGCTCCTCCCTCCGCCCGCCCCCTTCTCCCTTCGCGGCTCCCTCGCCCGGGCTCTCGCGCCAGCGCCCCTCTCCTCCGCCCCGGGCTCGGCGCTCGGGCTCCCAGGCGGCTGGCGGCGCGGGGCGCGGGGCGCGGGAGCGCGGCGGAGCTACGATGCTCTGCAGCGGCGGCGGCGACAAGGCGAAGGCGGTGGCGGTGGCGGTGGCGGCGGCGGCGGCGCCGGGGATCGCGGGCCGAGAGGAGAGCCCAGCCGCCGGCTCCCTCGGCTCAATCGCCCGCCCTTCCTGGGACTGACCTGCTGCCTTGGCCGGAAACTGACTGGCTCCCCCGGCTACGGCTCGGGCTCGAACCCACTCAAGCGTCGGCACCCTCCTCCTCCTCCCCCCGCAGCTCTCCCCACCCTGGGGACCGGCTGCGCCCTCCAACCCCCACTGCCCCTGCCCCCGCCCCCTGCGCCGCTGGGTCTGGGAAGCCTGGGGAGCTGAGCTGAGGCTGGAGGGCGCGGAGTCCGTGGGGCCCGAGCCATCCGGGGGCTCGGGGGGCAGGGCGTTAGAAAAACCCCAGCCGGTGGCCCGGGTCTGAGGGGGGCTCCACCCTCCGTGGGCTAAGGCGTCCCTGCGCCCAGGAGCCGAGGCCGACAAAGCGTCTCCCCGATGGTGCCAGGGAAAGGAATTATCCCCTTCGGCGCCGGCCCCGCGCGCCCCCGAACCCAACGCATCCTGCCGGCCCCGGCCTAGCCCCGCGCGCACATACACGTGTGCTCTCCGCGCGGACCTCGGGAACTTTGCCCTCACGCCCGCGGCGCGCTTGCCTCCCGCCCGCCCCGGCCTCCACCCCTTCGAGATGCCCCTTCCCCAGCCGGTCTCCCCTCCCCCCGGCTCGGGAAGAAGCCTGCTGGGCCAGGGCGCCCTGACCACCTCCTCGGAGGCCGGCAAACCTGCCTGAACCGCCCCAGAGGAATCGGGCAGGGGCTCGCACCCCACCCCGGCAGGAGGGCCCCGAGACCGACCCGGGCCGGGGCTCCGCAGCCGGCTGGGCTCCGAGGAGCTCGTCCCGAGGCAGCTCCCGGCTCCCTAGGCTCCGGGGTTGGGGGGTTCCTCCTCCCCTAGCCGGGAAGGGGGCGATTGATCCATCTGTCGGTGGGCCGGGCTCACCGGCGTGTTTTAGTCGCAGAATTTACAATAAACGCCCAGAAGGACCTAAAAGGAAGCGTCTGGCTGGGAAAGGGCTGGAGGAGAGGTGCGGCTGCGGTCACGTTCCGGCGAGAGCGGGAGAGGCGCGGGGTCGCGGTCGCGCGAGGGCTCACACCCACGCAGCCCGGCATCCCCCGGCCCTCGCGCCACGTTCCTCGCACTCAGCTCGGCGCGCACACACGGTGTCCTGGGGTGGGGTACACGCAGCGCCTCAGAAACTTTTCGTGCTGCCCAAAACAATCTGGGCTGCACGTAACATGAATTTGATAGTACCGTTTAAGATGCATTCTTAAATAACAAGACTCTGGAATCCAGTAAATGCTAGAAATCGACTTGGACGAGAAGGGAGGGGTCACTAACAAAACCAGCAGCCTTAGCTATTGGGAAAGCTAGAGGGAGCAACTTCCATCTTGAGGATTTAGGCGGGAAGGCGGCTGCTCCCGGCCTTGGAAGCACAGAGAGCGAGTCTCCTGTGAACGCCTCTTTCCTGTGGTCCGTCCTGGGGCATCGACCTTCCTCCCTCCATCTTCTCCCCCAGCCATCCAGTTGTGCCTGCTTCGAGCCTAGGCCCTAGCTGGGTAGTGACGAGTCTGGGACAGAGGGCTTAGGGATTGGAGTTGGGGAAAGCCCCCTTCAGGCCTGCCCTCCCTGTCATTCCTCCAAGCCTCTCATGTTCTAGGAAGTGACTTCGCATCTGACAAGGTCTCTTGGCTTTTTTTCCAAAAATTGGGGAGCATAAGGAACCGGCTTTGGATAAGTGTAGGTTAAAAGATAAAACTTGACAGGAATTACACTGCCAGGCAGGCTTGGCCTGGAGGCCCGAGGCTGGGAGCCTGGCCTAAATGAATGTCCCCCCTCTCATCTCCTCGACTTCCAGGGTCTTCTGGTTGTCCAAATACTCCCCACCACCACCCATTTCGGAATCTCACGCAGGCCTTCCCCCTTCCAAGGACCCTGCTCCAAACTCCAGAATTTCTGCTCAGCATATCCCTCTCCCCTTCCCCACAAAAAAGAATTTCACTTTCTTTTAACTTCATTTGAGCATAATGAGAGAAATTCTCTGAATCATATATGTAGTTCTCCCCTCCCACCTATCCAGAAAATGGGGCTGAGAAAGCAGCAATGAAGCCCTGGGGATGGTTCTCACTGAGCTCCCACGGGAGTAGGAAAGAGGATTCCGGTAGCAGGAGGTAAGTGGCCCTTCTGCGACCCAAGACCACCCAGCCATCCCAAGAACAGTAGAGAACACCAATCAGTCACCACCAGCATTCAGCTTGTGTGACTGCAGGGCACTCTGACCTTGGACCCTCTCTTACCTACTGCCTATACAGACGTATCCCATGACACCCCACCCTCTGCCCACCCCAACACTCAACCCAAACTGCTCTTAAAAATGGCATCATCCCTTATTTCCTGAGCATCTGCCATGAGGAAGACCCCCTGCCTTGTGCCGGGATCTACAGAGGAAACACAGTTGAACATGTACTATAACACCTTATAGATAAGAGGACTTCTGAACCTCAGTCATCTCATCTATAAAATGGGGATTAAAAAAGATAAACCAACGTTGTAGAAATTACATAAGATACTACACAAAGCGGCTAGTACAATGCCTGGCCCATATAAAGTTGTTTACTGCTTTGCTCTGGGTTCTAGAAGAAGAATTAGGGACCTATGACAAGGCAATAAAACCTAAGGGGCAAATGAGAAGCAGAAACAAAAAGCTACAGGGGTTCAAGGGCAACAGAGACTATTAAGCAGCTGTCGTAAGAGGTAGTCATAGGAAAATGTGAAGTCTCTAGCAGGTAGGAGGCAAGCCCTAGGCTCACCAACAGACTTCCACACATTCCGTAGTGCCTGAGTCCTTTTACAGCCTTCCTGGCTCATTCCAGTGCTCCTGAGTTCACCAGCAGCTGAGCCTCCTGCCCACAGCCCCTCCCCATCACAGATCCTAGAGTCCAAATCTGCATGGGGAGGGAAAGGCAACACCGAATCCTTCCATTCCTTCCCTTTCTCTTATCTCTCTAGTCCTCTCTGCTTATGGAGTGGGTTCTCTGGATAGCAGGAGAGGGAAGAAGGACCAGTGGAGGGGAGGGCGTTGCAGCCCCACCCCAACACACGCACACATGCGCACCTAGGCCTGGGCCACACTGCTCACTGACCACAATCTTATTCCTTTGTGAAGGGAAGAAGGCTGAGGGTTCCCTGACCCCAGAGATAAAAATCGACCAGGAGTGAAAAGAAGGTGCCTCACATCCAGCTAATACTGTCAGGAGCCACAGAACTGGCAAGGTGGAAGTGTCCTCTGCCATGGGACAGAGCCTGATCCAGGGCACCCCACAATCAATCCATCAGCACAGACTTATTGAACGACTTCTCTGGCCCCAGCAGGGCCAACGGCTGTGGGGAATACAGCAAGACTGCCCCTCCCCTGAAAGCATTTATAGAGTCAAGCGTGTAGCTATGAGAAGATACTGAAAAAAACAAAGGCACAGTGGGAGAAAGGAAGAGTTGGTACCACTGGATTTCAGGAGTGCAATCAGAGAGGACTTGCTAGGGGTAGGATTCAAGCTGGAGCTGGAAGGATGGGTAGAATTTGGCTGAGCACAGAGGAGGACACTCCAGGTGAGCAAACAGCAGAGGCAAGAGCACAGTGATTAGAAAGTTCTCAGGAGGCTGGGTGTGGTGGCTCATGCCTATAATCCCAGCACTCTGGGAGGCAGAGGCGGGCAGATCACCTGAGGTCGGGAGTTCCAGACCAGCCTGACCAACATGGTGAAACCCCGTTTCTGCAAAAAATACAAAAAACATATCCAGGTGCGGTGGCGCACACCTGTAGTCCCAGCTACTCGAGTGCCTGAGGCAGGAGAACCACGTGAACCTGGGAGGGAGAGGTTGCGGTGAGTCGAGATGGCACCACTGCACTCCAGCCTGCGCAACAGAGCGAGACCCTGCCTCAAAAAAAAAAGAGAAAGTTCTCAGGAAAGGAACAATCCAGTGGGTGGGAGGAGCCAAGTGCACAGGTTGGGGAAGAACTAGAGGGTCCAATTGGGGTGCTCAAGTGGAGAAGAACCAAGCCTTGCAGTCTTCAGATTCATGCACCAGGAGCCGCTGAAGGTTTTTGAGCAGGCAACTGACATGATGAGAATAATGTTTTAGGAAGATTGATCTGATGACTGTGTGAGGGATGGAGACCAGGGGCCAATTAGGAGGTGATTGTAACAGTCCCAGGCAGAGGTAATGAGGGTCCAACAGGGAGTGGCAGTGGGCGTGGACAGAGGGAGAGGGTTGTCAGAGGCAGTGTAAGGATGAATTGGCATGATGCTGGAACACAGGGAGAGTCGCCAGGCCAAGACAAAGTGACCAGCCTAGCGGCTCAGCCTTTGTCCTTGGAAAAATAATAATTAAAGTAGCCAAATTTATGGCTAGATACAAGTTAATACTCCTTCAAATTCCTATAATAACTCGATGGCTATTATTAGGTACTATTAATAGCCTCATTTTCAAGTGAGAGAGGAGAGGCAAGAGAAGTGATTCAACTGCCCAAGGTCATATTTTAAGTGGCAGAATCTGGATTCAAACTCGGGCAGTCAGGATCCAGCACCCCCAACTGGTCAATTCTGTGCCTTGTATCGGACAAGAAAAGTGGCGGCTCTCCAGGCCCACACATGTTCATATTCCCCTTCACAACACCTAAGATATCCTCTTCCTCCCTTCCCTATCCACAAATAGTGTGAAAAAAATCATGAGAATCAAAGTTTTTTTTTTTTTTTTTGAGACAGTCTCGCTCTGTCACCCAGGTTGGAGTTCAGTGGTGCAATCATAGCTCACTGTGGCCTTGACTTCCTGGGCTCAAGTCATCCTCGCCCCTCAGCCTCCCTAGTTGCTGAGACTACAGGCCTGCACCTGGCTTATTTATTTACTTAGCAGAGATGAGGTCTCCATATGTTACCCAGGCTGGTCTTGAACTCCTAGCCTCAAGTGATCCTCCTGCCTCAGCCTGGCAAAGTGCTGGGATTACAGGCCTGAGCCACTGTGCCCAGCCTGAAATTACTTTTAAAATCTGTACTGTGGACCTTGTTTTATTTTTTATTCTAAAAAAATTAAGCTTATCCTGAGAGTGACTTTTTTTTTTTTTTTTTTTTTTTTTTTGAAACGGAGTCTCACTCTGTCGCCCAGGCTGGAGTGCTAGAGTGCAGTGGCGTGATCTTGGCTTACCACAATCTCCGCCTCCCATGTTCAAGTGATTGGCCTACCTCAGCCTCCCAAGTAGCTGAGATTACAGGCACCCACCACCACACCCAGCTAATTTTTGTATTTTTAGTAGAGACAAGGTTTCACCATGTTGGCCAGGCTGGTCTCGAACTCTTGACCTCAGGTGATCCACCCGCCTTGGCCTCCCAAAGTGCTGGGATTACAGGCGTGAGCCACCACACCCAGCTGACCACTTTATTTTTTATTTAAAAACTAAATAAAATATTTACTGTGGACCTTGTCTGGCATAAGCTTTGGAGTTCAAGTCTAGAGCCTAGAAAGGATTCTGTCAGGTGCCCAGCTTGGTGCCCAGCTAAGTGCCCTGGGCCTGGGTCATGCATGAGCTTTTCCAGCCCCTACCTCCCTCCTACTGGCAAGTTGACCCCTCGCCAACATCCCCTCCACACTCCAGATTCCAGAGTCCCAGCCTGGAAGGAGCACACTAGTCTGGCAATGGAGACCAGCAGGAATTTAAATAAACCATCTGATCCCAAAGAATGAACAGGGCTGCTGGGGCAGGCTGGGTGGGACTGGGCTAGGAGGGAAGAAATGCATACTGCACTCAGGGCCATTGATTTCTCTAATTGATTTCAGTCAATGTTCTCAGTGCTTCATCATTCTCTTTAGAGGTAGGCACCGGCAGGAGGTGGAGCTCTGGTTTTACCCAGCTTCTCCCCAGGGCCTCGCAGACCTCTCTGCAGCCCCACCCATCTCAGGGAGTCCTGTAAGCCCCAGGGTAGCCCATTAGAGAGGGAGGAACCTGCAGCTGCTGCAGCTCCCATGGGGGTTGGACAGAGTGGGTAGACAGTGGAAGCAGATGGGAAGTTGCTCTGACAGGAAGCCATCAAGACCACCTTATGTGACTATTGTACTTCCCGGCTGTACAAAGCATCTTCCACATCCATGATCTTGAAGTCCTTACAACATCCCTGGGAGGGGGGCGTGAGAGAATTAATTTCCCTTCTCAGACAACAAACTGAAACACATTGTCTTTTTTTTTTCTTTTTTCTTTTTTCTTTTTCTTTTTATTTATTTATTTTTTTTATTTGAGACAGAGTCTCAGTCTGTCACCTAGGCCGGAGTGCTGTGGCACAATCTCAGTTCACTGCAAGCTCCACCTCCCAGGTTCAAGCGATTCTCATGCCTCAGCATCCCGAGTAGGTGGAATTACAGGCGTGTGCTGCCTTGCCTGGCTAATTTTTGTATTTTTAGTAGAGACAGGGTTTCACCATGTTGGCTAGGCTGGTCTCGAACTCTCAGCCTCAGGTGATCCACCCACCTCGGCCTCCCAAAGTGCTGGGAGTACAGGCATGAGCCATCGCACCTGGCCTCAGGGAACAAACTCACTCTTGAAGACCACTCATGACATGACCAAGGTTACAACATAGCCAGCAAGTGGCAGAGCTAAGGACTCATCCAGTGGGCTTTCCAATTCCAACTTGGCCTCTCTCACAGGCCAGAAATCAGGCATCCACCTACTACAGGCCTGGGCTTCTCTGCTGCTTTGTCCCACAATAGGGGCTCATGGAGGGCAAGGAAAAAGCACTCAAGTCATCTGGCATCGTCTTTGTGTCATCCAAGACAGACCTGGGAAGGGCTGTTTCTCTGAATTCCTGTTTCACCAGAAATCCCAGACTTCTCGAGAAAACTGTGAAACCTCATTCCTCGCCTTCCCCCTTCACAGCTGCCCGATAGCAGCAGGAGCTAAGCTAGTAAACCACCCTTCTGTTGAGCTATCCTAAGCCTAAAATATCCTAGCTGGGTGTCTGGTCTGCCCCTGCTGCCCCAGAGACACTGCACTCCCTCTGTAGTTGGCACTATACTGGCTACACCCCAGCCTTGTCCTGAAGTTGGTGCTGTGTTTGCAGATGAAAGCTGCCTGGAGAAACCTCACAGCTTCTCTTCTGGGCACACACGCCCACCTCATCTCTCAAGACACTGGCCATCTGCCAGGTACCCGAGGTCAAGGCAGAATCAAGGAAGAGGGACAATGACTCCTCCTGCCAAGCCTTGGGGAGCCGGCTCCTGCTGCCTGACGCCCCCCGCAGAGAGCTCTCAGTCCCAACAGCTCCACAGGCAGTATCTATTTAGCCAAGGGCTAGGTCTGAGCTGGACTGTCACTCAAAAGGCACAGGTCCGACTGCAGGACCCAGAGGGCACCTCCCAAGGGGCTGTGGCCAGAAAACAGAAACTAGTGTTTCTCTCTGAGGACACATGCCTTCCCTGGGCCCAACCCAGAGTTTGGCCAGATGAGCACATTTACCTGTATGCCTACCCTCTCACCTTGACCTTTCATTCTGGAAACTTCTTTTCCCATCATCTAGAACTTTCTCTCCTTCCCCCCACTGTCCCCATGCACTCCTGCTTTCCTGGTATCCTATCTCTCTTTCCAGAATAGGAAACCCTGGGTGGCAGAGCAATGTTTAACCTCAAAGAATGAATTGCTAATGGTAGAATTTTAGTCATCACCTGCTGTAGGTTGGAAGGAGCCCTCCATGACAACAATAATGAACTACCAGCAAGTGCACGGCCTTCAACAGCCTTCGGTGCTTTTTTCTGCAAGTTTGCCTCCCTTGGGCCTCCCAAGAGCTTTCTGAAATCAGTATCTCTCACATGGGAAGATGTATAGTCCAGGCATCAAGTGATCTGTCCCACTACGTGACAGCGATCACACAGTCAGGAAGCTGCTGATCTAGGACTGGGCCAAGGTGTCCTAACTAACCCCAAATTCCCTATTTGTGAGTTAGCTTTTGCTTAAATGCTTTAGTAAAATAAAATAAAATACTTTTTAATTTTAAGAACAAAGACAATTTCTTAAAAATATCTCCAGTGACAGGATCTTGTTTGACTCAGGGGCTGCATTCTACATCACAGATAACGCGGACAATTGAGTGGCCTTTCTTTCTTTTTTTTTCCTTTCTTTGCTTTTTTTTTTTTTTTTTTTTTTTGACATGGTCTCACTTTGTCACCCAGGCTGGATTGCAGCGGTGCCATCATAGCTCACTGCAGCTTCAGCCTCCCCAGGCTCAGGTGATCCTCCCACCTCAGCCTCCCGTCTCTACAAAAGATACAAAAATTAGTTGAGCGTGGAGGTGCACACCTGGCCTGTGTTGACATTCGTGCCATTGAGCTGTTGGACTTTCTCAGCTCCCTGGTCCTGCTCATCAGCTCCCTCTCACTCACAGTGGTCACCTATGTTTACATCATCTCCACCATTCTGAAGATACCCTCAGGCCAAGGTCAACGTAAAGCCTTTGCCACCCGTGCCTCTCACTTTACGGTGGTCTCCATGGGCTATGGGATCTCCATCTTTGTCTACTACAGGCGTGCACCTCCATGCCCAGCTAATTTTTGTATCTTTTGTAGAGACGGGGTTTCACCATGTTGCCCAGGCTGGTGAGTGGTTTTTCCTTATGCCAATATGGAATTTGCCTTTCCATAACTCCCATGTCCACAAGGATCCAGTATATGGGGAGGATCCTGGAAGTCCCTCAGACTGCAGTGGCCTTTGGGCAGAAAGCAGCATGTCTGCCCCTGAAGTGCTGGCTGTTGTGGATGCTGTTTGCTTTCAACAACAGCAGGCTGCTCCTTGCCACAACGAGCAGCTACAGTTCCCCCTCCTACTCCCCAGCAAAAGTCACCATAGTCACCATCACGTCCAGTCCACACAGTGGGCTCCAGGATGGGACATTCCCAGGGGTACAGGCACCTGCTGCCTCCCCACTACAAAAGGCAGTCTGCACTCCCCCAAGCAATGAAGCCCAGGATTCTGCAGTCTTCCCTTGCCCTGGGATGGGCCCAGCCTTTCATATTCTTCCTACCTGACTCCTGGGAGAACATCCCACCCAGCATTATGGAAAGAGGCTTGGACAAGGGTTTGAGTTCTAGCTTTGACCCCAGACATGCTGCCAGCCCAGAAAAGAGTTCAGCACAGTCTGGGGTAGCGCAATGCCCATGGTCAGCCCTCAGGAAGGATTTCCTAGTGGAAAGAAAGAAAAAGGAAGCAAGAGAGGGAGGGAAAGAGGGAGGGAGGGATGTGTGTACTGTTGAATCTCAGTGCTCTCCTCATCTCTGCTCCAACCTAACTCCCGAAATTCATCTTCCATCCAGTTCACCTCATGGAATGAGCCAGCAAGGTACACTTGGATTCAGCCACCCGCTCTGCCACCAGCTGACCATGTGACTTTAGTTCCTCTAGGATAACAGTCCTCTACCCTGCCCTTGTCACAAGGGACAAGGATGATCAAATGAGACACTGAATATGACTATGCTTTGAAATGTAAGCAATGCCCTGCAGACGTAAGAACCTGTTGACTTTTCCAGGCAGCCCACATCCCATGGTGAGTTCTGGGGACCACCCTTCGCTATCTGTTTCAGGATGAGTACCCCCTGCCCACTGCACTACTTGGGACAGCTTTTGCTACTCCAGTGACTCGGTGCTCCTTTGTAAAAAGGAACTTTCCCTTTTCACAGGTGAGAATACTGAGGCCTCCAGGTCCTGCTGTGTATGCTTCTCTTAGCTCTTCTTGCACTCTGTTGAAGTCTCCCATTCTTATCTGTACTCTTCACTCAACTCAAAGCTCTGTTCGAACATGACCTACATCCTCTTCATCACCATAGCCTTAGGGGCTGGCCCATGATAACTGCCCAATGAGTGTAGAATGAATGAATGGGCAAATGATGCCTCTAACCCAATATAACCTTAGCACAGGGTCTGAGGCCCAGGATCACTAGCCTAGTTCAAACCACTTATCTACTTGTTTGGGAGTCACTAGGGTCTAACTGACCCACACAATAAATGCTTCTCTTTCCTCCCCTTCCGTTCTCTTTAGTGAAAATTGATATATCTGACCAGAGGATTTTTTTTTTTTTTGAGACGGAGTCTTGCTCTGTCACCCAGGCTGGAGTGCAGTGGCGCGATCGCGGCTCACTGTAAGCTCCGCCTCCTGGGTTCACGCCATTCTCCTGTCTCAGCCTCCTGAGTAGCTGGGACTACAGGTGCCCGCCACCACACCCAGCTAAATTTTTTGTATTTTTAGTAGAGACGGGGTTTCACATGTTAGCCAGGTGGTCTCGATCTCCGTTGGCCTACCAAAGTGCTGGGATTACAGGCATGAGCCACTGCACCCAGCCCTGACCAGAGGATTTTTTAAACATTTAAGTTCTTTTTAATTCAAGCTAGATTGACTTATGCTCTTGACTTTAAAGTCTAATTCTATAAAGACTCAGTCCATTCATGGGAGCCAGACTCATTAGAATTCCCAGTCCACACAATAAACTGCCTTATTCTTACCTGTTAGCAGTGTGATCCCCTGCCCACCACCCTCCAGCCTAGTGAACCAAGTCACTTGTTAGTCTGAAGAAACAAAGGGGTTGCAGTCCTCAAGCTAATCCCCCTGAAGTGGGAGATGAAGGCATGGCCCATAACGAGCTGGCAACAGTCCTGGAAACACAGGGCTCCCCCAACAAGAAGCCTGTGTCCTCTGCAGACAAACCAAGCAAGGCTCTCGGGGTGGGAGATCAAGAGCTGGTGGCTTCTAAATAAAGGAAAAGGTAGAGCTGGCCTTGTGCCCTCCCACAGGTAGTCAGAGCCTCTGTACCTCTGGCCCCCTGGTGTTCCCATTGCATGGTGCACTTTGGCTAGGGGACATCTCCAGCTTCTAACCTCACCTTCCACCAAATGAGTCTGCTCTCCCATTTCCTTTCAGCCAGCTGCCACCTTGGAAGACAGTCTTGTAAACGGATCCTAAGGGAAGTGATCATCTATTTATTTTAAGAGTTACTGGTGTAGTAAACTCTTTTTCCAGAACCAGCAAAACTGATAATGGCCCATTTTTGCAATCAATCTCAATCAATCACTGAATTCTTCAATACCTTCTTGTTACTCCTCTCTGAGGCATATGCATTTTAAAGAAATGTTAACAGAGAGACAAGGCCCTAATGTAAAATAATAGATGTCTAACTTTAGAACTCCCGCACCACGAAAAAGGAATTTGAATGAGATCCGAGAAGGTGAATCTGCAGCATTCACACGCCACTCCCTCTCCTAATCATGGCAGATATTGTAAGGCTTCTGGATGCAATGCGTTAGGCATCACAACCAGTCGCTTGGAGTGGCACACAAGTTTATCTAACCCATCTGCAAGTCCTAGTTCCATGAATTCTGAGTCCCCTCCAGTTGTAGGATCTGGGCTTCTGTGAGGTAACTGAGAAGCCCTCTATCCTTCACACCACAGATGACTTGTGTTATGCCCAGCCATACCATAAGAGTTCAACAGGGGGCCAGCCATGGTGGCTCACGCCTGTAATCCCAGTATTTTGGGAGGCCAAGGCAGGAGGATGGCTTGAGCCCAGGAGTTGGAGGCCAGCCCAGGCAACACGGTGAGACCCCATCTCTATACAAATAAAAAATAATTAGCCAGGCGTGGTGTTGTACACCAGTAGTCTCAGCTACTTGGGAGGCTGAAGCAAGAGGATGGCTTGAGCCCAAAAATTCCAGGCTGCAGTGAGCTATGAGTGCACCCCTGCACTCCAGCCTGGGTCACAGAGTGAGACCTGGTGTCAAAAAAAAAAAAAAAAAAGAAGTCCAGTGAGGGCATCCACAAGATTTTTCAGAAGACAGATACCATCCCACTTCCCTAAGGAGAACAGGGAAGGAGATTTGTGGAGGAGACCTATTGTGCCAAGAAAAACAATCAGCCCCTGCTGGAATCTGACAACTCATTAAAACAAATCCCTGCTGCAGAAGGGCCTCCACATCCCATCAGCCCTGAGGAAGGAGAACATCCCAAGGTGCTGCCCACAGTCCTCGCCAAACTGTCCACACCTGATGCTCCATCCATCACACCCCTTGGATCAGACCCAGGAATATGAATGGGACTCGTGGTCTCATTTCTCAATGAGAGTCACCCCTCAGGCCTCCCAACACAGTGGCTGCAGGACTGGGAGGCAGGAGGACAGGGCTAATGTTGTGCTTGCTAATGAGCCTTCTGGGAGCATTGAAATGGGCTGCACAGGAGCAACCAATAGCCAGCCACACACAATGTCATCTGCTCAGCAGTCAACACAGCCCTGCTGCTGTTAGCAAAGGGCCTGAGACAGGCACCGTTATGGGCCCAGAAAATTCATGCAGGCAGAAGAGGGGCAGGAAGAGAACCCAGCAGGTTCCTCACCCCACCCACCCCACCCACCCCCTTCATAGGCCTGGCCCTTTTGAGATCAAGTGAGAGCCTTCTTTCCTGCTTCCCCTTGGTTCAATGGAACAAGGCATTAGACACCTATTGTGCTCCAGGCAGAGTGGGTAAAGGAAGTGGGTTTTTAGAGACTTATCCTGCCAAGAAAAACCATCAGCCCCTGCTGGAATCTGACAACTCACTAAAACAAATCCCTGCTACAGAAGGGCCTCCACATCTCATCAGCCCTGAGGAAGGCGGCATCCCTTCACAAGGTGCTGCCCGCAGCCCTCGCCAAACTGTCCACGCCCAGTGCTCCATCCAGCACGCCCCTTGGATAGGACCCAGAAGCATGAATGGGACTCGGGTGCTGGAGAATGAGAAAGGCATCCTTTCTGTCCTGCAGATGAGGGTGTGGCAGGCAAGGCCTCCTCCCCCAGGGAACTTCCATCCCGTCCGCTCCTCAGCACGCTGCCTTGCTCTAGTTTGGTCCTTCCATTTCTGACACCACCATGTGGGACTCCTGACTGGCAGTTTGCAGATTGGAAATGCAAAAGGAACCAGAATGTCTCACCCTTCTCACTCCTCACCCTGTACAAAGTGCCCTCGCACATTACTCAGGAGACGGGGCTCACCCCTGATTCTGCCACTTTCTAGCTGCCTGGCTTTGGGAAAGTCCCTAAATCTGGCTGTGCCTTGGTTAAAACAGGGACAATGACACCTGCCCTGCCTATTTCACATGACTGGTGACTCACTCCACCAGCCTTAAAGCACCTACTATGTTCCAGGCACTGACATAGACACATTGCCTCTGTCTTCTTCTTCTTCCTCTTCTTTTGAGAAAGGGTCTCATTCTGTTGTCCAGGCTGGAGTGCAGTGGCTAAATCATGGGTCACTATAGCCTTGACCTCCCAGGCTCAAGTGATCCTCCCACCTCAGCTTCCCAAGTAGCTGGGACTACAGATGTGCACCACCATGTCCGGCTAATTTTTTAATTTTTTATAGAGATGAGGTCTCTCTGTGTTGCCCAGGATGGTCTAGAACTCCTGGGCTCAAGCGATCCTCCCACTTTGGCTTCCCAAAGTGCTGGGATTACAGGTGTGAGCCCCCACGCCTGGCCTTCTGTCTTCAATAAGACAGGATCAAAAAGCATACAGCCTAGTAGGGGGAGGCAGATGTACAAATGAAAAAGTGCAATAATGTTTGGAAGCTATGGTGGTAGAATTATGGTATAGTGGGGAGAAGGATTGACTGAATAATGCATATACATAGAAATGGAGGTTTTAGAGAAATCATTTCATAAGGAAATAACACTTGCTAAGCTCTTCCCAGGAG
The DNA here is from genome assembly GCF_000001405.40 of Homo sapiens. NCBI lineage: Eukaryota > Metazoa > Chordata > Mammalia > Primates > Hominidae > Homo > Homo sapiens. The sequence continues at coordinate 21,802,870 of NC_000008.11, forward strand.
GTACTTCCATATACATAGTTGTTCTAGATATCCAAAAAGATGATGGGTGTGAACCTACTCTATAATAGGCTGTGGGGATTTGTACAGTACAAAGCATTCATGTAAAATATCAGACTTCGGTCAACAAAAATAGGTTGTATTAGCTAAGCTAGGTTAAGCTAAGTTTATTGCTGCAGCAACAAACTACTGCAAAGTCTCAGAGGGTTAACACCGCAAAGGTTTATTTATTCCTCATGCAACATGTTCAATGTACTTTGGCAGGGGCCTCTGCTCCACACGGTCACTCAGGGATCCAGGCTGACTCGTGCATTATCATCCTGCAGCTGCTACACCTAGAACACAAGTCCTCTTCAGTCATTGAGGCAAGAGGAGAGACAACTGAAGGGCAGAGAGCTGGCCAGAATACATGTCACTTTCACCCACATCCCATTGGCCAGAACCAATTACATGCTCCTGTCTAGCAACAGTGGGACTAGAAGATATGAGGAAACATGGAATGTCTGGTGAGCATCAAGAGCTCTGCCACAGAGAACAAAGAACTGTCTGCATTTCACAGAACTGGGGTGTTTGGCTAATCAGAGAGTCCTTTAGGGAACTCTGAGTCTGGTCCCCTCAGAGCCAAGCAATTCCTGGGCTACAGGACTGGAAATGTATTCTTCCTAACTACAAAGTGACTGGCAATGGCAGAGAACTGAGGAACAACAAGACTCAAGTTATTTCTATGACTCAGATGAGCACAGAGTTAACACAGTAATGATCATAGCTAACTTTTTCTTTTGAAGAGACAGGATCTCACTCTGTCACCCAGGCTGGAGTGCAGTGGCACAATCATAGCTCACTGTAATCTCCAACTCCTATGTGCAAATGATCCTCCCACTTCAGCCTCCCAAGTAGCTGGGACTACAGGCACAAACCACCACACCTGCTTAATTTATTTTACTTTTTTAGAGATAGGGTCTTGCCATGTTGCCCTGGCTAGTCTGAAACTCCCAGCGACCCAAAGCACTGGGATTACAGGAGTGAGCCACTGTGCATGGCCCATAGCTAACATTAAGTGAACACTTACTGTGTGCAAAGTCCACATCACCTGTATTATATTATTTAAGCCTCACAATAACCCAGGAAGATAAATAATACTAATAGCCCCATTTGATATATGAAGATAATAAAGAACAAGTCAAAGGTTCTTCATATTCTTCAACTCATAACATATCAGAGCAGGAAATTGAATGCAGAAGTCAGTCCCCTGTCTCCAAAAATCATTCGCTTTACCACAAACCTATACTGCTGCCTATAGTGGAATGGAGTCACTAATTTTACATACATACATGCACACACACACACACACACACACACACACATGCATACACACAATTTACAGTTCCAAGATCTGGATTCTCAGCCTGGTTCTGACACTAGTTACATAACCTTAGGTAAGTCCCTTCACCTCTCTGAACTTCAATTTCCTCATCGGCAAAACGGGAATAATAGAAATATCTATTATCTATTTAATTATCTTATAGAAAAGAGTTTTGTCAACTATAAACTTCTCTGCTAAAAAAAAAAACAAAAAAAAAACAAACTGGTGCATTAGATATGCCCTAGGGATGATGCAAAGTTCTGAAGGGAGGTCACAACTCCTGGGTGGGGAACAAAATAGGACAGATGCCTTACTCTGAGGAGTCTTCCTCACACCCCTGAAGCAGCCCCTAACAACAACCAGAGGTGGGCCCACCCTGCCTCTTCTTCTGTCCCCACGCTCTGTTTGGCAGCTTGAGCACAGCCTCAGATTTGTCTGCTTTTCCTGCAGAGGTTTTTGCAGGATTTCTGCTAAGTGGGGCAGCGACATCAATAAGTTCCATTGTGTCATGAGTGTTATTGAAGAGCAGAGTGTCTGGCCTGCTGGCTGGGGCTTCTGGGCTCATAAGCTCTCCCGACCCTCTTTCACCCCGGCCTCATTGGTGAATGGCCCCTACTGCCCTTTCTCCCCTGCTCCAGCCTCCAATTCCATTCTGCAACAGGACCACTATTTCAGCATGCCTGGTCCACACATCCATCCCCAACAGTGTCCACCGAACATTCTCCCCAAACCCAGAGCCTTCACTCAAGGCATGCCTCCCATCTAGAATATCCTCCCACCACCTCGCCTGTCAAAGTCCTCCTTAGACACACAATGCAATGTCAACAGCAGTTGTCTCCGGGTGATGAAATTACAGATTAGCTTTATCTTTTTCTTTCCAATTTCCTCTATTTGGAGATCTGGGGGAATGAGCACATAATATTTTTCTCATAAAAAGAAATCACAATGAAGTCATGTTTTAAGTTCCTACCTTCCTGTGAGCCCCTCCCCTCCATCCTAGTCTACAATTCTGTTTCTTCTGTGAAATTCTACAGCTCTTGGCCCTATCATAAATTGCTTTATACTCTAGTTGGTTTGCTGGGCATGAACATCTGGTAGCCCCAACCAAATGGAAAGCTCCATGAGAGCAGGGGACATATTACACATATTTTCCCTATGCTACACAGCCCTCTGCACAGTTCAGGAAGAGCTGAAGCAGCGACTGAGTACTTACCAATTACAGGGGTTATGGGATGGCCCCAGTATATGTTACAGTGGCTTGGGGAGGTAGAGTCATGCAGAATAAGAACTAAGGGGCCTTGGAGTTTATACAATCTGATGCTCTGCATTCACACAGTTTCTGACATTTCATTTACCCTCATTAATAGGGTCTGGTTACCCCCACTACATGAGCAGTCAAACTAGGGCTGGGAGTCGTAAAGCAATTTGGCCCAAGCTTCCAGAGCCCACATCTCCTGTGGTCCTGTCCAGTGCCTTAACCACTAAACTGCAGCTGCCACTCCAAGACCTTATTAATAGCCATTTCTCTCCCCAGTCAGTGGCTGGACATGACTTGCCAGGTTAATAATTTGTTCATTAGGCGCCTAATGAATTACTTGTTAATTGCTAACTTGATGAACAGCCAGCAGTTCCCATCTGCCTGGAGAAACAACAGCAAATAACCACAGAAGGGCCGGCCAAGCCCCAGTGGCTGCAGGGCAGAAGGTTTGAGCCCCAGAGGGTGGCAGTTCCCTCAGGGAGAAGCCTGTCTTGGCCAGTCACCTGAAGCTGAGTCCCAAGGGATGGGCGCCTCTGGTAAACGACCTCTTGCTGGTCCTATAACTGCCCTGCAAAGGGTCGAGGCAGCCCAGCTCTTCATCTACCCTAATTATTCAAGCCTCCTCTCCACAAAACTTCCCCTTTTTGCTTTCTTTTCTTTTCATTTTCTCTGAATTTCCACCACTTGAAGTCAGAACTACGGAGGGTCTCAAACTTCTGATGGTTCAACTTTCGATTTTTCAACTTTACAATGGTGCAAAAGAGATACATTTTCAGTAGAAACTACTTCCAATATGCATGCAACCATTCTGTTGTTCACTTCCAGAAGAGTACTCAATAAATTACATTAAATATTCAACACTTTGTTATAAAATAGGCTTTATGTTAGATAACTTTGCCCAATTGTAGGCTAATATAAGTGTTCTCGGCACATTTAAGGTAGGCTAGACTAAGCTATGATTTTTGGTAGGTTAGGTATATTAAGTGCATTTTTTTGAGATAGTGTCTTGCTCTTGTCACCCAGACTGGAGTGCAGAGGCACGATCATAGCTCACCGCAGCCCAGGACCCCGGACTCAAGCGATCCTCCTACCTCAGCCTCCTGAGTAGCTGGGACTACAGGCCTAAGCCAACATACCTAGCTAAATTTCCTTTAACTTTTGTAGAGATGGGGTCTTGCCGTGTTGCCTAGACTGCTCTTGAACTCCTCCGTTCAAGTGATGCTCCCACCTCTGCCTCCCAAAGCACTGGGATTACAGGTACAAGCCACCATTCCTGGCCTAAATGTATTTTTGATTTATTATATTTTCAATTTACAACAGATTTATTGGGAAATAACTCCACTGTAAATAGAGGGGCACCTGTTCTCAAAGTAAACTTTTTGTATCCACACATAATGATATGTCATCATATTTTCTCAGGGTGTTGGTTCTATCTTCCTATCTCAAAGGCAGCTACAATGTCGCTATTGGTCACTTCAAGCTTCCTAAAAACAGAAACCATATCTTTCTCATTCATCCTTGTATCTCTTGTACCTAACGTAATGCCATAGTACCTTATAAGTATTTATTAAAGGAGCAAATTACTCATACTTTTCTGTACAAATCTGTATTGGTTTGCTCAGGCTGCTGCTATGGTTTGAATGTCCTCTCCAAAACTCATATTGAAATGTAATTGTCATTATAGTAGTATTCAGCACTGAGATCATTGACAGCCCACATGAATGGATTAATGTCATTATTGAGACAGTGGGCTCATTACTGCAACAGTGGGTTTGTTACATAAGTAAGTTCGGCCACCTCTTGCTGTCTTGCTCACTCTCACCCTCTCTTGCCTTCCACTTTCCTCCATGGGATGACACAGCATGAAAGCCCTCACCAGACGCCAGCACCATGCTCTTGTATTGCAGCCTCCAGAACCATAAGACAAATAAACTTCTATTCTTTGTAAATTACCCGGTCTGCGGTATTCTGTTATAGCAGCAGAAAACAAACCAAGACAGCTTCCATGACAAAGTACTGTAAACTGGGTAGCTTAAATGCAGAAATTTACATATATTCTCACAGTTCTGGAGGCTGGAATTCTGAGATCAAGGCTTCTCTGAGGCCTCTCTCCTTGGCTTGCAGATGGCCACCTTCTTGCTGTGTCCTCACATCGCCTTTCCTCTGTGCATGCACACCCCTTGTGTCTCCTCATGTGTCCAAATTCCTCTTCTTATAAGAACTCCAGAGAAAACATAGAAGAAGATGACCAAGTCCCATCCTACAGGGGCTTACAAGAAAGGATACTGGGAGTGAAAGCCACATACCGACTAGGGAAAGTTGACTAATTCCTTTCTATTTCAATTCCGTCTGTAACATGGACATCATAACGCCTCTTTCTCCATCATGCCAATGCTAGAAGCATAAAATGAGACTGTGCTCTGATAAGAAAAATTACTATGCAGATGCAGATTGGATTAGGGCCCACCCTAATGACCTCATTTTAATGTAATCATCTCTTTAAATACCCTTCCTACAAATACACTCATATGAGGTAGTGTGTGTCAGGGCTTCCACATATGAATTTTGAAGGGAACTAGTTCAGCTCATAACACCTTCTCACTCCACAATGCCAACTTCAGGGCTGGGCACATATTAAATATTTAACACATCCTCCGAAATTGGTAGACATTCCATTTTCTCTGGGGGAAGGGCTCATCTTTGTGGCCTGAGTTCCTAGTCCTGCACAGACCCCTGAAAAACTCCATGGTGGAATATTTAAGGCAAACCCTCTTGTCATGTCGGCTCCCAAATCCTAATGGCTCTGTTATTTTTGAAATCACTTTAGAGCAGCACTGAATAGAGATGGTGATTTCTTGCATTTGCATAGCAATTTTTCTTATCAGAGCACAGTCTCATTTTATCCTTCCAGCATTGCTATGATGGAGGAGGGTTGTTATGATGTCCATCTTATGGACAGGGAATTGAAATAAAAAGGAATTAGTCAACTTTCCAAAGTCAGAGTAAGCCTAGTATGTGCCTTTCACTTCCGTTAACCCTCCTTATGAACCCCTGTAGGACGGGACTTGGTCATTTTCTTCTCCGCAGCTGAGCCTCCAGCGCAGGTCCAGGCACAAAGGGGATGCTCAGGGAGGTTTGGCATTAATAATAACAGAGCTGCTGGAAGAGCCTCTATCCAGAGGAGCTGAAGTCTCAGGACTGACCACCACCCAGCCACCCAAATCCCCTCCAGCAAAACAAGCCCTTGGGCCCTAGGGCCACGTGGATGGCCCGCTTCAGGGTCTGAGCTTCCCACACCCGAGCTGCGTTTCAGTGAAGGCCCTGAAGCCAAGGTTGAATTGAAAATGAGTCTGGAAATATATCTATTATCACTTCCACACTGCTACGAGTGACAATAAGGAAAATGAGTTTACAGTACAATTGCAAAGTGATTTCACATATTATTTATTTCTACCTCTTTTTATCACGGGTATTTTTAGAAGCTGCCTCAAATGCATTGTGGAATGAAGCAGGGTATGAATTTTAAAAATACACTATCTCATTTCCTCCTTGGGGCCATGTTTCAGAGTGGATAAGGAGGGTAGTGTGCCCATTTAGCAGATGGGTAAAGCAAGGCAGAGAGAGGCCAAGTGTCAGCCCAACATCACGCAAGGAGTAAGTGAATAAGCTAGGCCTAGACCCGCACTCCATGCTTTTTCCTGTTTGTCGCTGGCTGCTGTGGGAGGAACACTGAGGAACTGGACCAGGAGAGAGCCCTTCTAAGGGCAGGAGAGAAACAAATGCATGTCCGCTGCAGATGTATCTCCTTTGGCAGAGTTTTTGAACAATTTGTATCTCTGTTTGTTTTTGTTTTGGGAAACGGAGTCTCGCTCAGTCGCCCAGGCTGGAGTGCAGTGGCGCGATCTCAGCTCACGGCAAGCTCCGCCTCCCAGGTTCACGCCATTCTCCTGCCTCAGCCTCCCGAGTAGCTGGGACTACAGGCGCCCGCCACCATGCCCAGCTATTTTTTTTTTGTATTTTTAGTAGAAAAGGGGTTTCACCGTGTTAGCCAGGATGGTCTTGATCTCCTGACCTCGTGATCCGCCCGCCTCGGCCTCCCAAAGTGCTAGGATTACAGGCGTGAGCCACCGCGCCCGGCCAACAATTTGTATCTGAATGATTTTAGTTGAGGCCTGTACCCCCCAGTTCCCTACCTGGCCCCTGCATCATCGCACTGTGTTGCCCACACTTTTGTGTTGCTGTCTGGCTGCCAATGGCTCTTGAGTTTGCAGCCTCTGTTTGGTCTTTGAAAAACAGCCTTGCAGTAACTTCCTTGGGAAGCCCAATGGCACCAGGGATGGGAGAGTTCTTTAGCTATAGAACACGGCCCAGGAAGGGAAATAGGGGAACAGCAAATGCAACATCACCCACACCCTCACCCAACAACACAAATTTGCAGCAGCTGATGGGATCCAGTACCTTAAGCCACCAGATGTTGCTTCTCCTACAGTCCTGGGCAGAACTGGAACACATATTTTACCCTCCTAGATCATCTCCCAACGCATGATCTGAAATAGGCTACAGAATAAACAAGCCTTGGTCTCTCACCAGCTCAGCTCAAGTAGAACTTGTGAGCCTCACAGGCTCCATAAAAAGCCAAATGCAAAAGCACATGGCAGATGATCCAGCCCCTCCCACACCTGAGCCACCACCACATCACTTCCAGCTTTCTTCTCTGATGAACACAGGAGCCCCAAATCCAAACCTGCCCCCAGATACCATCCACAACAGTGGACTGTGGGAGTGGAAGTGACCCACAACATGCAATCCTTCCCCACTCCCTCCTTAGCAAACCCTCCAGCTTGGGGGAGGTCAGCCTCCTCCCTCTGCCCACCCCCCTCACTGACCTGGAGCCATAGCCCCACAGTCCCGTCAAGTCCTCCCCTCCTGGACAGAGTCCTTCCTGGGCTTTTGCTGCCAATAGAGATCAAAATCTATGACCACTTGGTGCCAGCTCCTTGGCATGCTCAGAATACAAAAGAACTGGGCCACAGGGAAGCAGAGAAATGACAGGTCCTGGCTGGCACTGAGGGTAATGGAGGCATCAAAGGAGCTGTCACTCAGAGACCCCATCTCAGTGGCTGTGATGGCAGCAAGGGCCTAGGATATGCCATCATGGGAAGGGGCTGCAGGCACTCAGTGGAGCCAGTGGTAACAGTAGAGATGTCAGGTACAGAGCCTGAATTCTCAGGGACTCTATGGAAAAAAAAGGAGTTGGTGCAGGCTTCTGGGAATGGGGCCCCTGGAATGAAGTGAGGTGGGCACTGAGGTGTAAGTGAGGCTCCTCTCCTGGGAACCAGACTTGGTGGGCTGCAGAGGAGCCCCCAGCAACCAAGCAACCCCCACAACCAGGCCACCAGCCTATGGGTATAAAGGAAGTCACATTTCCCAGCAACTCTAGAAGAAGCACCTGGGGAGCCACCTGACCTCCCATCAGGGAAAGGGGCTGCCTCTTGACAGCCTCGCAGAAGTGCTTGACACTCTTGTCCTCTCCAGAAAACCGATTTTTAAATCACACTGATCTCAAAAGCAGGCCTGTGGCTGGCCCCTCCTGGGCCCCAGGAGAGAAGGGGAGCAGCCTGCAGAGAACAAGGGCCAGGACACAGCCGGCATGGGCAGCCACCTCCTCAGAGGCCTTTAGGGCCCCTGTGGAGGCCCAGCCAGCAGCATCCCTCTGTACTTTCTGCCTCGGGCCTCCCCTGGAACAGAAGCAGGAATCGGCCTCCCGGTGAGGCATCCTCACAGCGGGTCTTTGCATCGGCCAGAGCTGGACTGAGATTGAGAGGCAGTGTCTCCCCTGGGACTCTAACCCCTGCTAAGTTCCCAAGCAGGAGATCCTAACATGTGACTTTACCAGCTCTTAGGGAACTCGGGATGGGTTTTCCCAGGCTGGATCAGAGGCCTTTTAAATGTCCTTCCTAGAATTAAATCCCCAAGCATTTCTCCCTGGCAACAAGAAATCAAACTCATAGGCAGGAACCCAAGGGTCTGGTGCCTCCCGGGTCCTCCATCCACCTAGGGCACTCGGGTCAGAGGAACAGTCTCGGCTTGAGCTTTACATTCCCCATGTCCTGGGCCCTTTGTTACAGGCTCTTCAAAGTCCAGGGACCCTGGCCTTCTCCTGCATACAAGTCCTCCCCCCGCCTTCCCCACAGGCTGTCCTAACAGATAGCTTCCCCTGCAAGTGAATGGAGATCTGCCCCGGTGCCCCCCAACCCCCAACCTCCAGCCCCCTCATTGCAGAGAAAGGCTTGGCTCTTGTTTTCTTTTAACTTAAAACAACACTTCTGGACTCACAGGAAGTTGTAAAAATAGTACAGAGCAATCTCACAGACCCTTGCCCATTTTCCCTGAGTTACAATTTACATAACTATGCTACATCAGGAAACTGACTTGGTTACAATGTGTGTCTATAGTTCTGTGCCCTTTGATTACTTCACCAACACTGAAAATCAAGATTGGCAACTCTTCCCTCTCCATATAGATCCCGCCATCCCGCACTCCCCCCAGCCCCTGGCTATCACCCATCTGTGTTCTCTGTCATTTTGTCATTTCCAGTCTCTGCCCCTACTGAAGCGTGTGGCCATCCGAAACCACCTTGGAGACCGGGTAGATCCCAGCTGAACAAAGCAGGCAGTCCTGGGACAGAAATGGCCCAGGACAAAGGGAACCCAGTCTCACTTGGATGCAGACAACTCACATACCTGGCACCTGTGTGCCGCAACTCGGCCCTCATCTGCCAGCTTCTGCCGGCCTGATGGCGCATTGTCCCGTTCCAACTCCAGATCCATGGTTGCCCTTGCCGGGGTCTCAGCTGCTGGCTCCACTCCCCTCCTGCGGGCCCCTCCCGCACCCTGCTCTCTGCTGCCCCCATCAGGCAGCCTGCTCTCAGAGCATCCCGGCCGCAGGATTTTAATTCAAAATTCTCCCAAGTCATGCTTCTCCCATACTGTACCTACATAATTCACTTTTATTACCTAAATATAGGGCTTAATATTTGGTCCTGTTAAATTTCATCTTGTTTGTTTCAGGCATCCTTTCAGCTTCTCAGGATGCTTTCAAATCCTCAGCTATCTCTCTGAACTTCAATTATCTCTTCTGTCATCTAGAAATTTAATCATCCTGCTGTCTGTATCTTCGTCCACGTCACAGATAAAATCGTCGAATTGAGCAGGGCTTAGAACAGAGTGTTCTGGTACAATACTAGGTGCCCCTTCTAGAGGGGAAAGAGTGAGATTTGGGATCCCAGCAACCCCTTTACAAGCCATTATTCAGCAGCTCTAAATGCACCCAAGTGAGCTGCCAACCAGACTTTATTTTTTTCATTTATTCATGAGGCTGCCAGGAAAGATTTTGCACTGCTTGCTCACAGACGGACCAGCCCACTTGAGTCCCCACCCACTTAGCCAAGGGTCTAATTCCCAGAAGTTCCCAAGAACACCTAGGCTTGTATACACTTGTCTAAAACTCAGGCCTTTTGAGGCTATATGGCTGCTACCTGCAAAGAAAGCAGAAACTCAGAAAGACTCACTCTGCTGACTGGTCTAGCCATGGATGTCTGCTTGATTTGGGGGTGGCCACGATGACTCTGTGAGGTGAGAAGAAGGACATTTCATCTGTCTGGGACCTAAGTATTACATATTTAATCAGAAGTATGCAGCTTTAGGTTGTGTGTGGTGGCTGACGCTGGTAATCCCAGCATTTTGGGAGGCCAAGGCAGAAAGATTGCTTGAGACCAAGAGTTCAAGACCAGCCTGGGCAAAGAGCAAGACCCCATATCTACAAAAAAAAAATTTTTTTTAATTAGCCAGGCATGGTGGCCTGCACCTGTAGTCCTAGCTCCTCAGGAGGTTCAGGTAAGAGGGTGGCTTGAGAGCCCAGGAAGTAGAGGCTGCAGTGAGCCAAGATTGTGTCACTGCACTCTAGCCTGGGCGACAGAGTGAGACCCTTTCTAAATATAGATAGATGATAGATGACAGACAGATGGATAATATATAGATATAGATAATGGATAGATAGATAGTAGACAGACAGATAATAGAGATAGATCATAAGATAGAGAGAGAGAGAGAGAGAGAGAGAGAGATAGATAGATAGATAGATAGATAGATAGATAGATAGATAGATGGATGCAGCTTTTTCCCAAGGCCCACCCAGAGTTCTACACTGGCCCTGGGTTCTGGCAGCAGCCAGCTATCCATGCCAGCTGCCCCTGCTGATGGTCCTGGAGGCCTGGCCCCGGTCCTGCTTCCCTTTCTCTTGTGGTGAGCGTGCTCTTGGGGAACATGCTGTTCTTTACTGCCTGCTCACCTCATTGCAGCCGTTCTCTCCAGCCATGTGAGGATAGGGGTCTCATTGCCTAGTCTCTGTGGGGACCCCTCTGTTCCTGTATAGGTTCAGAATAAAAATAGGGACATAAGAGAGGCACAGCCCACAAGGCCACTCTGTGACACTTAAGTCCCATGTGCACATGGATAATATGAGGAGAGGAGCCACCTCTGACCCACCACCCCCTGCCGCCCCTGCCGAGCAGAAGTGCCCTGTTACACTGACTTTCTAATCAAACAGCGATCACAAGGAGGAAAAAGTTGGAGTGATCCTCTTTGTCCTAAGTGAACTCACACTGGCTTCCAGCGATCACCTTTCTTTTCCAAGAACTCACAAATCATCAGTTTCAGTCATCAGTTTTGGAATTTTGCCAAGGGTCAACATTGAAATTACTGTATAATCATTTCCAAAATCAGGGAAGGTCCGGGCTTTCTGGGCCTAATGCACTTTCTTAAGTGTGGAAGCCAACTGTTCCTTCCCCCTCACTCACCATGAGAATCACACACACACACACACACACGCAAGAAGGCACCCACCAGAGACTACACTCCACTGACACGGAAGTGCCGCCAAACATAAAGACTTCCAAAGCCAACGTCCCTGATTCTTCCCATCCTGTCTTCTTTTCACCTCTCTCAGAATTGCTCCCTCCTCTCTCTCCACCACCTCATCCCTCCACCCAGAGGTAAGAGACATCTTCATAGCTCTGTAATTGTGACTGTGGCTAAGCAGCCGTGTGATCGCAGGGAAAGGGGAGCCAGGCACGCGGGAGGGGCTCGGACAGGCTCTGACCCATGCTGCCAACACACCTCCATCTGTCAGCGACAGCCCTCCCTGCGTGGGGAGTTGATGGAGCGGTGACTGCCAGTTTGCTAACGTCCTTGTCTGCGGATGCTGCAAAGACATGGTTTTCCATGGAGGAATTCTGAGGCTTACACGCAAGTCTTCTCTGAATTACAGTAATTAAAGTTGAGAAGAGCAACACGCCAGAACTCCTCCTTTACCTGTCATTTCTGGGCTGATGACGGGGCTCCAACTTCAAGGTCACTCTGTCCTCCTCCCTCTTTCCTTCCTGCCCCTGGCTCCTCTCCACACCAGGCCTGAAACAGCCAAGGACCCAACCTTCCCCCATCACAAAAGGCAGCCAACCAGATCCGGGGGAAAAGCAGGCACCTTCGAACTCCAGTGCTTGGGATTTCAAGTTGAGTCTTACTGGCTTGGTTCCCAGCAGGAAAACATTTCATCCAGGCCCTGCTGGGGCTGGGGATAGGGTCAGAGACAATAATGAGAACTGGAAGAGACTCAACTACCATCCAGACCTGTCTGCTAATTCCACAAACGAAGAAACAGAGGCTCCAAAGAGAGAAGTATCGTGCTAAAGTTCAGCCAGATAGTCTCAGAGTCAGAACGAGAACTCGATTCTCCTGACACCGGGTTTATTCCACTACCCCAGGGCCATTTGTTGAAGCCAGCCGTTGTGTTAAGCGCTTTACATAAATTATTTCTAATTTTTACAGCAACTTTTCAGGGTATCATTATCCCCATTTCAGGATTGAGGTAATGGAGTGATTTGCCCAAGGTCGCATAGATAGAAAGTGGCAGGCGAGGAATTCAAGTCTGTTATCCCATTCTTTCTCATAAATATCCATCAGGGGCAGAGAGAGGCGAGTCTGAGTGGGTTTGGGGATGTGTGAGGGTGTCCCAAAGGAAGAAGTCCTGAAAGGTACCTGCTGGAACATCCCAGCTACAGGCTTCCACGGATTACATTCACCTCACCAACGGTAAGGCCCACATATGGCCAGTTGTTAACAAACATCGTACCAAGAAGGAAAAAAGCCCTGAGTACAAGTGCCTGGAGGTTGATCTTCAACAGGGAAGATGTAGAAAGGCAGATGAAAGCTAAGGACCCTGAAACTGACAGAAGGTCAGGGAGAACCTACTAAAACCCACAGGTCTCCCTTGGGTTTTTGTGGCTAAGCTGGTGGGAGTGAGAAGAAACCCAAACTCCCAATTTAGTTTCCAGATGTCTGTCTATCTCATTCGCCACCACCCACATACTCCAACCCCACTCCTGAATTAACAGGAGGACTGATCAGACCTCACAGAAAATGATGGGATTCTTGTGCTCCCAGAGCCCAAATTCTATACTCCTCACTCCTACCCAAGGCCTGGAAAGGTAAGAGGCTTTAGCAGAGACAAATCAGAGAAGGAGTGGGGTCGGGGGGGCAAGGAGTAAGAAAGTGGCTTTGTGGGGAAGACCCAGTCCTACACAGCTCAGGAATGCGCTAGAGGGCTGACCAGTCCTATAATGCCTTGCCTTTGTGGACACAGGACTCAAACATTTGCAAGAAGATGTTAGACACCATAACGTTAGCTCTCGCCACAACACGAAATAACTAGTATGTCATTGTCAGTTGAGTTATACCAACTTTCTCATCATTTTTCTTTGCAAAATGAGGACAATAATAGTATGCACCGCACAGGATGTTTGTGAGAATTAAATGAGATGCAAAGTACCTAGTATAGTTCCTGGCATATAATCAGCACACAATAAATGTTAGATTTTTATTGTTGTTTTTACTTCTATCTTGATGAAAAATGTATTATTTTTACACTGTTATAAACCTAAGAGAACCATGAGTTAGGTTCCACAAATTTCATTGCTGAAATCATGTACCTTGGACAGTTCTATTATTACATTTGTGTTATTTAAACAAAATTTCCCTTCTCAGGAAAGTTGCGAGGAAAGTACTCCCTATACCACCCCGAGGCAATGCTTCTGCTTGTAAAACACTTTTCCCTTTCAAGGCAATTTCTCACTGCTCCTCATCATAAGCTCACCGTGTAATTCTGAGGTCGACGGAGTAGAAGTTGCTGTACTTCCTTTATCAGATACTGAAACTCAAGGTAAAGGACGTTTGTGGGGCTGGACCTACAGCCAGGTCCTGATGCCTCTCTCAGCATCCAGTCCAGCAACATGGAGCACAGGCAACTTGGCAGGCGATCTGCATGTCTGTCCTCCGGCGCTCACAGTGGGTCCCACGTGTGACCCGCCCCTGCCATTGGTGGAGTCCTGCGTCTCTGCCAGGCTTCAGCCCGACAGGACCCTCACCCAAGCATGAGAGGTTCACAACCTTGAGGAGTTTGGAAGGGCACGCAAAGGGGATCGACTGCTCTTTTTTAAAAAGCATACTGCAGAGCTGTTTGGCCATTTTACAAGACTTCTGATACCCAGCCCTCCTCCACTGCTGTTCAGGTTCTAACCCCTCTCCTTGCCTAGCCCCTTTCCAGCATGAGGGTCAGCCTTACACTAGCACCATTGCCCGAGTGGGGCGGGGTGGAGGGAGTTCACCACGGGTGCATGTTCTGATTGATCAGAGCCCACGCTGTTCAAGGTGCTACCTACTTCGAACATCATCTCTGCCTGCATCCCTGTTTCCCATTACTCCCCAGATATCTATTCCCCTACAGAGAGTTTGACCACCATTCCTCCTAGAATCTTCTGTCCCAGAATGACTTACTTTTACCGATCCAGCCCCTACCCATCCTCCACAAGGCTGGTCAAGCGTCTTTTCCTCCTGGAAGCCCTCCTAGATCAGCCCCAGGCCAGCGTTTACCTCCATTTTCTAGCTCCCAGAGGCTTTTTCGAACTGCAGGTGGTGTATCATTAGCAGGTCATGGACATCAATTCAGGGCATTGCAATGAGCATTCTTTAACCAAATAGAATACAAAATATCAGAAGATACCGTCTGTGATAAAGATCACAGCATGTATATGAACATACGTATGTGTCGCATACTGATGTGATATAAAAAACGTTCCTTACTGCTTCTTGCAGTCAAAACCTTTGAAAAACATTGGATATTAATGCCTTCCATCCTAAATAGTACCAAGCATCTAAAATCTGCCTAACTTCTCCAAAGACACCAGGAGTGAAGTCAGGGAGAAGAGAGGAGAGTGAGGGGGTCAGCCAGGCTGGAGCCACTCTGACATGGGAGAGGAAAGTATATGAGGACAGGGACTAGGTTTCTCTACTTACCTCTCCCCTGGCACCTGGCATAAGTGTCAATGAATGGGTAGCACACCAGTTAGGCTAGATTACTCTGTGATAACAAAAGAAATCAAGGCCAGGCGCGGTGGCTCACACCTGTAATCCCAGCACTTTGGGAGGCCAAGGTGGGCGGATCACGAGGTCAGGGGATCGAGACCATCCTGGCCAACATGGTGAAACCCCGTCTTTACTAAAAATACAAAAAATTTGGGGTGGGGGGAGGGGGGAGGGATAGCATTAGGAGATATACCTAATGTAAATGACGAGTTAGTGGGTGCAGCACACCAACATGGCACATGTATACATATGTAACAAACCCGCACGTTGTGCACATGTACCCTAGAACTTAAAGTATAATAAAAAATATATATTAAAAAAAAATTAGCCAGGCATGGTGGCGGGCGCCTATAGTCCCAGCCACTTGGGAGGCTGAGGCAGGAGAATGGCATGAACCCGGGAGGCGGAGTTTGTGGTGAGCCAAGATTGCACCACTGCACTCCAGCCTGGGCAAAAGAGCAAGACTCCATCTCAAAAAAAAAGAAAAAGAAAAGAAAAAGAAATCAAAAACAGCCGTGCATGGAGGCACACTCCTGTAGTGCCCCCAACTCAGAAGGCTGAGGTGGGAGGATCTCGAGTTCAAGCCCAGCCTGGGCAACATAGGGAGACCCCCATCTCAAAAAAAAAAAAAAGTTTCCACAGCTTAACATGGTTGATTTCTCACTTATGCAAGTCCACTCTAGGTCTGGTAACTCCAGTGTGGCTGTCCCCTAGGTAGTAGCTCAGAAATCTAGGCTGCTTGCACCATGTCACCCTACCTGCTGGATCAATGCATGGATAACTGTAGCAGGGAAAGAGAGAGCCAGGGGCTGTCCATGGTGACCTGTGTCCCTTTTACGCCCAGCTACTGGCCAGACCTGGCCTCATAGCCCCCACCTAACTGCAAAGAGGAAGGGAAATATAGAGAAGCAGTAAGCGTCTCCCTTTCTTTCTCTTCCTTCCTTCCTCCCTCCCTTACTTCGTGTCTTCCCTCCCCACCCTCCTCCTCCTCATCTTTCTCTCTTTCTTTCTCTCTCTCTCTTTCTCTCTCCCTCTCTCTCTTTTCTTTCGAGACAGGGTGTTGCTCTGTCTCAAACAAACAAACAAACAAACAAACAAAGGGCTGGGCGAGGTGGCTCACACCTGTAATCCCAGCACTTTGGGAGGCCAAGGTGGGTGGATCACCTGAGGTCAGGAGTTTGTGACAAGTCTGGCCAACTTGGTGAAACCCGTCTCTACTAAAAATACAAACTTAGACAAGCGTAGTGGCGGGCACCTATAGTCCCAGCTACTCGGGAAGCTGAGGCAAGAGAATTGCTTGAAGCCAGGAGGCAGAGGTTGCAGTGAGCCAAGATTGCACTACTGCACTACAGCCTGGGCAACAGAGCAAGACTCTGTCTCAAAAAAAAAAAAGGCTGGAGTGCAGTGGCATGATCACAGCTCACTTCAGCCTCAACCTCCTGGACTCAAGTGATCCTCACATCTCAGCTTCCCAAGTGGCTGAGACCACAGATATGCACCACCACACCTGGCTAATTTTTTGATCTTTTTGTAGAGATGGGGTTTCACTTTGTTGCCCAGGCTGGTCTTAAACTCCTAGGCTTAAGTGATCTTCCTGCCTCCCTGGCCTCCCAAAGTGCTGGGATAACAGGTATGAGCCTCTGGTCCCAGCCAAATGTCTCTACAGTAACACTGCCCGAGGTGTTTTGCCTCAAAACTCTATGTATGTAACTTGCCTCCCCAGCTCCTCAGGTAGTCATTCCACAGAACTTCTGGTGGTCTTCTGTAAAGCAAGCCCTATGCTAATATCTGGGAATAGAGAAGTAACTGAGACACTGTCCCAGTTTGGATGGCACCAGAAGCAATCCTGAGCTGAGGATCACAGTGTCCCTGGTTAACCTGGGAAGTGCAGAGAACACCAGCAGGGCAAAGGGAAGTGATCCAGGAGATGCATTTTATTAAGCCTGTTACCTCAGTGGATGTCTGAAGCCCAATCCCATGGAGAAGGTCTGGAAAATAGTGTAAAGCGCACCTCAAAATTATCCCCACTTTAGGGTTGAGGAAGCTGAAGTCTCCCTCAACCCGCTCCCCATCAGCGCTGATTCAAGCTGCTCCTGAGGGATGTTAGTGCCCCAGCCCTTCCAGCCTGCTCCACTCACTCAGGGGAGTGGAGTAACCTTCCAGAAAAATCCCTCGTTCAAAGGCAGGTGAAGTTCCCAGAGCAAACTTCTCAGTAAGGGTAAGGTCTGAGGGAAATGAGCAGGAAACTGACAGCCCCAGCTTCCACACAGGTGAACTTACCAGGCAGGAGAAGAAAGAGGCAGATATGCAAATAAACATTAGCAAAGGAGAAAATGCTACAATTGAGGAAGCAACAAAGCGTCCAGGCACAGAGGAGGTAGCAGCTGATCCTCCCAAGGATGGAAAAAGACTTCCTAGAAGTGATCAAATCTGGGCTGAATCCTGAAGGCCAAGTAGGAGTTACCTCTGAGAAGAGGAAGAAGAGATGCAATGGGGACTGCTTGCCTGCCCATCACCTCCATTGTCCCTTTCTTCCCAGCTGACCCAGTTCTGCTTAGGGTGCACTGTGCTCAGCCCCAGGTACCTCTCTAGGACTGGTCTGCACCTGTTGCAAAATCCTTATGCCCATTTGCCAGAGTCTTGGTTTTCCAGCCTCTCTTGCACCTGGCAGTGGGCGTGTCAACTGGCCCTGGCCAATAAAGGTAGTAAGAGGGGGTTGGGTGCAATGGCTCACACCTGTGATCTCATCTCAGCACTTGGGGAGGCCAAGGCAGGAAGATTACGTGAGGCCAGGAATTTGAGACCATCCTAGCCAACACAGCAAGACCCCAGATTTCTTTTTTTTAAGGTAATAAGAGGGGGTCTGCCAGGGAGGATTCTGTGGCAGCATTTGCTTTCCTGAGCTAAAGAGCAGATGGATTTGCTGCTGTCCTTTCCTTTCCTCCTGTCTTGAATGCAAACGTGATGCCTAAAGTCTCTATAGCCATCTTGTGACCATCAGGTACTGAGCACGAGGACAAAAAGTCAACAAGCTAAAGACAGTAGAGTGGAAAGGGACATGGAATTTGGAATTATGGCAGCATTCCTGAACAGCCAATGTTTGGCCACTGCCTGCTTTCTTATCATATGAGACATATAAAATCCTATATGTTTAAGCCCACTTACTCCAGTATCCTCTACTCGCAACCCAAGGTAATGCCAACCAACCCAAGTGGGAGAAGTCAGGTGCAATAAGCCATGTGCAATCAGCCATGCCTGGGATCTGGGAGAGGTTTGGTTTGGCTGGAGGATGGACTGTGCATTACACAGTGGAGGGAAAGAGGCCACCCAGGAGCATTAGGAGGAGAATAGAAAAGACCCACTTTGTCATGCAAAGTTCAAAGGAGAGGTTCACAAAGCTTCAAACAACGACGTCAGATGATCATCATATGTGGGTTTCAGGAAATAATTGTATCCATCACATAAAGGAAGGACCCTGACCCCCTTACAGACATAGATGATGTCGGTACAATTTTGTAGTGTCTACAGCCTCTAATACAGTCACCATTTAATATTTATTGAATTGAATTGAAATGATGTTACCCTAATTATTTCCATGAGACCCACAGTGCTTCAATCAATCACTATTTAGAAAGGTTGCAGCCATGTTCCCAGCTAAGACATCAGCTGGGTCCCTTCCCTCCCCTCCCCGGGAATCAGAGTCCTCACTGCACAATGAGAGAACTTAGCCTGTGGCTGACTCCCTCCAACAACAAGGAGGCCTGTCCTGGCTTCCGTCCACTTCACACTTTCACAAAATTGGCAGGGGAAAGCTGGTGGGACGCTTGATCGAGGCCCAAGCACTGAGCAGAGGGACGCTTGATCAGACCCCAAGCACTGAGCAGAGAAAATGGATCAATAGCTACGCCACCCCCAGCCTGATTTAGGAAGAAAAATTGCAGATCAAATGTAATATTTCTGTAGGTCCCAAATGACCCAGGTCCCAATCTGGCTCTTTCTCTATATGTAACACATATGCAAGTAAGGGTTTTTTTGTTTTGTTTTGTATTGAGATGGAGTTTCGCTCTTGTCGCCCAGGCTGGAGTGCAATGGGACGATCTAGGCTCAGTGCAACCTCTGCCTCCCAAGTTCAAGCGACTCTCCTGCCTCAGCCTCTCGAGTAGCTGGAATTACAGGCACCCACAACCACACCCAGCCAATTTTTTGTTTGTTTGTTTGTTTGTTTGTTTTTTAAACAGAGCCTTGCTCTGTTGCCCAGGCTGGAGTGCAGTGGCACGATCTCGGCTCACTGCAAGCTCTGCCTCCCAAGTTCATGTCATTCTCCTGCCTCAGCCTCCCAAGTAGCTGGGACTACAGGCGCCTGCCACCAGGCCCGGCTAATTTTTTTGTATTTTTTAGTAGAGACAGGGTTTCACCGTGTTAGCCAGGATGGTCTTGATCTCCTAACCTCGTGATCCGCCCCACCCTCAGCCTCCCAAAGTGCTGGCATTACAGGCGTGAGCCACCGTGCCCAGCCTAATTTTTGTATTTTTAGTAGAGACGGGGATTCACCATGTTGGTCAGGCTGGTCTCAAAGCCCTGACCTCAGGTGATCCACCCGCCTCAGCCTCCCAAAGTGCTGGGATTACAGGCGTGAGCCACCTTTTTTTCATTTTTTTCTCTCACCCAACTATTATTTCAAAACCAAAGATGACGGGAGAGGGGAAATCAAGTGTTTTCTCATTGGGCATTCAAAGAGTGACCAATTAACCCCCCAAATTAGGCAAGTACCAGGGAGACCCATAAAGATGAGACATTGGACTTCATGTTCACACACCCATCAACACTCCAGCCCTAAATTATATTTGACATTTAATTAAAACCCCAAGGCAGCGAAGTCAAGAGTTGAACTGCTACAGTACTGGAAAAGGAGCCGCTCTTTAGGATGGATTCATTTACCTCCTGTTACCAAAGCCATCAACACTGACCTCCCCCAGCCCAGCTTTACTCACTGGTAGAAATACAACAGAGGCATGACTGGGGAAGTGTGTTCCCCGTCTCCTGCACTCCCCTCATCGCCTCCACAGACATACTCAGACGCCATCACTGCCAGAGTGGAACTGGTCCTTCTCAGGTTCCATGCCACCCAGCACTAACTTCCCTCCTGGCCACCCATACAGGAAGTCACCCAACCCCAATTCCCCACTCACTTCCCTTCCTAGAGACTGCACTTTTCTCTGTTCCAAGAGCATGAAGGGTTTCAGCATTGAGCCGCCTTTCTTCTCTCCTTCCTTCCTGCCTTCTGTTCTTCCTCCCCTTTTTCTTCCTTCCCTCCTTCCTTCTCTCTTCTTTCTTCCTTCCCTCCTTCCCTCCTTCCCTTCTCTCCTTCCCTCCTCCTCTCCTTCCCTCCTTCCCTTCTCCTCTCCTTCACTTCCTTTCTTCTCTCCTTCCTTTCCCTCCTTCCCTCCTTCCCTCCTTCTCTCCTTCTGTCCTTCCCTCCTTCTTTCTTCTCTCCTTTCCTCCTTCCCACTTTCTTTCCCTTCTCTCCTTCCCTCCTTCTCTCCTTCCCTTCTTCCTTCCTGACTGCCCACATGATGCACTGAGCAGCCTCCACATTCTAGTGCCATGCTAAATGTTACAGGCACACAAAGATCCATAAAACAACTCTTGCCCTTGTGATCTTCTGGTGGAGACAAAGCAATTTATGAAATGCCTAATATCTATATTAGATATAATAAGACAATGTGTGCCAACGAAGAGTCCAGGCAACAGGAGCTTCCAGGTCAGAGGAAGGAGAGACCTGAGTAGTTAGAAAGGACCTTGCTGAGGATCAGGACTCCTGCTGGACCTCCAAGACCGCCATGACTTAGAAAGATGAGAGGAAGAGGAAAGGTGCAGGGACAGAGAACAGTACATGTGAAGGTCTAGAAACAGGAGGTGAACAGGAAAGAGTAAGAACCCCTTTCTGCCTAGAATGGAGGATCAGGAAATGGGGTACAGATGCCTGTTGATGAGCTAGCAGGAGCTGGAGGTGGAGTCTGGACTTCCTCCTGCAAGCAGGAATCATCTAGGCCCCACAGGAACTCTAGGGGTGTTGGTGACTGTGGAGCATCACAGCAGATGAGACTGTGTTGCTTCTCTGACTTGCTGGGTACTGGCTGCCTCTCTCTCTGAGCTGGATTTTCATCCCCTATGAATCGGTAGGACTACCCTCATTCTTGCTTCTCTGCCACTTGCCTTTCAGGACTAGAGCGGTGCTAAATGGTTCCATGTACCAGGTTTCGGATTACAGAAAGTGTCCTTGGACCCCAGACGCCACTCTCTTCCTCCGATTTTGAGGCATCAAAACAAAATGATGCTTTCCTGATACAGATCACAAACCCAGCAGAGAATCAAGACACATTAGCACTGATTCAAACACACATGAACCTCACTGTCTTAGAAACAGAGCATTTCAAAGCCTCTCAACTCACCTTGATCACAATTTCATCCCCAGAAGATTTAGGAAGTAACAAAGGCAACAGCCTTTTCAGGATTAATTCTGATCCACCAGGAAGAAATTACTGGGAATCTGAAATGACAGAAACCACAGACAGAAGAGACAGGATATTAGAAGAAAGTGAACATGTCATCTTAGACTTCAGAGCAGCCCAGAAAGAGAATAGTAGAGAGACATGTGTCAAAGACTTTAGAAAGTCTAATTTCCAGACATTTGGAGAAAAGGTAGCTACAATCCAGTAACCAGAGTCTCTACAGGGGAAGATATTTCAAGAACGAAGCGTAGCAGTTTCTGGAGACAAGGTTCTGTCTACACAATTGCAAAATATTTCACTGGGGGAGAAAGGAGAAAGAAATCTTAAAAAGATAATAACAATTTCAGCTGCACTAGCACCTCTCTGGCTCCAGCAAGAAAGCAGACATCCTAGCTCTTACCATCTCCTACATCAACGAAAATTAGCTTTGCCTTGAAATCCTGTTTTAGTCACAGCACTTCCCAGCTCTAAAATGTTCAGTGACTCTCATTCACCATGAAATTTAAAGCTCAAGAAACCCTCAAGGCTCTGCCCATGTGGACCTGGTCTACCCTCCGAGCCTCAGCTCACCCTGACCTCCACATCTCACAGCTCCAGGCCAGGGGATGGCAGGCTGCAGCCTGCAGGCCGGATGCAGCTCACCCTACCTGTTTCTGCACAGTCCACAAGCTAAGAATGTTTTTTTGAATTTTTTTTTTTTTTGAGACAGAGTCCCGCTGTGTCGCCCAGGCTGGAGTGCAGTGGCGCAATCTCGGCTCACTGCAAGCTCTGCTTCCCGGGTTCACACCATTCTCCTGCCTCAGCCTCCTGAGTAGCTGGGACTACAGGTGCCCGCCACCATGCCTGGCTAATTTTTTGTATTTTTAGTAGAGACGAGGTTTCACCATGTTAGCCAGGATGGTCTTGATCTCCTGACCTCATGATCCTCCCGCCTCGGCCTCCCAAATTGCTGGGATTACAGGCATGAGCCACCATGCCTGGCGTTTTTTTGAATTTTTAAGTGGTGGGGTGGGAGAGAAATCAAAAAAATAATATGTTATGGCACGTGAAAATAATATGAAATTTGAATTTCAATGTTCATAAGTCATTTTTGTTTTGTTTCGATTTTGAGACAGCATCTCACTCTGTCATCCAGGCTGGAGTGCAGTGGCATTATCATGGCTCACTGCAGCCACGACCTCCTGGGCTCAAGCAATCCTCTTGCCTCAGCCTCCCAAGTAGCTGGGATTAAAGGCATGCGGACTGAGGAGCCAAGATGGCCGAATAGGAACAGCTCCGGTCTACAGCTCCCAGTGTGAGCAACGCAGAAGACGGGTGATTTCTGCATTTCCATTTGAGGTACCGGGTTCATCTCACTAGGGAGTGCCAGACAGTGGGCGCAGGTCAGTGGGTGCTCGCACCGTGCACGAGCCGAAGCAGGGCGAGGCATTGCCTCATTGGGGAAGCGCAAGGGGTCAGGGAGTTCCCTCTCCTAGTCAAAGAAAGGGGTGACAGACGGCACCTGGAAAATCGGGTCACTCCCACCCGAATACTGCGCTTTTCCGACAGGCTAAAAAAACGGTGCACCAGGAGATTATATCCCACACCTGGCTCAGAGGGTCCTACGGCCACGGAGTCTCACTGATTGCTAGCACAGCAGTCTGAGATCAAACTGCAAGGCGGCAGCGAGGCTGGGGGAGGGGCGCCCGCCATTGCCCAGGCTTGCTTAGGTAAACAAAGCAGCTGGGAAGCTCGAACTGGGTGGAGCCCATCACAGCTCAAGGAGGCCTGCCTGCCCCTGTAGGCTCCACCTCTGGGGGCAGGGCACAGACAAACAAAAAGATAGCAGTAACCTCTGCAGACTTAAATGTCCCTGTCTGACAGCTTTGAAGAGAGCAGTGGTTCTCCCAGCACGCAGCTGGAGATCTGAGAACGGGTAGATTGCCTCCTCAAGTGGGTCCCTGACCCCTGACCCCTGAGCAGCCTAACTGGGAGGCACCCCCCAGCAGGGGCAGACTGACACCTCACACTGCCGAGTACTCCAACAGACCTGCAGCTGAGGGTCCTGTCTGTTAGAAGGAAAACTAACAAACAGAAAGGACATCCACACCAAAAACCCATCTGTACATCACCATCATCAAAGACCAAAAGTAGATAAAACCACAAAGATGGGAAAAAAACAGAGCAGAAAAACTGGAAACTCGAAAAAGCAGAGCACCTGTCCTCCTCCAAAGGAACGCAGTTCCTCACCAGCAACGGAACAAAGCTGGACGGAAAATGACTTTGACGAGCTGCGAGAAGGCTTCAGACGATCAAATTACTCCGAGCTACGGGAGGACATTCAAACCAAAGGCAAAGAAGTTGAAAACTTTGAAAAACATTTAGAAGAATGTATAACTAGAATAACCAATACAGAGAAGTGCTTAAAGGAGCTGATGGAGCTGAAAACCAAGGCTCGAGAACTACGTGAAGAATGCAGAAGCCTCAGGAGCTGATGCAATCAACTGGAAGAAAGGGTATCAGTGATGGAAGATGAAATGAATGAAATGAAGCGAGAAGGGAAGTTTAGAGAAAAAAGAATAAAAAGAAACGAGCAAAGCCTCCAAGAAATATGGGACTATGTGAAAAGACCAAATCTACGTCTGATTGGTGTACCTGAAAGTGATGAGGAGAATGGAACCAAGTTGGAAAACACTCTGCAGGATATTATCCAGGAGAACTTCCCCAATCTAGCGAGGCAGGCCAACATTCAGATTCACGAAATACAGAGAACGCCACAAAGATACTCCTCGAGAAGAGCAACTCCAAGACACATAATTGTCAGATTCACCAAAGTGGAAATGAAGGAAAAAATGTTAAGGGCAGCCAGAGAGAAAGGTCGGGTTACCCACAAAGGGAAGCCCATCAGACTAACAGCGGATCTCTCGGCAGAAACTCTACAAGCCAGAAGAGAGTGAGGGCCAATATTCAACATTCTTAAAGAAAAGAATTTTCAACCCAGAATTTCATATCCAGCCAAACTAAGCTTCATAAGTGAAGGAGAAATAAAATCCTTTACAGACAAGCAAATGCTGAGAGATTTTGTCACCACCAGGCCTGCCCTAAAAGAGCTCCTGAAGGAAGCGCTAAATATGGAAAGGAACAACCAGTACCAGCCACTGCAAAATCATGCCAAAATGTAAAGACCATCGAGACTAGGAAGAAACTGTATCAACTAACGAGCAAAATAACCAGCTAACACCATAATGACAGGATCAAATTCACACATAACAATATTAACTTTAAATGTAAATGGACTAAATGCTCCAATTAAAAGACAGAGACTGGCAATTGGATAAAGAGTCAAGACCCATCAGTGTGCTGTATTCAGGAAACCCATCTCACGTGCAGAGATACATATAGGCTCAAAATAAAAGGATGGAGGAAGATCTACCAAGCAAATGGAAAACAAAAAAAGGCAGGGGTTGCAATCCTAGTCTCTGATAAAACAGACTTTAAACCAACAAAGATCAAAAGAGACAAAGAAGGCCATTACATAATGGTAAAGGGATCAATTCAACAAGAAGAGCTAACTATCCTAAATATATATATGCACACAATACAGGAGCACCCAGATTCATAAAGCAAGTCCTGAGTGACCTACAAAGAGACTTAGACTCCCACACAATAATAATGGGAGACTTTAACACCCCACTGTCAACATTAGACAGATCAACGAGACAGAAAGTCAACAAGGATACCCAGGAATTGAACTCAGCTCTGCACCAAGTGGACCTAATAGACATCTACAGAACTCTCCACCCCAAATCAACAGAATATACATTTCTTTCAGCACCACACCACACCTATTCCAAAATTGACCACATACTTGGAAGTAAAGCTCTCCTCAGCAAATGTAAAGGAACAGAAATTATAACAAACTATCTCTCAGACCACAGTGCAATCAAACTAGAACTCAGGATTAAGAAACTCACTCAAAACCACTCAACTACATGGAAACTGAACAACCTGCTCCTGAATGACTACTGGGTACATAACAAAATGAAGGCAGAAATAAAGATGTTCTTTGAAACCAACAAGAACAAAGACACAACATACCAGAATCTCTGGGACGCATTCAAAGCAGTGTGTAGAGGGAAATTTATAGCACTAAATGCCCACAAGAGAAAGCAGGAAAGATCCAAAATTGACACCCTAACATCACAATTAAAAGAACAAGAAAAGCAAGAGCAAACACATTCAAAAGCTAGCAGAAGGCAAGAAATAACTAAAGTCAGAGCAGAACTGAAGGAAATAGAGACACAAAAAACCCTTCAAAAAATTAATGAATCCAGGAGCTGGTTTTTTGAAAGGATCAACAAAATTGATAGACCACTAGCAAGACTAATAAAGAAAAAAAGAGAGAAGAATCAAATAGACGCAATAAAAAATGATAAAGGGGATATCACCACCGATCCCACAGAAATACAAACTACCATCAGAGAATACTACAAACACCTCTACGCAAATAAACTAGAAAATCTAGAAGAAATGGATAAATTCCTCGACACATACACCCTCCCAAGACTAAACCAGGAAGAAGTTGAATCTCTGAATAGACCAATAACAAGATCTGAAATTGTGGCAATAATCAATAGCTTACCAACCAAAAAGAGTCCAGGACCAGATGGATTCACAGCCGAATTCTACCAGAGGTACAAGGAGGAACTGGTACCATTCCTTCTGAAACTATTCCAATCAATAGAAAAAGAGGGAATCCTCCCTAACTCATTTTATGAGGCCAGCATCATCCTGATACCAAAGTCGGGCAGAGACACAACCAAAAAAGAGAATTTTAGACCAATATCCTTGATGAACATTGATGCAAAAATCCTCAATAAAATACTGGCAAACCGAATCCAGCAGCACATCAAAAAGCTTATCCACCATGATCAAGTGGGCTTCATCCCTGGGATGCAAGGCTGGTTCAATATACACAAATCAATAAATGTAATCCAGCATATAAACAGAACCAAAGACAAAAACGACATGATTATCTCAATAGATGCAGAAAAGGCCTTTGACAAAATTCAACAACCTTCATGCTAAAAACTCTCAATAAATTAGGTATTGATGGGACGTATTTCAAAATAATAAGAGCTACCTATGACAAACCCACAGCCAATATCATACTGAATGGACAAAAACTGGAAGCATTCCCTTTGAAAACTGGCACAAGACAGGGATGCCCTCTCTCACCACTCCTATTCAACATAGTGTTGGAAGTTCTGGCCAGGGCAATTAGGCAGGAGAAGGAAATAAAGGGTATTCAATTAGGAAAAGAGGAAGTCAAATTGTCCCTGTTTGCAGATGACATGATTGTATATCTAGAAAACCCCATTGTCTCAGCCCAAAATCTCCTTAAGCTGATAAGCAACTTCAGCAAAGTCTCAGGATACAATATCAATGTAAAAAATCACAAGCATTCTTATACACCAACAAAAGACAAACAGAGAGCCAAATCATGAGTGAACTCCCATTCACAGTTGCTTCAAAGAGTATAAAATACCTAGGAATCCAACTTACAAGGGATGTGAAGGACCTCTTCAAGGAGAACTACAAACCACTGCTCAAGGAAATAAAAGAGGATACAAACAAATGGAAGAACATTCCATGCTCATGGGTAGGAAGAATCAATATCATGAAAATGGCCATACTGCCCAAGGTACTTTACAGATTCAATGCCATCCCCATCAAGCTACCAATGACTTTCTTCACAGAATTGGAAAAAACTACTTTAAAGTTCATATGGAAGCAAAAAGAGCCCGCATCGCCAAGTCAATCCTAAGCCAAAAGAACAAAGCTGGAGGCATCATGCTACCTGACCTCAAACTATACTAGAAGGCTACAGTAACCAAAACAGCATGGTACTGGTACCAAAACAGAGATATAGATCAATGGAACAGAACAGAGCCCTCAGAAACAATGCCGCATGTCTACAACTATCTGATCTTTGACAAACCTGAGAAAAACAAGCAATGGGGAAAGGATTCCCTATTTAATAGATGGTGCTGGGAAAACTGGCTAGCCATATATAGAAAGCTGAAACTGGATCCCTTCCTTACACCTTATACAAAAATCAATTCAAGATGGATTAAAGACTTAAACGTTAGACCTAAAACCATAAAAACCCTAGAAGAAAACCTAGGCATTACCATTCAGGACATAGGCATGGGCAAGGACTTCATGTCTAAAACACCAAAAGCAATGGCAACAAAAGCCAAAATTGACAAATGGGATCTAATTAAACTCAAGAGCTTCTGCACAGCAAAAGAAACTACCATCAGAGTGAACAGGCAACCTACAGAATGGGAGAAAATTTTTGCAACCTACTCATCTGACAAAGGGCTAATATCCAGAATCTACAATGAACTCAAACAAATTTACAAGAAAAAAACAAACAACCCCATCAAAAAGTGGGCAAAGGACATGAACAGACACTTCTCAAAAGAAGACATTTATGCAGCCAAAAAACACATGAAAAAATGCTCACCATCACTGGCCATCAGAGAAATGCAAATCAAAACTACAATGAGATACCATCTCACACCAGTTAGAATGGCAATCATTAAAAAGTCAGGAAACAACAGGTGCTGGAGAGGATGTGGAGAAATAGGAACACTTTTACACTGTTGGTGGGACTGTAAACTAGTTCAACCATTGTGGAAGTCAGTGTGGAGATTCCTCAGGGGTCTAGAACTAGAAATACTATTTAACCCAGCCATCCCATTACTGGGTATATACCCAAAGAACTATAAATCATGCTGCTATAAAGACACATGCACACGTATGTTTATTGCGGCATTATTCACAATAGCAACGACTTGGAACCAACCCAAATGTCCAACAACGATAGACTGGATTAAGAAAATGTGGCACATATACACCATGGAATACTATGCAGCCATAAAAAATGATGAGTTCATGTCCTTTGTAGGGACATGGATGAAATTGGAAATCATCGTTCTCAGTAAACTATCGCAAGAACAAAAAACCAAACACCGCATATTCTCACTCATAGGTGGGAATTGAACAATGAGAACACGTGGACACAGGAAGGGGAACATCACACTCTGGGGACTGTTGTGGGTTGGGGGGAGTGGGGAGGGATGGCATTGGGAGATATACCTAATGCTAGGTGACGAGTTAGTGGGTGCAGCACACCAGCATGGCACATGTATACATATGTAACTAACGTGCACATTGTGCACATGTACCCTAAAACTTAAAGTATAATAATAATAAATTAAAAAATAAAAATAAAAATAAAGGCATGTGTCATTATGCCCAGATAATTTTTTTAATAACTTTTTGTAGAGACAGGGTCTCACCATGTTGCCCAGGCTGTTCTGTAACTCCTGGGTTCAAGTAATCTGCCCACCTTAGCCTCCCAAAGTTCTGGGATTACAGGTGCGAGCCACCACGCCCAGCCCATAGTAAAGTTTTATTGGAACACGACCACACTCATTTGTTTGATAACTGCCTGTATTACTTTGTGAGGGCTGCCTTAACAAAGTAGCATAGACTGGGTGGCTTAGACAAGAGAAACTTACTGTCTCATAGTTCTGGAGTCTGGAAGTCCTCGATGGAGCTGTCGCCAGGGTTGGATCCTTCTGAGGCCTCTCTCCTTGGCTTGGAGACGGCCATCTTCCTGTCTTCACGTGGTCTTCCCTCTGTGTGTGTCAGTGTCTTCAGCTCCTCTTCTTATGAGGACACCAGTCAACTAGTCACATTGGATCAAGGCCCACTCTAATGACCTCATTTTAGCCTAATAACCTCCTTCACGGCCCTGTCTCCACTTGCGGTCACATTCTGAGGCTCGGAATTCAACATATGAACTTGGGGGCACAGCTCACTCATGACACTGCTGGGTCTGCTCTTCTGCCACCCCAGCAGAACTGCAGAGTTGCAACAGAGACCATATGGGCCCACAGAGACTATTCTAGATAGGCTTTTACTACCAATAGCCTCTTTACTCTGGGGTCCTTTACAGAAAAGGTTTACCCACTCTTGCCCTAGACAATCTGCACTTGCTATGCATCCCCCCAAACACCATTCCTCATTGTCTGACAGCTGGATATGAGTTCACACTGAAACTTAGACGCCCCATTTTCCCCAAAAAGCCCCTCCTACTCTTTAAGACAGCAGAACTGACAATAGTGTCCTATGGGGCCACTCCCAGGGGCACCTGCAGTAAGCCAAAGACCTCAGTCTCTGATGAGACACCCTCAGGTGGTCAGAGAGGTCAGAGAAATCGAGCAGAAAGACAGTCGCTCCTCTCACACTCACACAAAGGTAGGTGCCAGGGCTGGAGGGGACAGGCCAGAGAGTCCGCATGGGCAACAGGAAACACGGCTGGGACTTAGGTGGGGATGAAGCTGTCACGGCTCTGAGAATGCATGTATCTGAGGAATGAGCTTTAGAGAGACCTGTGGGAAGGAAAAGTGCCAGATGAGTCTAGGCCAGGGAGCTTGGAGAAGTGGGAGGTGTCAAAGAGGCCATGGAGACAAGAGAATTGGGAAGGAAGGAGCCAGAAGAGGAGGAAGTCCAGGGAACAGAGACCAGGAAGGAGGCTCAAAGGGAGCACAGGGTCTTCGTGACATCTCCTGGAGAGGGGAGCCCCCGTAGCACACGACATCCCTGTACAATGAGCAAGATACTGGGGCTTGAAGGAAAGCAGGCTGGAGAGGAGAGGCAGGGCTCAGAGCTCCAGACCAGCAGGCTGCATTAAGGGGCAGGACACCTGGGCACACATCCTGCGCACAGATCTGCAAGGGACACAAAAATGTCAGTGCAGCCAGGCACATGCCTGTGGCACTCACGCCTGTAATCCCAACACTTTGGGAGGCCAAGGAAGGTAGATCCCCTGAGGTCAGGAGTTCAAGACCAGCCTGGCCAACATGGTGAAACCCCATCTCTACCAAAAAATACAAAAATTAGCCGTGCGTGGTGGCGCATGCCTGTAGTCCCAGCTACTCGGGAGGCTGAGGCAGGAGAACCACTTAAGTCTGGGAGGCAGAGGTTGCAGTGAGCCAAGTTCACACCACTGTACTCCAGCCTGAGTGACAGAGCGAGACACTGTCTCAAAAAAAAAAAGTGCAACAAATAAGTCATATGGTGCCCAAAACTTGGGTCTCTACACTTGGCTTCTTCAGTGTCTTGGTCCCCACTTCCACTAAAATACACAGGGTTGGTAGGAATCCTCCCATACACTCCCCTTAAGCACCAACTCCAATCCCATGGACAGAGAGTGGAACATATTTTTAGCAAAGCCTGTTTGAAGGGGCATCAGCACACACCTCACCTGAACATCTACATGACTGGTCCAGGCCCTGGCCCCAGCTCTGCCCAGCACTAGCTATGTGACCTTGGACAGCCATGTCCTCTCTCAACCTCAGCATCCTTATCTGAAACTCAAGGGACTGGGCTAGGTTCTTCCAGACCCTTGCAGCAGTAATGTTCTGGGAGGGATGGCTTTAAGACATTAAGCATAATATAGGCCTTGGGGAAGCCTGAGCAAATGTGGGTGGAGGCTGGGGGAGCAAGAGTGTTGGTTGGACACAGCCCAGAACCCCTCACTGTGGTTTGTTTGAAAGCTTGGTAAGGGCGTGTTGCAAGGAGAAAGGACATTGACCTAGCAAATGGGGCCTGCTGGCAGACCTGTGCTCAGCACACAGAGCTCAGCTGTGTGAGAGTACACAGGAGAGCACACACACACACACACACACTACACACATCACATACACACAGAGAGTCAGCTTTTGGCATGCTCCTAGCTGAGGAGGAAGAAACTAGAGCCACAGAGAGGGACAGAGGGACAGATAGGGATACCGTTTTTTTTTTGTTTGTTTTTTTTTTGAGACAGAGTCTCGCTCTGCCACCCAGGCTGGAGCACAGTGGCACAATCACAGTTCACTGAAGCCTCAACTTCCTGGGCTCAAGCAATCCTCCCACTTCGGTCTCCCAAGTAGCTGGGACTACAGGCATATGTCACCATGCCCAGCTCATTTTTGTATTTGTTGTAGAGACAGGGTCTCGCCGTGTTGCCCAGGCTGGCCTCGAACTCCTGGGCTCAAGCAATCCTCCCACCTTGGCCTCCCAAAGTGCTGGGATTACAGGCATGAGTGACCACACCCAGCCCAGGAGATCCTGTTCTGCTTCAGTTCTGCACACAGCGAATCCCAGAATAACTGCCCCCATTTTAAAAAGAGAAACTGAGGCAGTCTCACTAAGAGCATTCCAGCAGACTGGAAGCAAGTCGGAGGCTTCGGCTGCTGACAACTATCTGGGTTTCCCTTTTAGTGCTGGCCAGGAGGGAGGGAGGGAGGCAGGCAGGGAGGGGAGTGTGGTACGGGACGGCTCAGGTAGAGGGTGGTGCTGGAAAATACCTCACCCTCGATGGAGGAAAAAACCACAGCCAAACAGCTACGATCAGCAGGGAGGAAAGAAAGGAACATTCTGGGCTCTGAGGCCTGTGGTCAGATAAGTGGCCCCAACCTGACTTCCTCTCCATCCTCGATGTGCTTTTCCATTTATCCTTCCCCTTGCCCATAAGCCAGCCTCCAAACAGAGGAGCATTTGATAACATTCAAGCCCCACAGCTCTCTATTCCGAGCCCCTGTTTTTTTTTTTTTTTTAGGCTGGAGTGAAGTGGTGTGATCTCGGCTCACTGCAACCTCCGCCTCCTGGATTCAAGTGATTCTGGTGCCTCAGCCCCCTGAGTAGCTGGGACCACAGACACGTGCCACCACGCCCAACTGACTTTTGTATTTTTAGTAGATACGGGGTTTTGCCATGTTGGTCTGGCTGGTCTCGAACTCCTGTGGAGTTCACCTCAAGTGATCCACCTGCCTCGGCCTCCCAAAGTGCTGGGATTACAGGCATGAGCCACCATGTGCAGCCCTAGCCCTTGCTGTAAGATGCTTTTCACTTAACTTCCAGCCCTGCTGTTGACCTCACTCTCTGTTTTCAATCTCCACGGATATTTCTCAATGCGTTGTAAATGTCTCTCAAAACGAAACTCACACTTGACCAAACTCAGGTTATCTCCCTGAATTCTGCTCTCTTTAAGTTCACGCTGGGAATGGAGTCCAGGAGCCACTGAAGGAGACCAGGCTTCCTCTTCGTAGACATGTACCCCATGTGTCACCGAGGGCCGGTGGGGAGAGAGGGAGTTGGTGCAGTTGTCTTTCCGTATGCTTATCCTGAAGCATCCCTCATTCCCCTTAATACCCTGTCACAGAGCCATCGTCTGCCAAGTCAACGAAGCCCCTAGGGAACCTGTTTCTATTTCTAGCAGATCTCTCAAGGGCTGGTGCGATCCTATGTTTACTACCCACAGTGTGAGGAGGGCCTTTCTGTGTGGCCTAAAACTGCTTCCCCCGGCCTCTCTGAGGGCCCCCGTTCTGGGATTCAGCATGTCCTCCCCGGCCAATGGCAAGGGGCAGGGGGCTGAATCCCCTGTCCAGTCCTGTTGCCGTGAGCCATGTCGGGGGGACTCCACAAGGCCTCAGGGGACATCGGTGGGGAGAAGACCATCACCGTGGATTGAGGGTGGACCCCAAACTGCCCTGACAAAGCAGCTCCCTGCTTGCTGTCTCTGCCTGTCACTTTCCTTCTGTGGGACAAATAGACTCCTTCTTGCCTGTATTAGTTTCTTGTGATTGCTGCAACAAATTACCCCACACTGGGTGACTTAGAACAACAAAGATTTATTCTCTCACAGTCCTGGAGGCCAGATGTCTGAAGTCACAGTGTTAGCAGGACCAGAGGCTCTAGGGGAGGATCCCTCCTTGCCTCTCCCAGCTCCTGGCAGCTGCCAGCATTGGCTAGCTTGTGGCTGCTTCACTCCAGTCTCTGCCTCTGTCTTCTCATGGCCTTCTCCTCTGTGTCTCAAATCTCCCTGTCCTTAATTTTAGAAGGACAGCAGTCATTGAATGTAGGGCCCACCCTAAATCCAGGATGATCTTACCTAGAGATCCTTAATCACATCGGCAAAGACAACATTTTCAAATAACTTCACAATCCCTGGTACCAGAATGTGCACATGTCTTTTTGGGGGACAAACCATCCCACTGCACTGGTCTGCTACTCATTCCCTTGCAAGTGATCCTCTCTGCCGAATTTCGAGACCCAGACTCTTCTGTGAGCCATGCAAGGCCCCCACTTTCCTTAGCCAGCCGCATTTCTCATATTCCCCACAGCATATCCCCCACCCTGCCGGCAGCCCTCTCACTTTACCCCCATCAATGTCCTTCTTTCTTTTGTAACTTTTTTTTATTTTACTTTAAGTTCCGGGATACATGTGCAGAACGTGCAGGTTTGTTACATAGCTGTAAATGTGCCATGGTGGTTTGCTGCACCTATCAACCCATCATCTAGGTTTTAAGCCCCGCATGCATTAGGTATTTGTTCTAATGTTCTCCCTCCCCTTGCCCCCACCCCCCGAACAGGCCCCACTGTGTAATGTTCCCCTCCCTGTGTCCATGTGTTCTCCACTGTTCAACTCCTACTTATGAGTGAGAACGTGCAGTGTTTGATTTTCTGTTCCTGTGTTAGTTTGCTGAGAATGATGGTTTCCAGCTTCATCTATGTTCCTGCAAAGGACATGATCTCATTCTTTCTTATGGCTGCATAGTATTCCATGGTGCATATGTGCCACATTTTCTTTATCCAGTCTATCATTGATGGACATTTGGGTTGGTTCCAAGTCTTTGCTATTGTAAACAGTGCTGCAATACACACGTGTGCATGTGTCTTTCTAGTAGAATGATTTATAATCCTTTGGGTATATACCCAGTAATGGGATTGCTGTGTCAAATGCTATTTCTAGTTCTAGATCCTTGAGGAATCGCCACACTGTCTTCCACAATGGTTGAACTAATTTACACTCCCACCAACAGTGTAAAAGCATTACTGTTTCTCCATAGACTTGTCAGCATCTGTTGTTTTCTGAAATGTCCTTTTTTTTTTTTTTTTTTTTTTTTGAGGCAGAGTCTCGCTATGTCGCCAGGCTGGAGTGCAGTGGCAAGATCTCAGCTCACTGCAACCTCTGCCTCCCAGGTTCAAGCGATTCTCCCACCTCAGCCTCCCGAGTAGCTGAGATTACAGGCACACACCACCACGCCCAGCTAATTTTTGTATTTTCAGTAGAGACGGGGTTTCACCATGTTGGCCAGGATGGTCTCGATTTCCTGACCTCGTGATCCTCCTGCCTCAGCCTCCCAAAGTGCTGGCATTACAGGCGTGAGCCACCACACCCAGCTGAAATGTCCTTATTTCTAAACTCGCTCCAGCTGTCCCCACCTGAGGTCCTCCCTCCTTCCCTCTGCCCACCCTATCCTGCCTCAGAGCCTGCCCTAAACACAGCAGCTCCTACAGGACGCCGGGAAAGAAATGATTTCACTCCAAGGCGCTGAGCACAGGCTGTGTCACTTAACAGCGGCTTGAGTTCAGACAAGCCTCTCAATGACTCTGGGCCTGTTTCTACCCCCAGACCCTTCAAACATGGAGACAATACCTTTCTCCCAGATTGGTGAGGATTAAATGATATCAGGCACATGAAAGAATCTGCCACCCAGTAAACTCCCAATAAATGTGTGTCCTCCAGATATCTGATCTTCTGTTCCCTGAATCCACTTCTATTTATGGCCGGCACTGGGCGTAATTGTTTCATTCTGTTGGCTTCGTCTCCCCAGACTGAACTTCTTGAGCAATGGAAAGGGTTTGGGGTTTCTCTGGAATCTCCCACAGCACCTGGCACAGCTTTGAGTCAGTAAAGAACTGATGCCTGGAACGAACACCATGGTGATGCCCTTAGGTGTGTATTTCAAATGGGAGAAGCAGGCCCTGTGTCCCTGTGGTCACCTCCCTGGTCTGCTTACCCACGGGCTGGGGCCTTAAGGGAGGGGTAAGGCCGGCCTGGCTCCTGCAGGCCTTGGACACATGGGGAGGGGGCAGTAATGGAATGAGAGGCCCCGAGATCCAATTCCATAATGATTACGGTGAGAGGGACAAACTCCAGAGGCCAATTGTTGGGTGTAATTGGAGTGAACAGCAAATCGCAATTGGCCAAGAGCCCTGAGGTCAGACAGGCTGGGCCCATCCAGGTCCAGGAGGACCCTGTGGTCGGCCAGGCAGAAGAAGATCTCTCTCCATTAGGTCCTGGCAGGGGAGGGTGAGCAGGCTGGTCTGTATCATCTGGGTGGAGCGGCTGAGTGGATGTGACATAATTGAATGAGGCCTCTGCGTCTTCCACCCAGAGCGGGGGAATTAGCAGGCCCGACCCTCGCCTCGGGAGACCGCACTCCCCCTCATCTGCCTGCATTGCTCCACTCCACACCGCCTGCTCAGGGTGGGGTGGGAGTGCCAGGAAACGGCTCAGGCCAGGTCTGTTGTGGGAAAGAGGGGGCACAGGAAGACGGGCACAAGGAGCCGGGCTCAGGCGGGAAAGTCCCGGGGGTCTGTGGGGAGGGGGTGATAGTGATGGGCCGGGGGCGGGGGTCCATAGGACTAGCGTTTGCCAGACAGATGGCAAGGAGAAACCCAGAGCAAGGAGGGAGGATGGGATGGAGGCGGGGAGAGATGGAGCCAGGCACACAGCAGAGATGGGAACAAGATAGACAGGGAGATAACATGACAGCGGCCAGACACACAGGACGAGCTGAGCGATGGCGAAGAAGAGGGGCAGATAAAGAGAGGCTTATTAAGAAAGACTGATCAGCAGCCCGAGGAATAGGCAGACAGGGAGACAGGAGCTTCATGGAACATAGGCCTGAACCCTCCCTGACCGGGGCAGCCACACCTTCTCTGCACTTACGGGGCACTATTCTGAATATGCCACATTGTCTCACTGAATCTGCCCAGCACCCTTACGGAATTGGTAATGATTTCTTACAGATGGAGAAACTGAGGCTGGAGAGGATAAGTCACCTGCCCAGGGCCACCCAGCTAGAAAACAAAGGAGACAGAAGGTGAGCCCCACTGGAGCTGGTTTCCTGGCCCCACCCTTGCCCTGCACCAGCAAAGTCTTTCTTGGTTTAGCTGCAGAGGAATCTCTCAGCCTAGCCGCCTCCCTAGGATGAATGGATACAGAGGACTTCCTGGTGGCTGTGGGAGTTCAAGTGGTCAGAAGACTGTCTTTTTTTTTTCTTTTTGTTTTGTTTGGTTGGTTTTTTGTTTGTTTGTTTTGTTTTGTTTTGTTGAGACAGAGTCTCACTCTGTTGCTCAGGTTGGAATGCAATGGCAAGATCTCGGCTCACTGCAACCTCTGCCTCCAGGGTTCAAGCGATTCTCCTGCCTCAGCCTCCTGAGTAGCTAGGATTACAGGCGTGCACCACCTAATTTTTGTATTTTTACAAAATACAAAAATACAAAAATTAGCGCCCAGCTAATTTTTTTAGTAGAGACAGAGTTTCACCATGTTTGTCAGGCTGGTCTCGAACACCTGACCTTGTGATCCACCTGCCTTGGCCTCCCAAAATGCTGGGATTACAGGCGTGCACCACTTTATTTTTGTATTTTTACAAAATACAAAAATTAGCGCCCAGCTAATTTTTTTAGTAGAGACAGAGTTTCACCATGTTTGTCAGACTGGTCTCGAACACCTGACCTTGTGATCCACCTGCCTTGGCCTCCCAAAATGCTGGGATTACAGGCGTGAGCCACTGCACCTGGTCTTTGTTTGTTTGTTTGTTTGTTTTTAACCTTTTCTGGTCTCAGTTCCCTACCCCTAGGGCCCCTGGCACTGCCCCTTACCACCTGCACTGGCCTCTCCAACACTCAGTCAGCCACTGGGGAATCTAATGCATGCACTAATGTCACTTTAAAGTATGGCCTCTGCCATGGGTAATTACTTTTAATTGGGGTCTCCAGGTGTAATAGGGGAGACATTTGAGGGGGCAGGAAGGCCTTCCCTGTACCTTTCTAATCCAATGTGGGAAGATTCCTCCTGTACTGATTCATCAAGCCAGTCCTGGCTGTGTGACTGGCTTCATCCAAGCAGGGAGAAAAGATGTCTGGGTACCCATCACCTATTGCCTTTGTTTTTTGTTTGTTTGTTTGAGATCATGTCTCACTCTGTCGCCCAGGCTGGAGTGCAGTGGCACAATCTCAGCTCACTGCAACCTCCACCTCCCAGGTTCAAGCAATTCTCCTGCCTCAGCCTCCCAAGTAGATGGGATTACAGGCACCCACCACCACAGCCCGCTAATTTTTTTTTTTTTTGTATTTTTAATAGAGACGGGGTTTCTCCATATTGGCCAGGCTGGTGTCGAACTCCTAACCTCAAGTGATCAGCCTGCCTTGGCCCCCCAAAGTGCTGGGATTACAGACATAAGCCACCGCACCCAGCCACCCATTGCCTTTGTGAACCCTATCCAAACTCCCATGGAATATTCCCAGCCACAGGCACCAACTTGGAAAGTTCTGCCAGCCAGACCAAGCTCTCCCCAGGAACAGGGACCTTGCCTTGGGTGGGGACCACCAAGCAACTGCTCCCATTCCCCAAAGAAGCTCCCCTGTCCTCCCTGGCTGCCAGCTGTCAGGGTTCAGAGGGGCTTCAGGCTGGGACATCACCCATCTAGGTGGCTGCTGTGCACTCTCTGACCCAGCCAGGCCTGCTGCCCTGCCCACTGCCTCCCCAGCACCCTGGGGAGGTGAGAGGAAGTGCCAGCGTCAGCTTATAGACAGCTGTGCCCAGGAGCCCTGAAGGAAGGTGAGAGCTGTTTCACCTTCACGGGCAGTAGCTGCCTAACAGCAAAGCTGGGAAACTCAGTGCCCAGGAAGGAGGTGCCGATCCACCCCGCCCTGGTACAACAGAGAGCGAAAGCAAATCGGCTTCTCCACCCTGCTCACAGGACATGGATAGACAAAGCAGGAAGGAGGACAGGCAGAAAGACGCAGGCACAAACAGACTGGAGAAGAGACGCTAGTGATGGAGCCCAGTGCTGGAGGAAGGACTGCATCCAAGTTCCTATTTTTACCTGATAATGACCCTGAGACCCAAAGAGGCAAAGTGATTCACCAAGGTCGCCTAGCTAGTCCTGACATTGAGCGGGTCCTCCCCTAGGAATCTCATCATCAGATCCTGATTTATGGTTCCAAGAGGAAGCTCGTGGCTTAGGCACCAAGGGACTGAGAGACTAGCTCTGCCCTGGGAGCCAAGGAGCTGCATCTCACTGTCCTACTCAAAAACCCTCCTGGTCTCCTGAACCAACTTCTTCCTGGCCTGGCAGTCAATGCCCTCCCCACCTGGCTCCAGCCCCCAGCCTCTCCATTCTGCTCCTCACTAGTGCTCCCACACATCCCTAACCAAGCTCTACTCCTTTCTGTGGGTGACACCCTGCACTCTCCCATATTGGCTCACTGGAACCCCTCTTGCCTCAGTGCCTCTCTCAGGTGTCAGTATTCTGGGAGGCCTTCCTTGAGGGTCCTGGCTCGGAGAGGTTAAGTAATTCACACACAATCACACCATTAACTATCAAATGAGTAGTGGAGGCATAAATCCAATCTAGAACTAACTCAAAATCCCTGTTATGCTTTGTATTATAGTTGCTGTCTATTACCCATTCACAATTTCTTGTGCACTGAGTTTCTTGATGTAGGGGCTATGCCTTCTTATCTCTGTATGTCCAGCACCTAGCAGAGTGCTTGGTTCTGGTAGGCACTCCTAAGAACCATTTACTGGATGCATGCATGGATGGATGAATGGATGGAGGGACGGATGAGTGGATGGATGAGTGGAGGGATGGATGGATGGATGGACGGACGGATGGATGGATGGATGGATGGATGGATGAGTGGATGGATGGATGGATGCATGGATCCATGATAGAAGAATACAACATCTCCAACTGAGAAGGCAGAGGTGCCTTGGAAAGGCCATGGCAATCTGCAGAGTAGGGTTTGGGCACCACTCCAGTAACACAATCAGCCACCAGCTGATCGGTCCCAGCTGACCTAACCCTGCCTGCTCTCTTGAGTCTTGGCAAACCCCAGAGGCATAGCTGGAAATGAATGAAAATCCTCCCCTGAGGGACAATATTTGCCCTTCCTCCTCTTTTATTCCGCATCCTCCTGTTTACTTCTTTTTGTCCCTGAGTACCACATAAAGGAGCTTCAGAGGGGATTCTCTACAAGCCCTGAAAGAGAGGAAGCAGCCAGGAAGGGCTCCAAAGGTCCTGAACGAGGAAGAAGACATGGAAAGCACAGAGAGGAGAAAAGAGCAGCTCAGTGGGACCAGGAGAGCCAGCAGCCATCAGGGCTGGAAATGTCCAGGGCACCTGCTAAGAACATAATGACAGAAGCCACAAGACGGGCTGGTCCCACAGGCTGCAGCTGCACCAAGAGCCCCGGTAAAGTCTGCAGAGGCACAGGACTAGGCTTACGCTCCCTAAACATTCTCAATTCCCTCCCCTCCCTCAATGAGATAAAGCAGCAGCAGTATCCTCCCTGCCTCTCCCCACCCCTCATCCTGAACCAAATGAGACCCCCACGCTAAGCACT
Source organism: Homo sapiens (assembly GCF_000001405.40). NCBI lineage: Eukaryota > Metazoa > Chordata > Mammalia > Primates > Hominidae > Homo > Homo sapiens. The sequence goes on from NC_000008.11 coordinate 21,842,998, forward strand.
GCTGTCCAAATCAAATTCCACTTGGAACAATTCTCTCTCTTTCTCTCTGCCCACCTAGCTCCTTCTAAGCCCACCCCCTCTCCCATGCCAATCCTTCCAAACTCAATGGTATCAAAAAGGCCTCAACTGTCAAGGGCTGATGGAGGGAAATGGAGACCCACTTGTCTGGCTGACCACCAGAATTTAGACCAGGACACCTCGAAGACTCAGGATCCATGCTGGGCAGAGTCCCTCACAGGACAATTGAGACCCAGTTTCTAATTCCGCTCCTGTTATACGGAGCTGTGTGACTTTCAGCAAATCCTATACCTCTCTGAGCCTCAGGGTTTTTTTAAATCTGTGTAACCAGTGAGCTGGAGAGATCATGGTTTTGAAACCATCCTGGTCAGAAGTTGCTGCTGAGGAGTAAGCAGGGGGGACTCTGGGCCCCTCATCTCATCCTGCACCTGAGCAGCCTGACTTTTGTCTGTTTTATCTGTCAGGCTTCCAGTAAGATTGCACTTAGAAAAAAGGTTTAGCGGTTGTTTAAAAAAAAAAAAAAAAAGGCCAGACGCCGTGGCTCATGCCTGTAATCCCAGCACTTTGGGAGGCTGAGGCAGGCAGATCACGAGGTCAAGAGATCAAGATCATCCTGGCCAACATGATGAAACCCCATCTCTACTAAAAATACAAAAATTAGCTGGACGTCGTGGTGCGTGCCTATAATCCCAGCTACTCGGGAGGCTGAGGTAGGAGAATCACTTGAATCCAGGAGGCAGAGGTTGCAGTGAGCTGAGATCGAGCCATTGCACTCCAGCCTAGGCAACAAGAGTGAAACTTCATCTAGGAAAAAAAAAAAAAAAAAAGCTGAAATGCATTGGCCTCAAGATAAACTCTGAGATTCCTTTCTTCTTTCAGTCTTCGTCTGCGATTCAGTCCGTGCACACATATTTTTTCCTGGCTATCCTAATCTGGACAGTCCTGATTCACACATTCTTTCCTGTGGTTCCTACAAAATGGTCATAGTCACCAGGCCTCATGTCCTGATTTGGGATTGGAAAGTAGGTCCCCACACTTCTGGCTGGATGTATAAGACATGGGACCCACCCTCCGCTTCAGGAAACAGGTGCCTCCTATAAAGATAAATGACCCAGCCAGGACATCTCTGCCAAGTGCAGAGTGTTTTAGCCTAGAAGAGCTGCAGAGTCCAGGAAGCAAAGGTGGTTGTGGTGCAGAGGGCAGGCCTCATGGACGAGGTGGCTTAGGTCCAGATACACAAAGACTCCACAATGGGATTTCACTGGGGGTACAGCCGATGGTCAAATCTGGTTTCAGGGGTGAACAGAAAGCTAAAATGTCAGGACTCTGATTCAGATGCCTGGGTTCAACTCCAATTCTGTTGCCTAATTGCTACATGACTCAGGCAAGCTAATTCGGCTCTTAGCCTCAATTCCCCCACCTATTCTAAACCATCTCCACCATTCCATCCAGCTCCCTATGTGCCTCTCTCAGGCTCTTTTTTAGAGGTAGCCTTGGTTGTGGATTTTCACAGGGGAGGAGAAGGACACAGAGAGGAATTCAAGCTCCAGAAAGGTCAGATGCAAAACCTGCAAATTGGGGACCAAATATAGACCCCAGGCCTTGCCTTCCTGGTTCTACCTCCACCATACTCCTGAGGTCAGCGGGGGTAAGAGGAGGGTGAGAGGGAGGAAAGATAGGATGAAGAAGGAACACAGCCCACCATTAGCAAGCCTGGAGGAATTCCCAGCTGCTCAGAGAAGAGCCTCTAAGGAATATGCATAGTCACCAGAGGACGAGGTCTTGTTTGCATCATCGAATTTCCCAAGTGCCATAACAAACAGCAGTGACTGTCGTCTCTGGCTCCCCATCTCCTGGGACAGAATAACCTGCTGCCCTAGTCACTGTCACTCCTGCAACCCGCCCACCTCCCTCACCTCATCTTGTCCTCACCATCACCGTGTGCCCTAACCCAGGCCCTCCCCAAAGCCCCAGCATGTGTCAAGATCTTCCACTGCCAAATTCCCAAGCTGAGCAAATAAGGATGTCTGAGCCAGGCTGGGGCTGCCAGATCCCTGCGAGGGAAGACAAGCAAACCAGGCTGGCAATGCCATACAGGAAGAAAGGTGGATAGGGGTGTGCTTGGGACCTGTGGTGTCCCCTCACCCCTTTGGGAAAGGAGAGCAGGACACAAGGGAGAGCTCAGGCATAGGTCATGCTGCCATCTTGTCAAAGGCAGCACCAAAAGAAAGATATGGGCGAAAGAAGGAAAGAAATGCTTCTTAGTATTATGCCTGAAACTCTACCATTAAGGAACCTTTCTTCCAGCCAACCATCGCCCTTGCCACTCAGGCCTCCTGCAAAATGCAATTTCCATTTAGCGCAATTCAGATGTCCATCAGTCCAGGACTGGTCACATAAGTGATGCCTCCCGCATAGCACAGAACATTATATGGCCATTAACAAGAGTGCAATATAGATTTTTAAAATAACAATGTCCACTCTGTGTTGCCAGGTGATAGAAGGAAATGGCAGAGCTTTGCTTAGCAGAGTCCTGCCTTTGTAAAATAAATAAATAAATTGATGGATGGATTAAGCAAGTAAGTAAATTAGTGAATGCACCAGGAGAAACATCTGGGAGGACATAGTCTAAACAATGCCTATCTCACGGGTCACAGGGATGGATAAGAAGGGATCATTTTTTATTTATGTATTTTATTTTATTTTATTTTTGAGATAGGGTCTCACTCTGTCACCCAGGCTGGAGTGCAGTGGCGCGATCTTGGCTCACTGCAACTTCTGCCTCCCAGGTTCAAGCGATTCTCCTGCCTCAGCCTCCCGAGTAGCTGGGCTAACAGGTGCACACTACCACACCCTGGTAAATTTTGTATTTTTTGGTAGAGACGGAGTTTCACCATGTTGGCCGGGCTGCTCTCTAATGCCTGACCTCAGGTGATCCGCCCACTTCAGCCTCCAAAGTGCTAGGATTACAGGCATGAGCCACCACGCCCCACCAGAGAAGGGATTTTTTTTTTAACCTTACGTGTTGAATCTTTGCTGTTTGAAATTTGAGTGTTTTACAACGATTGATGTTATAATCAGGAAGAAACACCATTTCAGTGGGGTTGTGGGGAGTAAATTTCCCATGAAAAGATGACAGCACTGCTGCCACCCGGCTGTGCGACTGAGGAGCCACGAGAATCTGGGCCCCTGGGCTGGTGGAAGGGCTGACGAGAAGAGGCTGTAGGCAGATGTGCACCCCCATCCCCAAAACCATCCCCACAGGCCTTGCTGCAATCTGGCCTTCACCTTGAAATCCAGCCCTGTTTATTTCATTAAGTGTTTGCCCAAGGCTCAGTCTCTAGAGAAGCATATTAACTAACTTTTGTGAATTCTTGCCAATTTGCAGAGCACTTACACATTTTCTTGCATTCATTCATTCCTTCAGAAATGTTCTGAGCCTCTCCTACAAGCCAGGCACTAGGTGCTGGGGAGACAGAGGCTAAAGAAGCTGCAGTCGGTGGCCCTGGGAGGAGGCCCCCATGCACGGGGGGGAAAGGCCTCTGCCTGCCATGTTGGTGCTTCGTCCCCGGGGCCAGACAGAGCGCAGAGAGGCCCCAGTCCCAGGCCGGTGGTGTTGCTGGGCTTTAAGAAAGCAAAGACTTCAACCAGATGAAGAAGGAAGGTGCTCCATCAACAGAAGAGCAATCAGCCACCAGAATCCTCAGAGGGCCAGGCCTTATGCTAATGTTACAGGATCTTTGAGGTGTCGCTTTTCTGGCTGGAAACCTCTGTGGCCAGTGGCACCTTTGCCCAACATTTTCTCAGGCCTGCTCAGCTTGTTCCACCCACTCATCCTGTGCTCGGCTCACACTACCGGCCTGGATCCCACACCTGCCAAGAACAACCCAGTCGTGGAGCGGGGACTGGTGTGTGAGCGAGCAAGCGTGGGGTCCGGCCACTGTGCACGGTCAGGCATGCCGGCTGCTCAGTGGGGCGAGCAGCTCCAGGTGCCGGCACGGGCGCCGGCTCTCTGTGAGGCTGCAGCTAGACCAGGCACACCACAAGCAGCTTCCCCGGTGCCAGCCTGGAATGCAGTGGCACCTGGAAGCTCAGAGATGCCAGGAATCACAGGGCCTCAAAGAGGGAGTCACAGCCCTGGCTCAGAGAGCTGCCAGGTTTGGGCCCCCTGAAGGACCACAGCTCTTCTCTCCTTCTCTTTGTCCACAATGTGGTGAACAAGGGGCAAGTTTCTGCCCTGTTTGTGTTACAGCTTTTCTTGCCTCACCATTTGGTAGGCCCCGAGCTCTTGCCCTGCAACTAGGAAGAACGAGGCACACAGACACGTGGACGGTGAGCAAGACGAAGAGGAGCTTTATTGAGCAGTAGAACAGCTCAGAGACTCATTGCGGGTAGCTCCTTTCTACAGCCAGAGTGTCCCAATGAGTGTTCAGCCCTCAGCAGAGAAGAAGAGGCCCTGGGGTGGGTGACTCTTCTCTGCTGGCAGGTCATCCAGTTTTCTCTGTAGCTCTTAGCAGAGAGGAGGCCCTGGAGTGGATTGTTCCCATCTCCAGGTAGGTCATCCCTGGAGTGGGAAGCTCCTCCCTACTGTTGGTCATTCTGACGTTTTCTAGCTATCAGCAGAGAGGGTAGCTCCTCTCTGCAGCTGGTCCTCCAGTCATCTCCCCTGCTCTGGCTGAACTGGCCCCAGAGGAGGATAGTGTATGCCGATTTGTTCATGGGCAGCCATGGGCGGGCACAGGAAAAAGCACCACGAGTTCCCCATCCAGTCCACAGGACTGGCAGCCTGAAGGTAGGGTCTCACCGGGGACCCAGCCCCTTCCACCCAGGAACCTGTTTGCCTGCTGCCACCCTCCATGGCACCCAGGCTGCTTGTATCAAGGAGCATCTGCAGGCCAGCATTGAGCCGCCCTCACTAAGACGTGAGATCCCTCCTCATTTAATCTCAAAGGTACAATATCAGCTTGCCAAGGTACAACCATCATTATCCCTATTCCATGGGAAAGGATAGATTGGCAAGCATGGGAAGTGGAACAGGAGCTGGGAAGAGGCATTTTGGTTCACAGCAACGGGGAAAGAGGCCCTGCTGGTTCCACTGAGGCCCCTGCAGTGCCCTGGTCTCCCTCCTACACCTGCTTCCACCTCTGGGCTTGAGAAGATCATTCAGAACCGGCTCCAATGCCTGGACTAACCAAGGTGCATTCCCAACCCAGTGTCTTCCAGGCTTCCTGACTCCACTGGCCTCCCTTTACCTTCCATGACCAGACACCACACACATGGAATGAAGTATTCTAGACTCCATGCCATCCCAGGCAGATGGATCTCCCTCAGAGTCCCCTGAACAAACGAGGCTCATGTGCACTTCCACCCTCTCTGTTCATGCTGTTCCCCTGCCTGGTGCTGCTCCTGCACAGCTCTATGTGCAAAGTAGAAGATGCAAACACCACCTCCGCCGTAGAACTGTATTAGTGTGTTCCCACCTGGACTAATCTCTTTTCAGACTGCCTTGGATACACCCACAGAATTCAAGTGCTTAATTGTTCTTCAATGATTTCTGTGTGTGTGTGTGTATGTGTAAACAACTAAACTGCCAATCCCTGAGAGCAGGAACATGCCCCTGTTCCCATCAAGCATCCCATATTTCCCAGTCCACACCAGTCACAAAACAGGAATTCTCTATGTGTATCCCTGTGGCTGCAGCCTCCAACTCCCACGCTGCCCCCAAAGGGCTCCCTGCTAGACCTAGAGCTCCCTAAGCCTGCATTCTCCAAGTCTGGATATTTAGGAAGTGGTCAATATCTACATGTGAAATGATCCTTAAGTCCTGTGTTAATGGCTCTTGTATCACTGACTGGCACCATCACCTCCTTGTCCATCTCTCCTTTCCCCATCCCCTGCCACCTCCTGAAGGCACCCAGCGGACGGACAGAGAACTCAGGGACTGAGTTTCCATCTGTGTCTCAGAAACCAAGCAAGGGCTCCAGACCAGAGGGCTGTATGGTGGCTCCAGGAACCTAGAACACTTATTTCCTGGCCCTGAGACCCTGGGAGGGGGAAATCCTCACCCCAGAAGGCACCCTGTGCCCCCGTCTGGGCCTTCCCAAACACAGTGCAGGGAGCTAGGACTCCTTAGGGAGCCTGTCCTTCAGAAAAATGACTCAGGGAGGTGGCCACAGCGCCTGGGGGCCTCCACAACAAAAAATGGGTCACTATGGGGGGGAAAAGTGGTTAAAAAAAGAAAAGATCTGTTTCTGGAACCTGGTCTCAGTGCTGGCTGGGAGCTGAATAGGGTCCCCTGAGGGAGTTTCCAGAATCTCGTGGTTTTCTCTCCCAGAATCTCATAAACCATCAGGTCTCCAGCCCGGGACCCCCACAGCCACAGTGAGCCCTGAGTGGAAACGGGGGACACCTGAGAGCCCTTCTCCCTGCCTGCTGCAACCCAACCAGTCACCCAGAGCGAGTGCTGGGCCCCTGGAGAGGGGCTGTGGGGCTGTGTGGGCTGCCTCTCTCGGCTTTCTAGGTTGTTTCTAAACTGCTCCATTCCTGTTAAGTAGGACACACCAGGGAGGAGGGCGCTGAGCTCCGGGAGGGGCAGGGCAGGACTCACAGAGACGGTGACAGGAACCTCAGGACTCCAGGCTAGGAAAGGGTCTCTTGGGGTCATCTAGAGGCAGAATCCTTCAGGCAAGACCCAGAAAGGGAGAGGGCTTGTCCTGGGCCACCGCACTCATGCGTGGTGGGAGCGGGGCTAACGACCACTGCACACAGCTCTGGCGTTCTTGGTGCACGTGGAGGAGAGAGCTGGCTGGGAAGCCACAACACCCAGGCCACCACCAGGATCAGCCATGGGCAGAGGCCTCAGTCTTTTCATCTCTAAAATGGAAATAAGAATATCTCCTTCGTGGTTGTTGTGAGAACTGAATGAAACACCGTCTGTAAAAGATGTTCGTGTGCAAGACTGAATATTCCATACAAATGGAAGATACTTTTATTATTCCAAGCCATGGTCTTCTGTTGATACCCCAAACTGGCCATGTGCTGACAAATGCTAAAGTAGGGTGGGGTTGCACTAAAGACTCAATGTTTTTGTCCCCCCAAAATTCATATGTTGAAATCCTCACCTCTGAGGCGATGGTGTTAGGAAGTGGGGCTTGGGGGGGTGATGAGGTCATGAGGGATGAACTCTCAGGAATGGGATTAGTGTCCTTATTAAATAGGCCTCAGAGATATTTCTCACTCTTTTAATCGTGAGGACACAGCAAGAAGACAGTTGTCCATGAACCAGGAAGGGTCCCCACCAGACACTGGTTCTGCTGGAGCTGTGATCTTGGACTTTCAGTTTCCAGAACTGTAAGAAATAAATGTGTTGTTTAAGCCGCCCAGTCTACGGTATTTTTATTATAGCAGCCCTAACGGAATTAGACAGGGTGGGGGTTTGTGATACTATTCTTTCTACTTTTGTCTATGTGCGAAATCTTCCAAAACAGAAAGTCGGCAGGGCGCGGTGGCTCACGCCTGTAATCCTAACATTTTGGGAGGCTGAGGCAGGCGGATCACTTGAGCTCAAGAGTTTGAGACCAGCGGCCGGGCACGGTGGCTCACGCCTGTAATCCCAGCACTTTGGGAGGCCGAGGCAGGCGGATCACAAGGTCAGGAGATAGAGACTATCTTGGCTAACACGGTGAAACCCCGCCTCTACCGAAAATACAAAAAAAATTAGCCAGGTGAGGTGGCGGGCGCCTGTAGTTCCAGCTACTTCGGAGGCTGAGGCAGGAGAATGGCGTGAACCTGGGAGGCAGAGCTTGCAGTGAGCCGAGATCACGCCAGTACACTCCAGCCTGGGCGACAGAGTGAGACTCCATTTCAAAAAAAAAAAAAAAAAAAGAGTTTGAGACCAGCCCGGGCAACACGGCAAACATCATCTCCACAAAAAAATACAAAAAAATCGGCCAATCGTGGTGGTGCACACCAGTGGTCCCAGCTAATTGGGGGGCTGAGGTGGGAGGATCTCTTGAGCCCAGGAATTCAAGGCTACAGTGAGCTGAGATCGCACCACTGCACTCCAGCCTGAGTGACAGAGTGAGACCCTGTCCAAAAAAAAAAAAATGTCGGCCACGTGCGGTGGCTCACGCCTATAATCCCAGCACTTTGGAAGGCCGAGGTGGGCAGATCACAAGGTCAGGAGTTCAAGACCAGCCTGACCAATATGGTGAAACGATGTCTCTACTAAAAATACAAAAATTAGCTGGGTGTGGTGGCACGCGTCTGTAGTCCCAGCTACTCAGGAGACTGAGGTCGGCAGGAGAATTGCCTGAGCCCGGGAGGCGGAGGTTGCAGTGAGCCGAGACCACACTACCGCACTACAGCCTGGGCAACAGAGTGAGACTCTGTCTCAAAAAAAAAATGTCAACACAGACACAAGGCTATGTTTCTGAATTTCTACTCACACTGCCACTCTGGCCCCGATCTGTGGCTGCACATGCACACGCATGCACACACACAGGGGCACACACACACACAAACACGCACACATGTTTGAAGGGAACTGATGGCTTCCAGAGTGCCACCCTCGAGGAAAGGAAGAAAACAAGTCATTGGGGTGGCCTGTCACTGTGTCACGTGGGACGTGGCTGTCAGAACTACTGTGTGGTCTTCCCATTTCTTTTTTTTTTTTTTTTTTTTGAGATGGAGTCTCGCTCTGTTGCCCAGGCTGGAGTGCAGTGGCGCGATCTCAGCTCACTACAAGCTCCACCTCCCGGGTTCACGCCATTCTCCCGCCTCAGCTTCCCTAGTAGCTGGGACTACAGGTGCCCGCCACCATGCCTGGCTAATTTTGTTTTTGTATTTTTAGCAGAGACGGGGTTTCACCATGTTAGCTAGGATGGTCTCAGTCTCCTGACCTCGTGATCCGCCCGCCTCGGCCTCCCAAAGTGCTGGGATTACAGGCGTGAGCCACCGTGCCCAGCCTGGTCTTCCCATTTCACAAAGACCGAAGGACTAGTTTTAGAGTCAAATTCTGGCCAAACTCCACACTCTGCCCTGTGTGCTTAGCCCACTCCCAGTGGGCCTGGCTTTTCTCCAGCCTGAAGCCACCTATAGCGAAAGACCAGTTTCCTTTCCCTTTTTTGTGTCTGAGCACAGTTCCAGTGAGTCGGGGCCATCAAACTCTTCAGTGCACAGCGTGTTGTTAGATTGTGTCTGGTCCCTGCAAGACCCCTCGTGTTTTCTGTCTTTTTTCCATTCATCACTGTCCATGCCCTGAATCTATCTCCTTTCTGGACATACATTGATGTTTGTAAATTGCCTAGAAGGGTGTCTAAAACACAGGAGGACTGGGCATGGTGGTTCACACCTGTAATCCCAGAACTTTGAAAGGCTGAGGCAAGAGGATCATTTCAGCCCAACAGTTTGAGACCAGCCTGGGTAACATAGCAAGACCCCCATCTCTACAAAAAATAAAAAAACTGGTCAGGTATGGTGGCACATGCCTGTAGTTCCAGCTACTCAGGAGAATGAGGCAGAAGAATTGCTGGAGCCCAGGGGGTCGAGGCCGCAAGTGGGCAATGATCGCACCACTGCACTCCAGCCTGGGTGACACAGCAAGATCCTGTCTCAAAAATAAATAAATAGGCTGGGCATGGTGGCTCACGCCTGTAATCCCAGCACTTTGGGAGGCCAAGGTGAGCAGATCACAAGGTCAGGATTGCGAAACCAGCCTGGCCAACATGGTGAAACCCCGTCTGTACTAAAAATACAAAAATTAGGCAGGCATGGTGGCACATGCCTGTAATCTCAGCTACTCAGGAGGCTGAGGCAGGAGAATCGCTTGAACCTGGAAGTCGCAGGTTGCAGTGAGCTGAGATCATGCCATTGCACTCCAGTCTGGTGACAGAGTGAGACTCTATCTCTAAATAAATAAATAAGTAGCCGGGCACGGTGGCTCACGCCTGTAATCCAAACACTTTGGGAGGCTGAGGCGGGCAGATCACCTGAGGTCAGGAGTTCAAGACCAGCCTGACCAACATGGAGAAACCCCATCTCTGCTAAAAACACAAAAATTAGCCACGCATGATGGCGGGTGCCTATAATCCCAGCTACTCAGGAGGCTGAGGCAGGGCAATCACTTGAACCCGGAAGGCAGAGGTTGCAGTGAGCCGAGATCGTGCCATTGCACTCCAGCCTGGGCGACAGGGCAAGACTCCATTTCAAAAGAATAAATAAATAAGTAAATAAGTAAAAGAAAGAAAGAAACCATATGCACTATAGGCGCCTCTTCTTATGTGTTTGCTGCATGTCTTCAGTATGCACATATCCTCATACATCATGGAGCATTGTTTTCAATATGTGTTTTGAATTTTCATAAATGGTATTGTATTTTGAATGCTATTCTGCGTTTTACTTTTTTCAGCTCTGTCCTTGTTGCTGTCAGTATCTGGTTGGATGACTCCAAAGCTGTGTAGGATCCCAGAGGGCACCCACCACAGTTCGCTTTTCTGTCCCCTCATTGATGGACACCAAGGGGCCTCCAGCACCCTGTGCCACAAACAACACACTCTACACACGTCCCTTTAGGGAGACTTTCTGTGGGATCCATTCCTAGGAGTAGGATCATTGATTTCTAAGCCATGGGTACTCAAATAAGTAATTGTTTGACTTGGTATTTGTAAATTGCCTAGAACAGTGTCTAAAACACAGTAAGCCCTATACATGGCATGTTAAATTAATTTTTAAAAATGAACAGCACTGGATTTGCCAGACTGCTTTCCAAAATCAGTCCACCAGTTTGCACTTCTCCCTGCAATTCAGTAGAGTTCTTGGTTACCCTCAGAAAGGTAACCCTGAGGTTACCCTCAGAAAGGTGTTTTGTCCACCTTTCTGACTTTATTCTGATGATGGCAAAGTCATATCTCAATTGTTTCCATTGACATTCTCTGATATTACTATCAGACGATGTATTCATACTAATAGTATTTGAACCTCTCTTCAAACACTTGTTAGTCATTTAGTCTTTTTCTGAAGTGGAAGCAGTGTTAGAAATATGTTTCTATTCTCCGAGGTGATGTAGAGAATCTAAGCAGCTTTGGGACCACACGTGTTGGAGGTTGATTTCATGTCTTGGGGTGAAAAAGAGGAAGAGGGGACAGAGAAGGAGGAGGAGGAGGAAGGAGAAAGTGGTTTTCCATGCTGGTATATTGTTTCAGTCCATCAACAAAGGATCCAACTGCCCACCAGTCCATAGCAGTACTTCCCATACATTCGTGGCATCAGAACCACCTGGAACTTGTTAAAACACAGCTTGCAGCCAGACATGGTGGCTCATTCCTGTAATCTCAGCACATTGAGAGGCCAAGGCAGGCTGATCACCTGAGGTCAGGAGTTCAAGATCAGCCTGGCCAACATGGCAAAACCCCATCTCTACTAAAAATACAAAAATTAGCTGGGCATGGTGGCAGGCACCTGTAATCCCAGCTACTTGGGAGGCTGAGGCAGGAGAATCGCTTGAACCTGGGAGGAGGAGGTTGCAGTGAGCCGAGATGGCACCACTTGCACTCCAGCTTGGGCGACAGAGCAAGACTGTGCCTCAAAACAACAACAACAACAAGAACAACAAAAAAAAAATGGCTTGCTGGACCCTGTCCCCAGTTTCTGATTCAGTGGGTCTGGGTGGGGTGGACAATTTGAATTTCTAGCAAGTTCCCTGGAGGTGCTCATGCTACAAGTTGTGGGACCCACTCTGAGAACTGCCACATGAAACCGACTCACCACCCCAGTGAGAATGGTGCCATCACCTTGGGCAGGGCTTGGCTGCAGAAACATAAATCCAGCTTTTCAAAGAACATTAAATCCAACTGGCCACCCAAAGTCCCCATCTCTGCACCTGAATGAAGGCCAGCTCGCACCTCCAGGGCCCAGACCAGGATAGCCAGAGAGCAGCAGTGAAGGAGGCCCTCCCTCTGAGGGCTGTGCCAGCGCAGGGTCTGCACCTGCTCCTTAAATGCTACACCCTTGAGGTCTCGAGTGCCTCCCCCAGCCCTGACACAGCCCTGCTCACCCCACCTCCTGCTCCAGACCACTGACAAACATAACACGTTGCATTCTATCACTTTATTCGTTTTCAATATTAGCATCCCACACATTATCTAATTAAATTCTCATGACAACCCCAGGGATTGTCCACCCCATATGACAGATAGGAACACGGAGGTCCGGAAGGCCCTGCAGCCAGTTAGGAAGAACCTCCTTCCCCTTGCCTCCTAAGCCAGGCCCCATGCTCCAGGCCCAAAGCAAGCACCTGCATGACCTCTGCCATGCCTCCACACAGCCCTCAGCTTCTCAGTTCCTTCCCATCTCCAGCCGGGGTCACTTCCATTGTCTCATTTGCATTCTCCCCAAAGCTCTTTGAAAGGGATTGTTGTGACTATCATTCCCATTTCATAATAGAGGACATTGACTTCAGAGAAGCCAAGAGCCTTGCCCGAGGCCGCCAAGCTCTTAGTCACTGCACAGGCTGTAGACTGCAGCCATCCTGGCCCACTGTCATCAATGCAAACAGCTCGGCTTCCCTCCTCTATGCACCTGCCTCCAGGTCCTTCTCTCGTCTCTAACTGCAGGCTTGTCATGGCTCAGCCCATCTCCTCCAGGAAGCCTTCCAGAGGGCCCTGAGCTTCTCCCTCTTCACCTGTTTCTAACTCCTCCATGTGGACTTTTCTGAGTACCACCAGACTGTGCATTCCATGCAGTAGACACCTGTCCATCTCCTCCTCCCCTGTATCCGTGGGTGAATGCAGCACAGGCTCTGGCTTGGGTGGCCTGTTTCCCACCTGCTGTGCTTCACCCCCTCTCGTACAACTCTCTACAGTAGCAGAGCTGGTTCTGATTCACTTCATCAGGCAATGCTGTGAAGGGGAGGGAATCCAACCCAGCAGCTGCAGTACAGGCAGGTCCCTGACTACCTTCCACAAAAGATCTTCTCCTCCCTCCAGGTGATCCCTCTGCTCATCCCTGGATGTGGCCAGTCCCCTATTACAATTGCCCGGGACCTCAGAGGTAGGACTGAAGGGGAGGGGTGCAGGGCTGGCTTCCCTAGGAAGACACCACTACCAGGAAAAGCAGAGATGCACCGGGAGGGCTCGGAGCCAGGGTCTGTACCTGGGGAGCAGCCATGGGGGATAAAGCACAAAACTAAACCTGTCCCTGTCACTCTTACCCCTCCCCAACCTTTTGCCTCAGTGGCATCATATAAAGGGAGTATTAAACTCTGTCTCAAAGCAAAAGAGGATCTGCCCAAGGATGACCTGGGATGGGGACGAGGGGATAGAGGAGTTAAGGCAAATGCCTATAAGTACATACCTCACGAGTGTCCACATACATACACATACAAACACACATTAGGCCTTTTGTGTTCATACCCTCACCCCCAGTTCTGGCTCTCCAATTTACCTGGTCAGTCCTGGAAACAGCTCCGCAGAGGGGGCCATTGAGCACCTGGGAAACAGCCTGCAGCCATGATTGCAGAAACAGGTCAAGGGTACTGGGGCCAGGAGGGCAGGAGAAAGGCTCTTAGGGCCAAAGAAAGATAGAGCCGAATGCAACCAAGCATTCTAGGGAGAAATCACCAAGGATGCACCTGGATAATAAGATGCAAATTGCCAGGGCTAGGAGTGAAGGAGATGCTTATATGCAAATGAGCATACCCAACCTCCATCCACATTAAGCTCAATTATATTTTTTAACCCCTTTTGACAGAATTCATCCTCAAGCGAAGGGGGCAGGGAGCAGTGCTCTCCATTCAAATGGGAAACTGAGACAGCCCAAGTGGGCTACAGGAAAGCAACCAAGTACCCGAGCTCAAGGGAATCCAGACTCCATCCCAGAGCCTCCCCACCTCCATCAGGAATCTGCTCTCAGCCTGAGATGCGTGGATACAGATGAGCACCTACCTAAAGGGCCAGGCCTGCATTAGGTTGCAGGAGTGTGGGACCTGAAGAATGCAAGGACCAGGAAGAGGAACCAGGAAGAAATCAGAAATAAAAAAAAGAAAGAAAGAAAGAAAGAAAGGAATAAAGTAGTAAAAGATAACAAAGAAGTGGATGGAGACAGGCAAAAGAAGCAGAGGCACCTAGAGCAGTGTCTCAGGTAAACCAGCTTGCTTGTAGTGCAGCATCTCAGAGGGATTTTGCATAGAAAGAGAAAGACATGGGTTCTAATCTTGTTTCTGCAATAGGTGTGTGAACTTGGGCAAATCACTTAACCGCTTGAACCTTGGTTTTAGTATCTATAAAGAAGGAGAGTGCTGGGTGCAGTGGCTCACAGCTGTAATCCCAGCACTTTGGGAGGCTGAGGCGGGTGGATCACCTGAGGTCAGGAGTTCAAGACCAGCCTGGCCAACATGGGGAAAACCTGTTTCTACTAAAAATTCAAAAAAGTGTCCAGGCATGGTGGTGGGCACCTGTAATCCCAGCTATTCAGGAAGCTGAGGCAGGAGAATCGCTTGAACCTGGGAGGCGGAGGTTGCAGTGAGCCAAGATCGTGCCATTGCACTCCAGCCTGGGCGACAAGAGTGAAACAAAAATCCCAGCTGGACATCCTTCACACAGTAACCAAGGCTCATATGAGATAATGGATGTGAAAGGGCCTTAAAAAGGACGATGCATTATTTCTAACCGGGGAATCAACTCGGAAGTTGGGGCCAGAAGGGAAGCACTTTCTCCCAGTGATTAGGTGTGTTGGGGTGTGCTGTGCTTTCTTTCTAATGTTTTCCACCTCTTGAGTTTCCATACCTGATGATTTGGGGGCGAGGTCAACCCTGAATGGCCTCAGAATCAGGAAACTTGGCTTCTGCCCAGGCTGTGCACCAGTCACCTGAAGGGCCTTGGGTGAGTTACTTCCTCTCTCTGGTCCTTTGCTGTCCTATGTGCAAAATGAGAACGTTGCACTGGATGGTCTCCAGCACACATTACAGAGGCCTGCTTTTTCTGCATAGCAGAGACTCCTGCTGAACCCTTGGTTGCTGGGTGACTCAATTTGTGTTTGGTTTTAGTTTCTGCTGCTTTAGCGAGAAATTCTCCTCTCAAATGGAGGAATGGGAAGCATTTTCACTTCCCCCTCAAAGAAGGAAGGATGGGCCTTTGTGCTTCTAAGAACTGGGCCTTTCTTGCCCTGGAAAGTGGGTAAACAGGTCTTTGTCATTGACACAGGAGCAGAGTCCTTTCTGTCTGGCTCTGAAATCCTGCCATGGGAGAAAAACTGGAGGCTTCAGGCACTTGTGGAGAAGGTGGGATAAAAACAGAGGCAGAGGAGGGGGAAATGGAGGCAGGAAGTGGGAGGAGGGACGCTAGGTATGCGTTTGGACCCCTGGGCCCCTCCCCCATAGTGCTCCAGAATAGACTGTGGTCCAGAAAATGCCAAGTCTGGTAGACCCAGTCTAGGGGTACTAAAGGGACACCATGCAAGCACCCCAGCTTAGCGTGGAAATAGAGAACTCCACCCAGTCACACAACGGGGCTTATCTCTGCCAGCAGCACAGCACTGCTGTGAGCTGGAGCCTGTCTTGCTGGTAACCACAGACCTCACCCACTAAGCTTCTAGCTGTTGCTCAAGACACTGCTCTAAACATAAGCACTGCTGCACGAGAGTGATTCAGATTCACGCTGGCCCCCAGCATCAGGCATAGACTTTCCACTCTCACCTTAAAGCCACAGTTCTTCACCTTGGCACTACTGACGTTTTCAGCCAGATATTTCTTGGTTGTAGGGCCATCCCATGCGCTGTGGGATGTTTAGTGGCATCCCTGGCCTCTACCCACTTGCTAATAGCAAGCCCCCAGATGTGACACCAAAAATGTCTCCAGATATTGCTGAATGTCCCCTGGGAGGCAAAATCTTCCCCAGTTGAGAATCACTGCCTTAAACATTCAGAGAGGACACAGTTCAGAAAAGAAGTAGGTTGGAACTACTACCACTGGCCAGGCGCAGTGGCTCATGCCTGTAATCCCAGAGGCTGAGGCAGGCGAATCACGAGGTCAGGAGTTTGAGACCAGCCTGGCCAACATGGCGAAATCCCATCTCTACTAAAAATACGAAAAATTAGCTGGGCGTAGTGGTGGGCACCCGTAATCCCAGCTACTCAGGAGGCTGAGGCAGGAGAATTGCTTGAACCTGGGAGGAAGAGGTTGCAGTGAGCCAAGATTGCCCCCCTGCACTCCAGCCTGGGTGACAGAGTGAGACTCCATCTCAAAAAATCAAAAATAAAAAGAAGAAGTAGGTTGTACTCCCGACCCCAAGAAAGGTACAGACATTTGCTGTTGCAGGTTTTCTCTCCCCCAACCCTCCCAGCCCCACGTTATCTAAAACCAGGACAATTGACACATTTTTGAGGGATGATTAAAATCATGCTTCTCTTGGGTACCATCACTCACTGCAATGAACTTTGAAAGACCTCATGATGGAATCAACTGGTAGAATCCGCGAGCCTCAGACACAAAACATGCTGGAATCCTACCCACGGGCCAGCAGGGAGAGGAGGACAATTTTGGATCTGAGAGAAGGGACTCAGATGTAGAGCTGCCACTACTCCACTCCTGGGCTCAAATCACAGAGCCCAATTTGAGTCCAATCAAGCTACAGCTGATAGACATGAGTCCAGCAGATCCGGTCTCCCAGTGGGAGTCCACTGATTTCAGAGAGCTCTGCCTGTGTTTAAGCAGAATCCTAGCCAGTGCCTGCAGGTGCAGAAAACAGCCCTGGCTTTCACAGAGCTAGCAAAAGTTACCCAGAGAGACAGATTTCCAACCAGCAAGGCTAGGATTCAGGAGGGCGTCCTCCCAGTGAGGAGCTGAACTGCAAGCCAAGAACCACAGCCAGACCACTGGACCAGTTATGCCCAGTCGAGCTTGCAGGAGGGCCAGAGCTCATGGGCACCTGGGGATACCAAGGACCCACCTAGGACACACATGCTGACAGTGGAGGAGCTGCTAATGTTCTTGGTTGCTCCCAGATTCAGCGACTGGATCCAGTTGGAAGGACAGGGCCTGGCACCTGGCTGAAGAGCTGCAGCACTTACATCTCTGAGCCATGCCATCAGTCTCGACACTGCAGTCTGGGGATTTCCTGGTTGACAAATTGCCCATGCCCCTTTAATGTGGAATTCACAATAAAGTCCTCCATAGTTGTCTCTTCCCTAAATCAAGCTTGACAGTTATAGAGCCCAAGGAAAGGCCCACTATGGGAGGCTGCTGGATGCAGCAAGAGACAGCATGCCATGATGTAAGCGGTAGAAACAACCTGGGCTTTGGACTCAGAGAAGCTGCATTCAGGTCCCATCTCAGCCGTGCACAGCTGTTTGGCCTACAGCAAGTAACTTAGCCTCTCCGAGCCTCAAGGTTCCTCTGTATAAAATGGAAGACCGGGCACAGTGATTCACACCTGTAATCCCAGCACTTTGGGAGGCCGACGTGGGCCGATCACCTGAGGCCAGGAGTTTGAGACCAGCCTGGCCAACATGGCAAAACCCTGTCTCTACTAAAAATACAAAAATTAGCCAGGCGTGGTGGTACTCCCAGCTACTTGGGAGCCTGAGGCAGGAGACTCACTCGAACCCAGGAGGCGGAGGTTGCAGTGAGCCGAGATCACGCCACTGCACTCCAGCCTGGGTGACAGAGCGAGACTCTGTCTCAAAAAAAAAAAGAAAAAGAAAAAAAGAAAAAAAAAAAAGGAAATGGAGCTAACAGGCGATTCCTACATCAAAAGACATTGAGATGAAATGGGGTGAAATCATGAAGTTTTGGCACAGCACTCAGCACACGAAGAGTCCTCAACAACTGTGCTTTATTCTTAAGACAACCCCAGCTCTCAGGTATTACAGGAGTGGCCTCTGCTGTCCCCATGACACAGTGCGCAGAGAGCATGGACTGGCCCAGGCAGCAGGGCTCAGGGAGCACCGGCTCCAGATGTCTGCATCTGCATCCAAAGACAGCAACCCCAGCTCAGGGCACACCCACACTCCTTGCAGCTTTGGAGGCTCAGAGAGCAGATTCCTCCAGAGAAAGGACAACTCTAAGTGCACTCACTGTGCTGACCTCATGAGGGAGGTGCAGCCCACATCACCTGGAATTCCCAGGTCTTTATTTTTACCTGTCAGCGAAGCTGTGAGATGTGCACTTGAGAACCTACGCAGCATTCCCCGTGGTGCGGCTCCCGGGTGGCTGTCAGCTGGATCCAGGGCCCGTCAAGAATCATCGAGCATGGCTGGGCGTGGTGGCTCACATCTGTAATCCCAGCACTTTGGGAGGCCAGGGCAGGCGGATCACTTGAGGTCAGGAGTTCATGACCGGCATGGCCAACATGGTGAAACCCCATCTCTAGTAAAAGTACAAAAATTAGCCAGGTGTGGCTGTAATCTCAGCTACTCAGGACGCGGAGGCAAGAGAATCACTTGAACCTGGGAGGCGGAGGTTGCAGTGAGCCGAGATCACACCACTACACCACACTCCAGCCTGGGCTACAGCGCGAGACCCTGTCTCTAAAAAATAAAAATAAAAAGGAATCATCAAGCATGCCCTCCCAGGGCTCTCCCCACCACCCTTTGGCACAGCAGCTGAGGGCCAGCATGCACATTCCAGACTGCAGTGCCCAAGGTGCTCCCGTTGCCAGCAGCAACCTCAGACCTGCAGGGTGACACCCTCTAGGAGAAGCCATGTGGGCAGGGCTAAAGCTTCTGGGGAAGAAATCAGAGGCGTGGGTTTGCCTTACAACAGCCCAGCCAGGGCCAATGCCAGCAGATTTCTTTAAATGTCCTCTGAAAAAATAGGCATTTGGGAGGAAAGTCAGGGCGAAGGCTGCTTTGCGGTAGACACCCACTGCTCATCTTCCTTCCTTTCATAACATTCATCAAGCCTTCTTGTTTACGACCTGTCTCCACCAATCAGCTGTGAGCTCCGTGAGGGCATGGACCATGTCTGACTTGTTCTTTGCTGTATCCTCAGCACTTACCTGTGATGTTTGATGAATGAATAAATAAATATCTTCAGAATACAGAATGTTGAAGTGGTTTGGAAAAGATAAAGCATGAAATATCTTTAAGTTAGGTGACCTGAAAATATTGCAGAAACCCAATGAGTCTTGTTGATGCTAATGATGCCTCATGGTTTACTTTGTGGAGACCACAGGGCCCTGTGATTAAGGCATTTAAGCAAGTATCACCCAGCAGTGAATCAACTCCCCCTCCTGCTGGACTTTGCTCAGGGCTATTAAGAGTGAATTTGCCTGTAATCCCAGCACTTTGGGAGGCCGAGACGGGCAGATCACTTGAGGTCAGGAGTTCAAGACCAGCCTAGCCAATATGGTAAAACCCCATCTCTACTAAAAATACAAAAATCTGCTGGGCTTGGTGGCAGGCGCTACTCAGGAGGCTGAGGCAGGAGAATCTCTTGAACCCAGGAGGCAGAGGTTGCAGTGAGCTGAGATCGCACCACTGCACTCCAGCCTGGGCGACCAAGCAAGAATTTGTCTAAAAAAAAAGAAAAAAAAAACAGAATGAATCCATAGAAGTACTGCCAGGGACACTCAAATAATTGTCACTCATTGAGGGACATCCACAGTCAAGCACCTTACACTGTAGAACCTGTGTGCCCTAGGACTTCCCCATACATCCAGAGCTCCAGATGTGGAATCAGAGTTTGAAAATGCCCTGGTTTTTTGTTTGTTTTTCTGAGACAGAGCCTTATTCTGTCGCCCAGGTTAGAGTGCAATGGAGCAATGGCAGCTCACTGCAGTCGCAACCTCCTGGGCTCAAGTGATCCTCCCATCTTAGCCTCCCAAGTTGCTGGGAAAATAGGTGTGCACCACCAAGCCCAGCTAATTAAAAAAAAAAAATTATAGAAACAGGGTCTCCTGGCCTCAAGCAATCCTCCCACTGCAGCCTGCCAAAGTGCTGGGATTGCAGGAATGAGCCACCACGCCCAGACTGTATTGCTGTGATCTTGAAATCAAGAGAAGAGAAACTCATAGAGGCCTTCATGAAATCCCACACCATCTGCACACATCAGCTCTCCTCAGTGAAGAGAAAATAAGTGTGCAATTGGACCTCACTGACACCTCCTTAGACCACCACATCCCTGTTACTCTAATTAGCCAGCCCTTCGCCTCTCCCACCACGAAGCAGGGTCTGTACAACCCATGATGTGTTTGTTCTCAAAACAAAACAGTAGCTTCCAACTCAGGAGGCTGAGGTGGGAGGATCACTCGAGCCTGGGAGGTCAAGGCTCCAGTGACCTATGATTGCACCACTGCACTCCAGCCTAGGTGACAAAGCGAGACCCTGTCTCAAAAAAAACAAAAAAAAAAACAATAGCTTTCAGCCTTCATGTGGCAACTCCATTTCTATCATGTGTTTCTTCCTCAAAAAGCAACAATCACAAAACCAATTTAACTCCTACTAGGAAAATGTCTCGTGGTACTGGACTCACCATCCTGAGGTCACGTCCAGGAATGTCAAGCCATTATAGACCTCTAAGTCTGCACCAGAACGTAATAATAAACATAATCCATCTCTGACCAGTGGTGCTCCACCTCACCCCACTAGGGCTATGCACAGCTACAAGATGCCAGAGAGTTCTGATAAGCTCATTGCTTATGACCTGAGAGCAACCTCATCTGGCCACACATTGATAAAGAAGCCCTAGAGATTATCACAGAAGTCAAGAAGTCTTAAAACTAATTCTATGTCCTTGCAATGAGAAGGCTTTTTTGAAAATCTTTTCTGAGGCGGGCCTTCTCTCTTAATGACGCCACAGGTACTCAACCCTGAAATTAGAGGCTCCTGCTCAGCAGTTATGACTATGTGTTTATCACCAAGCTCATATATGTACTTTGACATGCTGATGTGCTGAACCACCTGCTGTGCCAGGTTCCAGAGAACTACCCTTGAAAGTAGCCTAGAAAAAGGAGAGAAGGCCACAAAAACAGAAGTGCAGATTAGACATGGAAAGGAGTGTTGCAATCACCATGTGCTACAGAGACAAATTATTTCAAAAAAGGAACCCACTCTCGGCCGGGCGCAGTGGCTCACGCCTGTAATCCCAGCACTTTGGGAGGCCAAGGTGGGTGGATCACAAGGTCAGGAGATCGAGACCATCCTGGCTAACATGGTGAAACCCTGTCTCTACTAAAAATACAAAAAATTAGCTGGGCATGGTGGCGGGCGCCTGTAGTCCCAGCTAGTCAGGAGGCTGAGGCAGGAGAATGGCGTGAACCCGGGAGGCGAAGCTTGCAGTGAGCTGAGATCGTGCCACTGCACTTCAGCCTGGGCGACAGAGCCAGACTCCGTCTCAAAAAAAAAACAAAAACCAAAAACAAAAAGGAACCCACTCTCCTAAAAAGACTCCCTCCCCCAACTCAAACAGCAGCACAGACTGAGAGGGGACATTTTGCTTAGGGCAAGTCAGCCCCTTTGAAGGACAGAGGCAGAGAAGTGTAACGCATGCCTCTATTTTTGAGTTTCTTACAAGCTAACTAGGAGAGACAAGGCACACAAAGTTCCAAGTTCAATGTCTAAATAAACAATGCAGAGTAAGTGCTCTAGGAACTCAGGATAGACTTGACTACAAGCTTGGGTGGCCACCAGAGGACTTAGGATGAATGGGATTTGGAAAGAAGGAGACAGGACTTGTAAAAGCAGTTTTGCAAAGGAGAGAGTGGTGTTAAGGGCCTGGGGTGATTGGAAAAGGGCCCCAAATCCCTTCAGAGCAGTGGGAAGAAGGTGGGGTGGAGACTGCCAGAAACCAGCAGAGGAAGACTGAATGTAACAACCAGAAATGCAGACTCTAGAAGCAGGGTAACCAGATGTCCTGGAATGCCTGAGATAGTCCCAGTTCACTGCTATTTGTCCCTCTGTCATTAATAGTCTCCCCTCACACTCTCACGAAAAATCCTATGGTCACTCTGGTTGGCGGGACCTTTGAGCAGCCACCTGCTCTACCCACAGACCTCTCACAGACTGCAGTCCCCACCCCTCCCCAAAGGAGACTTTCTAGCCCAGATGTGGAAAATCTTATTCAGGGCACACACCCTGGCCATGAATCTGTAAGGGACACCAAAACATCAATGCAACAAATAAGTCATATGGTGCCTCAAACTCAGGCCTCTACACACAGCTTCTTCAGCAACTTGGTCCCCACTCCAACAGAAACAGACAGGGGTTGGTAGGAACCAACACACTCTCATTAGGCACCAATTCCAAACCCACAGACAGAGCGTGGAACAAATATTTAGCAAAGCCTGTTTGAAGGGGTGTCCGCACATGCCCCGCCTGAGAGTCCACATGACTGGTCCAGGCCCTGGCCCCAGCTCTGCCCAACACTAGCTATGTGACCTTGGACAGCCGTGTCCTCTCTCAGCCTCAGCATCCTCATCTGAAACACAAGGGGCTGCTGGGCGAGGTGAACTGCATCTGTAATCCCAGTGCTTTGGGAGGTTGAGGCAGGAGAATAGCTTGAGCCCAGAAGTTCAAGACCAGCCTGGGCAACATAGTGATACCCGTATCTCTACAAAAAGTAAAAATAAACAATAGTGGTGGCACTCACCTGTAGTCCCAGCACTAGGGAGGCTGAGGTGGAAGGATCACTTCAGTCCAGCAGGCGGACGCTGCAGTGAGCCATGATCACACCACTGGACTCCAGTCTGGGCAACAGAGCAGGACCTTTAAATAAATATATTTGAGGCCCAGTGCAGGAGGCAGGGCCTAGTGGGAAGTGTTTGGGACATGCGGGCAGATCCTTTATAAATGTCTTGGTGCCGTCCTCCCACTAATGAGCTCTCACCCTCTTAGTTCCCTAGAGAGATTCGCCCCACTCCCAGAACTAGTCATTGAAAAAGGCCTGGCACCTCCCTTTCCTCTCTCTTGTTTCCTTCCTTTTCCCATGTGATGCCTCCTCCCCCACACCTTCCACCATGAGTAGAAGGTTCCTGAGGCCTCACCAGAAGCAGATGCTGGCACCATACTTCTTGTAGAGCCTGCAGAACCATGAGCCAAATAAACGTCTTTTCTTTATAAATTATCCAGCCTCACGTATTCATTTATAGCAACACAAATGGACTAAGACACCATCTCTTAGAAGTCCTGGCTTCTCTAGAAAAAGAAAGAGAGTTAATTTAAATTTTTAAAAAGGCTTATGCAGAGCAAGAGATTCCATGAACAAATGAAAAGATAAGCCACAGACTGCATGCAACCGAGAATAGATTCACAGTCAGAACCTATAAGAAATTCCTACATATCAATAAGAAAAAGACAAACAACCCAAAAGGAAAATGGGCAAAGAAAATGGATAAACAATTCACACACACAAAAGAAGCACAATGGCCAGTAATCATGAAAACATGTTTAACCTCACTAATAATGTTGAAATACAAATTAAAACAATGAGGTATTGTTTTATACTCACCAGATCAAAACAAATTAGTTTAAGTCTGACAATGTCAAGTGATAATAGACTAACAGATGCTCTCATACACTGTTTGATAAGCAACCACTTGGAAGAACAATGTAGCTATCTCCACTAGTGTCAAAAATGTATATCCTCCACAGCCCCACAATTCAGCTCCTATGTACGTGTCCCAGAAAAGCTCTCTACCCATAGTATAAGGAGATCCCTGTCACCTTGCACACATAATACTCAGGTGCTCAAGCACAACAGTGAAGAAAATGGGAAAAAAATCTAAACAACCATTAACAGAAAAATGAACAAGTGATTCTGGTATAGTCATACAAGGAATATTATACCGCAGTGAAAATGAATGAACCAAAATGACAAGAACCACGTGGCTACGTCTCAATGTTCAGGGGGAGAAAGCAAGCTGCAGATTTATATAGTATAATACTGTCCATATACATTTTAATTATGCAAAACTATATGTACTTTTATACACATACATTTACGTACTTGTATGTATATGTATATATGTATATATGTGTTTATATATAGTTTCTGGAAACATATCTGCAGCAAAAATATACAATTATGAGTGGGATGACAAACTCCAAATTCAGAAGAATAATTATCTCACAGCAGAAGGTGGGATGATGCGATTGGGGGTGGGTATTCAGGGGGCTTGTATTTAATCTATGATTATGTATTTATTTATTTTTAGAGACAGGGTCTTGCTCGGCCATCTAGGCTGGAGTGCAGTGGCATGATCATAGCTTACTGCAGCCTCAAGCTCTTGGGCTCAAGCAATCCTCCCACCTCAGCCTCCCAAGCAACTGGTACTATAGGCACATGCCACGACACACAGCTAATTTTTTAAATATTTTTTTACAGGCAGAGTCTTCCTATGATGCCCAGGCCAGTCTTGAACTCCTGAGCCCAAACGATCCTCCCACCTCAGCCTTCCAAAGTACTGAGATTATAGGCACGAGCCACTGTGCCAGGCTGTGGAACCTGGAATATCTTCTTTAAAAAAAAAAAAAAAAAGAAGGGGGGCCGGGCGTAGTGGCTCATGCCTGTAGTCCTAGCACTTTGGGAGGCTGAGGCAGGCAGATCACTTGAGGTCAGGAGTTCGAGACCAGTCTGGACAACATGGTGAAACCCCATCTCTACTAAAAATAAAAAATTAGCGGGGCATGGTGGTGCATGCCTGTAATCTCAGCTACTCGGGAGGCTGAGGCATGAGAATCGCTTGAACCCAGGCGGCAGAGGTGCAATGAGCCGAGATTGCGCCACTGTACTCCAGCCTGGGCAACAGAATGAGAATCTGTCTCAAAACAAAACAAAACAAAACAAACAAATTAAAAAAAAAAAAAAAGTAAGAGGGTTAGTGCACAGGTGGGTATAGGAGGGTGGGTAGCAAAGGTGTCCTAAGGACCAAAGGTTCTAGAACTAAGAGGCCACACTCTGGGACAAGTGTGGCTGCAACTCCCTAAGCCCCTGCAAAGGTGGCACCTCCTTAACAAGCCTGAGGGATCTGGGAGTGTCAGCTGGATAGAGACAGGCTGGCAGGTCAGGCTGGCAGGTGGGGCGTGTGGTTCCTCTCAGTCTCCCTGTCCCTCTCCTGTCTTTGGCTGGCCCTTGTGGATCCTTTCCTCAATTGGTCTTCATGGCCTCAAAATATATACTGAGACAAATTTCCTCTCCCCTTCATTGTCTCGGGAAAGAATGCAGTTTTTGCCTACTGGGCTGACAAAGATGAAAATGTTTGATACAACCCAACATAACTGGTATGAATTTCTTCTGCAACACACTGGTGCAAGAAATGTCACTTTATCATTTGTCTAAATCAAACAGAACTTGGCTACAAGCCCCCACTCTCCAGAATCAGTAGAAAATTCAATCTTAGTCATGTTCTGGAGGGTTCCTGTCCCACCCGAGGATCATACTGAAGTGTTGCGAGAATGATACATTTCCAATTCAGTCCAGTATGGGCAGCAATGATATACCCACCATGTCAGTGGCCATGATCCTTTCAAAGGCCCTGGCTCTCACCCTCCATACCATACTCAGAGAGGGCTCCCAAGTTCACATCACTTAGCATTCTGTTTCCTGGGACCTAGAAGCCGCCCTGTCAGAAGTCCAGCCACCTCCCACAGCCCTGTGTCAGTGGAGCGCAGGTCCTGGGACTCACAGTAACCTGGTGCCCCAAGCCCACTGCAGGAAGGTCTGGGTCACTTCCCAAATCAAATTCCAAAGCAGACCAAGGATAACAGCCCCTGTGGACACCTACCCTGACATATTGTCACGCTCTGGGAAAAAGGGCTAAGGCTGATTGTGAGCTCACAGAGCTGCAAGCCCCGAATCCAGGCAAGGGACACCCCGTCCGCCTGTGCTGTGACTTAGGAGTTTTCACACTGCTAGACTCTTGGATCTGGTTGACCTCTTTGGTCCGAGTAAACCCCAGGAATAGAAGGAGGGAGGAAATATTAGATTTACTAATAGAAGAGGGAGGTTGGCCGGGTGTGGTGGCTCACACTTGTAATCCCAGCACTTTGGGAGGCCAAGGCAGGCAAATCACTTTGAGATCAGGAGTTCAAGACCACCCTGGCCAACATGGCGAAACCCTGTCTCTAATAAAAAATACAAAAATTAGCCAGGCGTGGTGGTAGACACCTGTAGCCCCAGCTACTTGGGAGGCTGAGGCAGGAGAACGCCCCAGCTCTTTGGGAGGCTGAGGCAGGAGAATTGCTGGAACCCTGGAGGTGGAGGCTACAGTGAGCCAAGATTGTGCCACTGTACTCAAGCCTGGGCGACAGAGCCAGACTCCTTAAAAGAAAGGAAAAAGAGAGAGAGAAAGAGAGAAAGAGAGGAAGGAAGGAAGGAGGGAAGGAAGGAAGGAAAGAAGGAAGGGAGGGAGGGAGGGAGGGAGGCAGAAAAGCTCAGAGATTGACTAGCCACATGCCTTGGACAGAAGGTGAACTCAAAGCCAAGCCTCTCTGACTCCAGGCCCTCACAGTAGATATCACCACTCAAGGATCACATCTTTCAGCACAGGGACCCTCAACTGTCATCTTTTTAGGTGGTCTATTTCACCTCACCTGAATCTGGGCCACACTGCCATTTTAGGCAAAGAAGAGTTCATCAGGCCAGGCACGGTGGCTCACGCCTGTAATCCCAGCACTTTGGGAGGCCGAGGCGGGCGGATCACGAGGTCAGGAGATCGAGGCCATCCTGGCTAACATGATGAAACCCCGTCTCTTCTAAAAATACAAAAAATTAGCCGGGCGTGGTTGCAAGCGCCTGTAGTCCCAGCTACTTGGGAAGCTGAGGCAGGAGAATGGCGTGAACCTGGGAGGCGGAGCCTGCAGTGAGCCGAGATGGCGCCACTGAACTCCAGCCTGGGCGACAGAGCGAGACTCCATCTCAAAAAAAAAAAAAAAGAAGAGTTCATCAGAGTGGGGACAGAAGCTAGGTGTGCATGGCTCAGAGCAGTGAGTGTCCTCTTCCTGTATCTGCCATGCCAGGCCCCAGATAGAGGCCTGTGTTTTCAAGGGAGATTAATAAATTCATTTCAGGGGTGCAGAATTAGCAATCTCCTCCAAATAGCAGACTTAAAGCCCTGTTCTCCAACAGCTTTCTCAGCAACTAAAAGGTATTCTGATCTCCTACCTGATTCATGATCAGAACTTGGGCAGGGAAAAGAGAGTGTCATCTAAAAATCCCCTTAAACTGGCCAGGTGTGGTGGTTCACACTTTGGGAGGCCAAGGCAGGAGGATCACTTGAGGTCAGGAGCTTGTGACCAGCCTGGCCAACATTGTGAAACCCCCACCTCTACTAAAAATACAAAAATTACCCAGGTGTGGTGATGCAGGCCTGGCCTCTGGTCCCAGTTACTTTGGAGGGTTAGGCAGGAGAATCACTTGAACTCGGGAGGGAGAGGCTGAAGTGAGCCGAGATCATGCCACTGCACTCCAGCCTGGGTGACAGAGCGAGACTCTGTCTCAAAAAAAAAGAAAAGAAAAAGAAAAAAAAAATTCCCCTTAAACCTCAGCAAAATTCAACTGACCTTGAGGAACTCTGACATCCCTCCTTCTGTTAAACGTGTTGGGTTAACTTAGGGCGAGGCTTCTCAACCTCAGCACCATCACTACTTTGAACTGGATACCTTTATGTTATCAGGGGCTTTCCAGTGCATTGCAGAAGGTTTGGCAGCATCCCTGACCTGCCAATGGATGCTGCTGGTATCCCCACAGTAGTGACAACCACAGATGTCTCCAGACTTTGCCGAAAGTTCCCTGGGAGTGCCCTGCTCTAGAGTTAAGAACCACCGCTCTGCAGTTTTGTCCTCCCAGACTTCTCACCCAGCACAGTGCGTAGACATGAGTAGGAATATCAGACTGAACCCTTCAGGATCAGATACAGGGGGAGGGCAAACAATGTAAAAGGAATAGGAGCTTTGACACCACATCAAGACTCATTACTGAACAGTCACAGAGACACACATTCCTAGCAAAGAATGATTAAAAGCAATAAGGAGCCATTCATTCAATGAGTCAATCAACAAACATTTGTCCATTCATTAATCAGTTATTACGCATTAGGTGCTGGGCTAGACGCTGGAGATCAAAGATTGAAAAGACAAGCAGTCTTTACCTTCATATAGCTTATCCCCTGGCAGGAAAACAGATATTACATGATGGATTACAATAAAGTCTGTTAAGGGTTGTGATGGAGAAGTACAGGGGGCTCTAAATGAGTTTACTAAAGGTGAACTCAGGGGCTAGAAAGGGGTCCTGTGTGTCATCTCAACCTATATATCTAAGCCCATCCAACAAGCTTCCGTTTTCCTACCCCATCCCCCTCCTCACCAGGCTCAGCTGTTCCCCTTCCGATGGGAAGCCTGGTTCCACCAGCAGTCACCTGGGACCAGGTAGGCCCCGAAGTACTGAGGGGGTGTCAGGATCCAGTTGACTTTGCTCCCAGTTGTAACTTTTGATTCCATTTTGAGCCAGCTAAGGCCATGGAGTAATCAAATTAGGCAAATATTATGGAGAAGAAAATGGGCCTGTAAGTAGCTTAAAGTGATGGAAATGACCTGAAGGTGGCCATGCAAATGGTCTGTATAATATCCTGTAATAACCCTGTCCAGGCAGCCCCGAGGAGGCTGGCTTCCAATAGTGAGGTGTCTGATTAGAATAATATTCAGTGGGAGAATGTGTGAGTGTCCACATAAATCAGGCCTGGAGAGCCTCCCCAATTAGCCGGGAAGGAGACAGGCAAGGTGGGTGCCAACCCTGCACCGGGTGGCTGCCAGGCAAACTGCAGAGATGGGAGAGGGAAACTAATCATTCTCGGAACAATCCCTGACATTTTATAACATTTTACAGTTTATAAACCCTTTTCTTGTGCCACATTTCACCTGTTCCTCACACAGTTGTTTGAGGGATTAAATAAGATAACTTCTCGGCCAGGCGCGGGGGCTCTCGCCTGTAATCCCAGCACTTTGGGAGGCTGAGGGGGACGGATCACAAGTTCAGGAGATCGAGACCATCCTGGCTAACATGGTGAAACCCCGTCTCTATTAAAAATACAAAAAAAAAAAAATTAGCTGGGCATGGTGGCGGGTGCCTGTAGTCCCAGCTACTCGGGAGGCTGAGGAAGGAGAATGGTGTGAACCCAGGAGGCAGAGCTTGCAGTGAGCCAAGATTGAGCCACTGCACTCCAGCCTGGGCAACACTGCGAGACCCCATCTCAAAAAAAATAAAAATGAAAAATAAAAATAAAAAAAAAATAAGATAACTTCTCTTGGGAGATAATGGTTGAATTTGGGTTGGGATTTCAGCCCGGTACATGGCACATAGTAGTTGCTGAATAAATGGAAACTATTGAGCATCATATGGCAAAGAGATGACGATTTTCTAATTACATGCTTTTCCTGCCTCCTGGCTCTGGGGCCATGAGGATGCTTGCAAACACCCCCAGAGGGCTTCTTTGCCCTTCCTCTGTTTCCCAAACAGTAGGGGAGCGACTCGTGTTGTTCTCAGGGAAAAGCTACTCCTGAAATGCTCATTTCCTTCCTTATCTGCTCATCTTCACTCCAGCTGACAAAAGCAGACCCCCACCTGCCCAAGACACCTCATTCCACTCAAAAATCGGATATAGAGTGTCTACAATGTGCCATTCATTCATTTATGTATTCAATAATAATTACTGGATGCTGAGTATGGACCAGGCTCAGGCCCATGGGGAAAGAGGAGAAAACGGAGGTGGTCAACAGCCCTGGGAACCCAGGCCTGGCAGAGGGCACCTGCTTCATGGTCACTCCACCCCTCTGGGTATCAGGGTCAACAAGCCACAAGGGCAGAGCAGGGGACTGTCCAGGGTCATGGCCAGGGCCACACAACCTCAGGGGGAGAAGAGCTGGAATCCTCTCATCTGGGGGCAGCTGGACCCTTTACAGGGCTTTGCCCAGTCGTCTCCTGTCATCCTACTGCTCTCCTCTGACGAGTCCATCCTCGCTGTTTCACTGATGAAGAAACTGAGGCCCAAAGAAATTAAGTATCTTGCTTAAGATAACATAGCTGAAAAGCAGAAAATTAGTATCAACCCTGGGTTTCAGGTTCCAAATCTAGTCTTGTGTATGTGAATAAATGTAAGTGGTCTCACACTCCTGAACACACCCACAGCCTCATTATGCAGATTCCAATGAGACCATTCAAACCTGCATGAATGTTTGGTGTCCACATACACAAACCCACACAGATACAGCCTCACGGCCATGTATGCACCCAAGCCACGCTCCAGAATGGCATCGGACCTCTGGGCTTTTTTTTTTTTAATGCCAAAGAGTAGTAATTTGGGAAGGAGCAAGTGAAGAGCCAAAACAGAGATGGAGGGACTGTACCCTGAAATTCTGAGCTAGATAGGAGACCCCTGGGGAAGTCTGGACCAAGATGGGGAAAACTTGACCCACAGTGACTTCGATGTGTTCACCCAAAGCCCAGATAAATTTAAAGACTCCTTATAGGTAATTCTTATGTACAAATGTACTTCCTGCTTGAATGAATGAATGAATGAATGAATGAATCAGTATTTACTCCTGTCTTAGTTAGCTCAGGCTGTCATAACAGAATACTGTAGACAGGGTGGCTTCAACACCATACTTCTATTTTCTCACAGCTCCAGAGGCAACAAATCTACAATCAAGGCTCTGATTGATTCAGTTTCCAGTGAGGCCTCTCTTCCTGACTTGTGGACAGCCACCTTCTCGCTGTGTCCTTTCATGATCTTTCCTCAGTGTATGTGCTCAGAGAGAGATCTCTGGTGTCTCCTCTTATAAGGACACTGATCCTATCAGATTAGGGCCCCACCCTTATGGCCTCATTTAACCTTAATCAACTCCTGAAAGGCCCTATCTCCAAATAGAGTCACATTAGGTATGAAGGCTGCAGCATACGAATTTGGAGTAAGGGTCACCGTTCAGTCAATAACCCCTCCATACTGTGAGCCAAAGGCAAGCTCTGGGGCATTGGAACATAGAAACACAGAGAAAGATGCATGTCACACTCATCAAATGAACAGCCCCTACAGGATCTTGAACGCTGCACATCTCAGACGCAGGTTCCTTCTGCACCAGAGCCTTGTAGCATGTGCTCCTGGAGGAGAAAGGCTGTCAGAATCCAGGAAGGCTACAGTGCAGACTCTTCCCTGGGTACTCAGAGCCTTTGCTCCTGGCCCCTTTCCAGCATCAGAAGACAGGGCTAGGTAAACAAGTCCAGAAGCATCAGGGAATTAACCTCCGAGTCCCTGGGTGACCAGCTTCAGCTTTAGCCGAGAGGTGAGCCTGAGAGGAGACATGAATAACCATAACTGGAGAGTAATCTAAACAGAAGCAGTGCTGTTGAATTCTAGCTTGCAGAGCTGAAAGAGAACCTAGAGCTGAGCCCATCCAAATCTGTTTCATTCTGTTTGACATGGAGCCCAGGAATCTGCATGTTGCATCTGCCCCACCCCCAGGTGGAACTGGCATGCTCCAAAACTTGAGAACCATGTCCCAAAGGTGTCTGGTCTGCTGCAGCAACTCAGAAACTGCCAAGTGATGCAGGGACAGGGAGAGGAAGAAGACCCAGAGGCAGCATCTCACCATGACATGCGCAAGGAGAGGCAGTCCCCACAAGTAACCAGCAGAGAGCTAGGAACAGTCACACCTGGAACAGCGTAGGTAGAGGGGGCCCCACCCACTCATCAAGGTCAGCCACATCCACCCTAGTGATCAAGTACCGCAGCTAAATTGCCCTTATATCAGAAATATAGGCACATTCTTTCAAGGAGGACCCAGGATTCGGTTCAGAGAATGGTAGTAACCGCCAAGCATGGAAATACTGCCTCTTAACTCAGAAACCTTAAGTACATAGAACTGTCCCAAACATTTGCACATTGCCTCTCCCTACCCTCCAGAAGTCACCCCCAATAGCAACCAAGCTGTACCGGAGCTGCAAGGCCACCTGGTGGCCACAGAAGGAGTTGTCTAACCTGACCATCTTCCAGACCCAGGGGCGATGCATGGCTTGCCTCCCTTTTCCGTTCCTATCTATTACTTCCTTTAGATAATCTATTTCATGCAATCACTCTCACAATTTTTTCTCTTTTTTTGAGACAGAGTCTTGTTCTATCACCCAGGCTGGAGTGCAGTGGTGTGATCTTGGCTCACTGCAACCTCTGCTTCCCGGATTTGAGTGATTCTCCTACCTCTGCCTCCCTAGTAGTTGGGATTACAGGCACGCCCCACCATGCCCAGCCAATTTTTTTATATTTTTAGTAGAGATGAGGTTTCACCATGTTGGCCAGGCTGGTTCCGAACTCCTGACCTTGTGATCCACCTGTCTCAGCCTCCCAAAGGTCTGGGATTACAGGTGTGAGCCACCGCACCCAGCCCACTCTCACACATTTGTAAGACGCAGGGTCTTGCTCTGTCACCCACGCTGGAGTACAGCAGTGCAATCATAGCTCACTATAACATCAAACTCCTGGGCAAGCAATCCTCCTGCCTCAACCTCCCGAGTAGCTGGGACTATAGGTGTGCACTACCACATCTGCCTAATTTTTAAATTTTTTTTTGTAGACACAGGGTCTCACTATGTTGCCCAGGCTGGTCGCAAACTCCTGGGCTTAAGGGACCCTCCCACCTCAGCTTCTCAAAGCACTGAGATTACAGGTGTAAGCCACCATGCCTGGCCTCACACTCAAATTCTTTTTAATCTCTTCCTCTTATTAAATGATATCACCTGGGGCTTTCAAACTCAAATGCCTACAGGGACCAAAAACGAAATATTTTCTTTTTTTTTTTTTGAGACAGAGTCTCACTCTACTGCCCAGGCTGGAGTGAAGTGGTGCAATCCCTGCTCACCGCAACCTTTATCTCCCGGGTTCAAGCGATTCTCGTGCCTCAGCCTCCCGAGTAGCTGGGATTACAGGCATGCACCATCATGCCTGGCTAATTTTTGTATTTTTACAAAATTAGTAGAGACAGGGTTTCACCATGTTGGCCAGGCTGGTCTCGAACTCCTGACCTCAGGAGATCTTTCTGCCTCGGCCTCCCAAAGTGCTGGGATTACAAGTGTGAGCCACCTCACCTGACCTGGATATATTTTAATGAAACTTTTATATCCTGGAAGGTGATTTTTTTTTTTTATACTTTAAAATGCTATGTGGGTCAGCATGGGTAGGCCGAACAAAACATGCACAAGGGTCACCAGCTGGTGATGTCTAGGAGAATTCTTGCCTCTCGGCTTTCATTTTCACTTCTTCTCTCCCCTTCTCCACTTTCTATCGGTAAGTTCAAATCATTACAATGGCTTTAGACATGAGAGACATAGGTCAACACTATCTCAAAGAAAAAAATACAATGGTTTAGCAGGAATCCTTGAATTTTTAACCAAAATCAGACATTTCAAGAACCTGCACCACCAGCCTCAGTCTAAATCCCTTGAGAAAGCCCAGAAGAGAAGTTGCAGATTCTCCCCAACACGTTTCCTAGACCTCCTCCTCTTCTAAATTAACCTGTTTCCCTCAAGCACCAGGATTCTAGATAAATAAAAAATGAGTTCCTATTCAATGGGATTGTTTTTCTGTTTGGTTTAATTACTAGTGTTGTGACAGTATTGTTTCCCACCATTTCCAATGCAAATGTGCGGTGTTTCTGCTTCATTGTGCAGTAAGCAGGGTGTTATAAGCTAGCCCTGGAAAGCCAACCGTCACTTAAAAGACTACTCTTATGGGAACATAGATGCCAAATTCCAAAGATCTAACTTTAACAGATCAGCTCTGGGAAGCACAGTCTCTGATAGGCTGAAGGCTGCCTGGGAAAATGCTCTGTTTTGAGGGTCACATTTTGCTTTTCACACCACTCTTACTCGAATCACAGACTATGAGGGCGAGAGGCATGCTTTGAAATCACTTAGTCTACCCCCTCGTTTTACAGATGAGAGAGATGTTTATATGTGAGAAAACAGCAAGATGAAGTGACATGCCCCAATTCTCCCAGCTAGACAGTGCCCCAGGTCCCCAGACACCCAGTGCAGAGACTCCTGCTTTTTCAGATGATGGGAAACGCCATGGCCTTAAGGCAGCCAAGGAAGAAAATAAATAAAACATGGCAGCCAACATTTATTGAATACTTAGTATGAGCCAGACACTATGCTGGGCACTTAAGCTCATTTAATCTTCTAAAAGCTCTATCAGGTGGTACAGTTCTTATGTCCACTACACAGATGAGGCTTCAGATGAGGCTACAGTTCTTATGTCTACCCAAAGACACACAGTGAGTATCGCAGACAGAGTTGGGGGTGAAATTCAGGCCACCATACTCTGTTTTGTTTTGTTTTTGTCACAGGGTCTGGCTCTGTTGCCCAGGCTGGAGTGCAGTGGCACAATCTCAGCTCACTGCAACCTCTACCTCCTAGGCTCAAGTGATTCTCATGCCTCAGCCTCCCAAGTAGCTGGGACTACAGGCATGCACCACCACACCCAGCTAATTTTTTTGTATTTTTAGTAGAGCTGGAGTTTCACCATGTTCTCCAGGCTGTTCTCGAACTTCTGGCCTCAAGTTGATCCACCGGCCTTGGCCTCCCAAAGCGCTGGGATTACAGGCGTGAGCCACCACACCCAGCCCAGGCCACCATACACTCAATCAAGGCACTGCTTAAAGGTCACCTAATTTGCTCCCCACCCCAACATGCCCTCAAAGGAAGACCTTTGCCATCCAGTTATCCAGTGGGGGTAGTCCATTTCTCTTTCTCTGTTGAAGGAGAGGTGGCCTCCAGTGTGTAGGATTTCTCTGTTGAGAAGTACTTACAGGACCTGTCATTTTCAGGTCCTAGGCAATTTAGATGTCCAGAAAATCCTCCCAGTAAGGATTCATTAATTTTGAAATTCAAAATAAATGAATTTCGGAAATGCATAGCTGAGCTAGTAGAAAAGTAAGAAAAATCTTCAAAGGTCAAAAATCATTGCAAAGCCCAATCCCAGGAGGTAAGTGCCCAGTGAGGCCTGTGGTTGGGTGAGAGGCGATTGGATGATCCCTGTTGACCTGGAGCTTGGCTTTTAATATGGATTAACATGAAGGGAAGGGATTCAGAAGACAAAACCTGGAGAGAAAGATGAGAGACTGAAGAGAGAATTTTTTGTCTCACAATCAAAAATTACAGGACACAGCAGGCAGAAAATGAGAAGTGCCTACAGGGAAAAACCAAAGGGAAGAAGTTGCTGAAGTCAATCCTGAGAAATGAGAGTATAAGTAGCAATTAACAGTCACAGGACACTAACTGTGAGCTTGACCTGTGCTAAAGGCTTTACATAAACATATCTCTGTAACTTTTAACTGCACGTGAAACTAATCAATCACTGACTGGCTTAGCAATAAGCCTAAAATATCAGAATCGGAAAGGGCATTATCGACCACTTAATCTATTGTTTTTCAAACTGCAAGTCTTGCAACTTTTGGTTCAATAGATAGATTAGCATATAAATAATATGCATGGCCGGGCGCGGTGGCCCACGCCTGTAATCCCAGCACTTTGGGAGGCCGAGGCAGACAGATCACGAGGTCAAGAGATCGAGAACATCCTGGTCAACATGGTGAAACCCCGTCTCCACCAAAAATACAAAAATTAGCTGGGTGTGGTGGCGCGCACCTGTAGTCCCAGCTACTCGGGAGCCTGATGCAGGAGAATTGCTTGAATCTGGGAGGCGGAGGGTGCAGTGAGCCGAGATTATGCCACTGCACTCCAGCCTGCCAATAGAGCAAGACTCTGTCTCAAAAAAAAATAAAAATAAAAATAAATAAATAATATCCACACAAATATATATGCATAAATCTCTATGTGTGTATGTATATACACAAATGTATATGTGTATATATCCATATATACATGTACAAATATGAATGTATGTACTAGGTCCCAATGTAAAACACATGTCTCACTACAGATCAAAGTAAAAAATCAAATGCCAGCCAGGCGTGGTGGCTCACACCTATATTCCCAACACTCTGGGAAGCTGAGGTGGGTGGATCATTTGGGGTCAGGAGTTCAAGACCAGCCTGGACAACATGGTGAAACTTTGTCTCTACTAAAAATACAAAAATTAGCTGGGTGTGGTGGCACACGCCCATAATCCCAGTTACTGAGGAGACAGAGGCAGGAAAATCGCTTGAACCAGAGAGGTGGAGGTTGCAGTGAGCCGAGATCCTGCCACTGCTCTCCAGCCTGGGCTGTGACAGAGAGAGACTCTGTCTCAAAAAAATTAATAAATAAAAAGTTAATGAATTAATTAAAATTTAAAAACCAAATGCCTAGGAAGCATTGATAAAACCCCAAGCCATCAATGTCTTTTTTTTTTTTTTTTTTTGAGACGGGGTCTCGCTCTGTCGCCCAGCTGGAGTGCAGTGGCACAATCTCGGCTCACTGCAAGTTCCGTCTCCCGGGTTCACGCCATTCTCCCGCCTCAGCCTCCCGAGTAGCTGGGACTACAGGCGCCCACCACCACACCCAGCTAATTTTGTTTTTGTATTTTTAGTAGAGACAGGGTTTCACTGTGTTAGCCAGGATGGTCTCAATCTCCGGACCTCGTGATCTGCCTGCCTCGGCCTCCCAAAGTGCTGGGATTACAGGCATGGGCCACCGCGCCCGGCCCCATCAATATTTTTGTGGGAAACTGAGG
The DNA here is from genome assembly GCF_000001405.40 of Homo sapiens. NCBI lineage: Eukaryota > Metazoa > Chordata > Mammalia > Primates > Hominidae > Homo > Homo sapiens. The sequence goes on from NC_000008.11 coordinate 21,879,657, forward strand.
CCCACAGAGAGTGCAACCAAAGTTGGTCACCTGGTTAGACCAGAGTCCAGATGATTGCCATTTCTCTCATGGTGGTAAGGTGGCACTGTGAGTCTTTACCATGCACAGCTCTGGGCCAGGATGCTCCCTCTGTGCCTCTTGTCAGGGAGGAGGGAAACCACAGAGTGAGTCTGGATCTGTACAAAACTGAGCATTAGACAGTTTGCTTTCAGTGCCTCCAACCCCGCAGTAGGGCCTTCTCCTTGCCCACCCCTTCTGCAGAAGCACCCACTACCCTCCGCTGTCTCTACTCTCCCACTACCAAGGCCTGGCATCAGGAAAGGATTTAGTAACCTTCTGCACACAAAGCTGGAAATTACTCCCATGCTATCTTTTCCATGATTATTTGGTCTTGTCGTGAAGGACTGAAAGTTTCAGCCAAAGACAAGAATTTCTCATTATGGAGTTTTTCCCTGGCTTCAGAAAACCAGCAGAGAAGGCATTTAGGCCCACAGTGGAGGAAACATGGGTGATCCTAGTGGGTGACGCAGGGGTTGGCCTTAGTCTTCTCTTATAATCCCCTCTTCTTTGACATGGAATCCTCTGGCCCTCTTACTTGCAAGGTTGATAAAGATAATAACAGATAAGATTGTGAATCTGAGGCCAGGCACAGTGGCTCACGCCTATAATCCCAGGGCTTTGGGAGGCCTAGGCAGGTGGATCACCTAAGGTCAGGAGTTCGAGACCAGCCTGGCCAACATGGTGAAACTCGTCTCTACAAAAAATACAATAATTAGCTGGGCGTGATGGCAGGGGCCTGTAGCCCCAGCTACTTGGGAGGCTGAGGCAGGAGAATCGCTGGAACCCAGGAGGTAGAGGCTGCAGTGAGCCGAGATTGTGCCACTGCACTCCAGCCTGGGCGACAGAACCAGACTCCATCAAAAAGAAAGAAAAGAAAGAAAAGAAAAGAAAAGAAAAGAAAAGAAAAGAAAAGAAAAGAAAAGAAATAGAAAGAAAGAGGAAGGAAAGGAAGAGAAGGAAGGGAAGGCAGGAAGGCAGGAAGGAAGAAAGGAAGGCAGGCAGGCAGGCAGGAAGGCAAACTCAGAGACTGACTAGCCATGAGTCTTGGACAGAAGGTGAACTCAAGGCCAGGCCCTTCTGACTCCAGGCCCTCACAGCAAAGCAAAATTCCATCTAAAAAAAAAAAAGAGACTGTGAATCTGCTCTTTTAAACACATTTAGCAAAATTTCTAATTCTAGATAAAGTCTGTGCCTTCAAAGCCATCACCTTGGGGAACACGTCACTTATTTCAATAATTCTTGCACTCATTTCAGGGTCTTTGTTTTAGGAATATTAATAATTACCGATTATGAAATGCCTGCTACAGATCAAAAACTATGCCAGGCACTTTACACACTGTACCTTATTAAATCCTATAAAACAATTGCCCCCTTTTCAACAAGACAAAGCTAGTTTTATTCTATCTGTATCAAATCTCATCAGTGGCCACAGAAACTCTAATCCCTAATTGTAGTCATCACACTTGGCTCTAAATGACTTTAGACTGTTCCCAGAAATCAGTCTACCCTTGAAATGCAAAAAGTGACCTCCACAAAGAACAGCCAAGAGAGTATGTCACACGCTCAGTTGGATTTCCCATAAAGGAATTCCAGGAATATTTTGTTCCATGGCAACATCTTTGCAATAAGTTCATGGCCTCCCAAGATGACTGCTTTGATGTGTGGATGCACGTGTGGGTGCATGTGTGTTGGATCAACCAAAGTGCTTTAGAGATACAGACTATACACTTAGATCTGCCTAAATGTCTGACTGGTACTTTGAGAAGAGAGGGGACAAGAAGGAAGTGTCACAGAAGTTTCTTTCCTGATGGGTCAGGGGCATGGCTCTCTGGTGCACCTGTCTGTCTGGTTCTGGGCCTTCTTTCTCATCCCACTGGCTGCGTTTTTGGTGACTGCACACAGCTAGTGAGAGAAAGGACACCTGTGACAGAGAGGACACCTGGCTCCCAGCTATAGGGTTCACCCTGTCCGGAAAGCCCTCCCACCCCCTTCCCCTACTGCTGTAAGACCTACCCTGTGGGGTCCTACAGGGCTACTTCAGGGTTGGTTATTCTTCTCCCCCTTCCTCTACTCTTTTCCTTGATGGGAGGACTGACGTTTCTACAACCTTATGCTGCTGTTTTGTGAGTTCGTTGTCAAGCTCCCTTCCAACTAGACCCCTCAGGCCCTCATAGAGAGAAATTCTGGAGTTGCCGCTGGTCAACGGAGCCCTTAGGGCAGCTCAACAATCACCACGTTTCCTGAAGCAACTTTCACTCCTTCTTTTCTCTCTTCAAACTTCCAACACCTTCTCCCTACCCCTCAGTCTCAGCCCATAATCTTTTTTTTTTTTTTTTGAGATGGAGTCTCACTCTGTCACCCAGGCTGGAGTGCAGTGGCACAATCTCAGCCCACTGCAAACTCCCACCTCCCAGGTTCACGCCATTCTCCTGCCTTAGCCTCCCAAGTAACTGGGACTACAGGCACCCGCCACCACTCCCGGACTAACTTTTTTTTATTTTTAGTAGAGACGGGGTTTCACCGTGTTAGCCAGGATAGTCTCGATCTCCTGACCTCATGATCTGCCTGCCTCAGCCTCCCAAAGTGTGGGATTGCAGGTGTGAGTCACCATACCAAGCCCAGCACATGATTCTTAAAAAGAGAAGCAATGAACACCGCAGGCTCCCACCACTGTATCTGTCATCCTACCCGCCTCTGAGCCCACTTTCTCTGCCCTTCCTCCTTTTGACACATTTCCTCCAATCAGCCACATTTAATGAACAGAATGAGGCATGCCCTCCTCCTCCTCCAAACACTTTCTTTCTGAAGCCTCCAGACAACACTCTAGCAGTTCTTCTCTCAAGTCACCACCTACTCCCTTTCCACTGTCTTTGTTGATTTGTCCTCACAGCCCAGCTGGTTGCAATGCCCCAGGGATCAATCCTTTGACTTCTTTTCTGTAAACACTCACTTTCAAGATGAGCTCATTCTTTCTCATGGCTTTAAAATACCACGTAAACACTCAGAACAAACTCATAAATGTGTCTCTCTGCCCAGACCCTCTCCTGAGTTCCAGACACATCCATGCCACTGTGTAGCAACCATCTTCACTTTGAAGTCACATCTTCACTTCAATGCACTCCACTCAGAAGCCTCAGTCTTCCCTCCAGGCTTGACCCTGAAGCCTTCTCCATCTCAGTCAATGGCTACTCCATTCTTGCAGCCCAGGCCAAAAACCCTGGAGTCAGCCTGAAACCTTCCTGGCAGCTCATGCAGTCAGTAAACCCCACTGGATCTACCTTCCGAGTAGATCTGGAATTGGATCATTTCTCACCATTCGCCACCTTCACCACTGCCACCTGCACTTCAGCTGCCATCACCTTGTCTGGATAGTGTGGGAGCCTCTCTCTGCTCCTACTTTTGCCTCTCAAAGTCTGTTACTCTCAGCACAGCAGCAGGGTAATCTGTTTAAAACTAAGTCAGATTACTGAACTCAAAAACAAAATAGCAAACAACCCAATTCAAAAATGGACAAAGGATTTGAATAGACATCTCCCCCATGGAAGTTATGCAAACAGTCAACAGGCACATGAAAAGACACTAATATCACAAATCATTAAGGAAATGCAAATCAAAACTGCAATGATATACCACCTCACACCCATTAAGATGGCCACTATGAAAAAAAAATATATATATAGGGCCAGATGCAGTGGCTTACACCTGTAATCCCAGTACTTTGGGAGGCCAAGGCGGGTAGATCACTTCAACCCAGGAGTTCAAGACCAGCCTGGGCAACATGGCAAAACCTTATCTCTACAGAAAATACAAAAAATCAGCTAGGTGTGTTGGCGCACACCTGCAGTCCCAGCTACTTGGGAGACTGAAGTGGGAGGATCACCTGAGCTGGGAAGTTGAGGTTGCAATGAGCCATGATCACACCACTGCACTCCAGCCTGGGTATCAGAGTGAGACCCTGTCTCAAAAAAAGAAAAAACAAACAAAAAAACAGAAAATAACAAGTGTTGGTGAGTATGTGGAAAAATTGGAACCCTCGTTTGTGCACTTTGGTGAGAATATAAAATGGTGCAGCCACTGTGAAAAACATTATAGCAGGCCGGGCACAGAGGCTCATGTCTATAATCCCGTCACTTTGGGAGGCCGAGGCAGGTGGATCACAAGATCAGGAGTTCAAGACCAGCCTGACCAATATGGTGAAACCACGTCTCTACTAAAAACACAAAAATTAGCCAGGCGTGGTGGCAGACTCCTATAATCCCAGCTACTAGGGAGTCTGAGGCAGGAGAATTGCTTGAACCCAGGATGCAGAGGTTGCAGTGAGCCGAGATCGCGCCACTGCACTTTAGCCTGGGTGACAGAGCAAGACTCTGTCTCAAAAAAAAAAAAAAGAAAGAAAGAAAAGAAAAACAGTATAGCAGTTCCTCAAAAATGAAAATTATCATATGATTCAGCAATCCCACTTCTGGATATACCTGAAAGAATTGAAAGACAGGTATCAAAGGATATTTGTACACTCATGTCCATAGTAGCAGGATTCACAATAGCCCAAGGCGGACACAACCCAAGTGTTCAACAATGGATGAAGGGTAACCAAAATGTGTTCCATACTTACAATGGAATATTATTATTCAGCCTTAAAAAAGAAAGTATTTGGGAGGCCAAGGTGGATGGATCACTTGAGGTTAGGAGTCTGAGACCAGCCTGGCCAACATGGTGAAACCTCGCCTCTACTAAAAATACAAAAATTAGCCGGGCATGGTGGTGCACACCTGTAGTCCCAGCTACTCGGGAGGCTGAGGCAGGAGAATCTCTTGAACCTGGGAGATGAAGGTTGCAGTGAGCCGAGATTGCACCACTGCACTCCAGCCTGGGCAACAGAGCAAGTCTCTGTGCTCAAAAAAAAAAAAGAAAAGAAAAGAAAAAAAGAAAGGAAATTCTGGGCTGTGTGCTGTGGATCACATCTCCCAGCACTTTCGGAGGCCAAGGCTGGAAGACTGCTTGAGCCCAAGAGTTCAAGACCAGATTGGACAACACAGTGAGACCCCATCTCTAAAAAGTTTTTTTTCTTAATTAGCCTGGTGTGCACCTGTAAGTCCCAGCTACTCAGGAGGCTGGGGTGGGAGGATGGCTTGAGCCCAGAAGGTCGAGATTGCAGTGAGCTATGATTGCACCACTGCACTCCAGCCTGAGTGACAGAGTGAGACCCTGTCTCTAAAAATAAAATTTTCAAAAAAGGAAATCCTGACATATGCCATGACATTGATGAACCTTGAAGACATTATGCCAAGTCAAATAAGCCAGATGCAAAAGGACAAATACTGTATGATTCCACTTATATGAGGTCCCTACAGAAGTCAATTCACAGAGACAAACAGTAGAATGATGATTACCAGCAGCTGGAGGGAAGGAAATGGGAGTTGTTGCTTAATGGGTACTGAGATTCAGTTTGATATGATGGAAAGAGTAATGGAGATGGATGGTGGTGACTGCTGGGCATTATGAATGTATTTAATACCACCGAACTGAACACTTGAAAATGGTCAGGATGGGCTGGGCGCAGTGGCTCATGCCTATAATCCCAGCACTTTGGGAGGCTGAGGCAGGTAAATCACTTGTGGTCAGGAATTCAAGGCCAGCCTGGCCAACATGGTGAAACCCTGTCTCTACTAAAAATACAAAAATTAGCTGGGCATGGTGGCACGTGCCTGTAGTCCCAGCTACTCGGGACACTGAGGGAGGAGAATTGCTTGAACCCAGAAGGCGGAGGTTGCAGTGACCCGAGATTGTGCCACTGCACTCCAGCCTGGGTGACTGAGCGACACTTAGTCTCAAAAAAAAAAAAAAAAAAAAAAGTCAGGATGGTACATTGTATGTTGTGCATATTTTATTACAATAAAATAATGGAAAAAAAATAAGTCAGATTCCTGGCTTCTCTACTCAAACTCTTGCCTAGGCATTTAATATGGAATAAATCATTCTTACCCAGGTGGGACTGCCAGGACCCCCTGCCTCTCCATTCCTTTCCTGCCTCTTTCCTCTCGTCCACTCTGCCCCAGCCTCGCCGGCCTCCTCCCCTGTTGCAAGGGAAGCGTGAGGTGCTCCTCCTGTCCACTCGCCGCTCACTCCGCAGGGAATGTTCTCTCTCCCCTCAGCCTGGTTTATTTTTCTTCTTATCACTCTCACCACCTGGCATATCATCTGCTTCCCCTCCCCCGACCCTAGCACAGCTCTAGGAGAACAGGGACTTCTGCTGCTTCTGTTCATGAACGTGCTCAACAAGGGCCTGCCTGTCCCTCTGACATGGTCCTCCTGGAGCTGCAGCTGCCCCACTGTCTCAGGAGTACAGAATTTCCTCCTCCTCCCCAGTCCCCACACCTGGCCCACCCTTTCCCTTTGTTCTTCTGCCTGTGCTGCCAGTGACGAGCCTGTGAGACCAGACACTGAAGAGAGCAGACAACCAGGGACACAGGAGTCTTTGTCCCCAAAAGGATCTCAGTAAATGTTGGCTGCTTGTAAAGAATCTCTGCGGTGTTGATTTTGTGGTCAATGAGGGGCTGTTTGCTCCTCCTCAAGTGCACCCACCCCCACTTCAGGGCACCTACTGGCCCCAGAACCAAGTTACCAAAGGCCCATTTAGGCCCGAAGGATGCCACTTGCCTCTGAGAGATGAGGGGAGCTCACAGCCTCCTCGTAGCCCCATAATGCAGTATTTCCCCAAGGAGTCAGGTCTCACTGGTGGCCCTTGGACAGGCATTCAGTGGCATTGTCCACACCATGAAAAAGTTCTCCCTTTTCAATGCTTTTTCAAACACCCTGTCATGGGTTGAATTGGGTCCCCCGCAAAAACAGAGGTTGAAATCCTAACCCCTAATACTCAGAATATGACTTTATTTGGAAATATTATAGGATTGTTGCAGATGTCATTAGTTAAGGTGAAGCCAGACTGGAATAGGTAGACCCCTAAGCCAATAGGCCCATTGTCCTTATAATGAGAGGAGAGCCCTGTGAAGACAAAAGCACTCAAGGAGAGCTCGTGACCAGGAAGGCAGAGATTCCAGCTAAGGGGCTGCGAGCCAAGGAACACACAGAATTGTCAACCAAACACCAGAAGCTGTGACAGCCAAGGAGGGATTCTCTCCTACGGTTCTCAGAAAGTGATGGCCTGCTGACACTTGGATTTTAGAATTCTAGTGTCTAGAACTGTGAGACAACAAATGTTTGTAGTTTCAAGCCACCCAGTCCATGGCAAACCTGGGAAGCCAATACAGACCCTAATGACCTCAGGGAGGAAGTCTCACTTGGGGGCTTGCGGGTTTTTCATGCCTTTCTGATACTTGCTAATTTTCCTTTTTGCAAAGAGAAAACAGTCCACAGGCTAAGAGCTTTCAGCAAGAGAGGCACCAAACTAAATTTTAATAACCTTGTTTGGATTCCATTGTATGTATTTGTATGATTACCATCGATTTCTAACAAGTGATAACAGGTTTTCCTTGCACAACAGTAAAACAAATTTCCTTTTCAAAGAAATAAACCAAGTTTAAAAATGAGTTAATTTAATGAAAAAATATTATGTCACATTAATAGAACTGGCGAGAAAACATGGCAAAAATAGTGAATGTGGGGAAGGTAACTAAAGTTTTTCATATGCCATCTTGAAGAAATCCAAGACCAGATAGCCACTGCGCCTCTTCCTTTCATGTCCCAGATCATAAATGCAAAAGATTAAAATGAAAATGACAACATATACAATGATTAGAAAAAGTACAAAGTGGGCAAAATTATTTGCACATTGGTCTTACCTTTTTCCCGTCTTCTCCCCTTCTCATTTGCCTTCCCTCACCTGGAGGCCCAGGACCTGCATCCAGCCAGGCTTCTTCCTGTCTCCAAAGAAAACCGATATGGCCGGGCACTGTGGCTCACACCTGTAATCTCAGCGCTTTAGGAGGCCAAGGCTGGAGGATCACTTTAGCCCAGGAGTTCAAGACCAGCCTGGGAAGCACAAGGAGACCTCTCTCTACCAAAAATTTTAAAATTAGCCAGACACGGTGGCACATACCTGCAAGTCCTAGCTGCTCAGGAGATTGAGATAGGAGGAGGATTGTGGAGCCAGGGAGTTCCAAGGCTGCATTGAGCTATGACTGCACCACTACACTCCAGCCTGGACAACAGAGTGAAATGAAAGAAAGAGAGAGAGAAAGAGAAAGAAGGAGAGAGAGAAAGAAAGAAGGAAGGAAAGAAAGAAAGAAAAAGAAAGAAAGAGAAAGGAAAGAAGGAAGGAAGGAAGGACAAAGAAAGAAAGAAAGAAAGAAAGAAAGAAAGAAAGAAAGAAAGAAGGAAAGAAAAAGAATGAAAGAAAAAAAGAGAGAAAGAAAGAGAGAGAAAGAGCGAGGGAGGGAGGGAGGGAGGGAAGGAAGGAAGGAAGGACAAAGAAAGAAAGAAAGAAAGAAAGAGAATGAAAGAAAGAAAAAAGAGAGAAAGAAAGAAAGAGCGAGGGAGGGAGGGAAGGAAGGAGAGAGAAAGGGAGAAAGAGAGAGAGAGGAAAAGAAAAGGAAAGCAAATCTGATAAACTAGCCTCCACTGAGCTTGCAGTTAGAGAACTCAGTGACAGCCCCATCATTGTCACTAACGTGATGAGTGACTTTGGGCAAATCCCTTAGTCTCTCTAGACTTCAGTTTCCTCTCTACAAGAGAAGATAAGACAACAGGGTATCTTTTTGCTCAGAATTCTATGCTTCTGGGATGTTAGCAATTTAATGTGTTCCCCTCTTAGGGACTCACATTACACTTTAAAAAAGACTTTAGTAAAAAGATGAATAAATTCAGAGGAATGAGCCCCCAAAAGTGAAATTCCAGGTTTAGTGGCATGTGGGGGAGAGAGATTTTTTAGGATGGTTGGGTGAGGCAGTTGTAAAATCACACAGTCAGCAACCAGTAACTGCTGCCTCTGCATGAGGCCGGCTTCACCTCCAGATGGTAGGCCTACCGCTGTCTCAGACCCCCTCGGGCCCCACGAGGCCTGCCCTGACCCCTTGGGTGGCCTTCCATTCCATCAGGAATCAGGAAATCATATCTCTGATAGGGATAAATACTGCATTTTTAATTTTTGAAAAGCAAAATATAGGTATTTATTTACATTCATGTCCGTGTATACACACACACACACACACACACACACACACACACACACAAACACAGTTGGCGACAGGAAAGGGCCAAGAAGAAAAATCAGCTTTGACAACCTAATAAATGTCAATTTCTGAAGGGGGCTGAGTTAGAAGATGAATCCTCAGAACTTTAATTGGAGACATGATGCTCTCACTTTGCCAGCACCCCCACCTCTCCCGATCCCTCCACAGATAGCAAAGCCCTTGCCTTCCTCTAATTGACAAGAGGCCTCTGTCTGCTAGGATTTGCCTCTGGGATGTCAAGAGGCCCAGGGATGGGGTGAAGGTGGTGCTCTAATGCCCTTCAGAGAGAAGAGGTGAAATAGCAGGATTTGTGTCCCAAAGGCAGACAGCCCAATGGGCTGAGCAGTCACAGATTTGCCCTACGCTGTGCCTGCCCTACGTGAGACCCTGCAGAGACAAAGGGGTCCCCCCTGACTAGTGATGCTTGCTTTCCACCTAACAGCAAGTCAGGAGGCTCCCTTTGGATCCCCGGTGGTACCCTAATCCAGGCACAGTGGGAGAAAGGGAAAGCACGTGGGGGAGGTGGTGGTGTGTGGTGGTTGAGAGGATCGCTCCCCAGCCCGGCTGCCTAGAGTCACCACCAACTGCTGATCTTTGGGTCAAGTGTTTGACTCTTCTGTGCCTCAGTTTTATCATCTGTGAAAAGGAGACCATCACAGCACCTGCCTGAATGCATTGTGAGAGGATCAGATGGGTTAATCAGGGTGCAGCAGCCACACACACTCATGCCCAACAGGAGACTTAATGGTAACAGCTCTTCAGCTCAGCACAGCTGCCAGAGCTTTGGAGCCAGCACTCCTGGGCAAACTGTGGAGTCTCAGCACCATCACCCAAACAAGCTGCATGTCATGCGTGAGACAGTTCAGCTGTGACAGGCAGCCATCACAGTGATCGAGCTGGGCAGGAGAAGCAGTCATGGCCACCAACACCTGGCCCACCACTGCATTCTGACCATCACTTTCTAGTAAAACACCGAGGACCACTTTTCTTTTGAGATCCCCACTCTAACTTCTGCCCCTCCAGAACCCACAAGCATTCTCCTTTTGGCCTCCTACAGACTGTAATCTTAGCCATACAATTTAGCTCATTTTTATATTAGTAATAGTTCAAGTAACTAGCATCTGCACAGTGCTTTGCAGTTTACAAAGGAATGTTTAGTTTACATTTTTGAATTGTTAGTACACTGACATGGCTCAAAATTTAGAAATCTGTATTAAAAGGCAGTTAAGAGTCTCCCTGTTACTCTCATCTCCTATCCTTCCCGACCCCAGCCTCGGCACCCACAGGTAACCACTGTTTTTACTTCCTCAGAGATCCTTCTAGAGTTTCATTCTGTATGCATGAGTAAATATTTCTATTTCCCCTCTTTTTATTTTATTTTATTTTTTTGGAGATGGAATCCCACTACATTGCCCAGGCTGGTCTCCAATTTCTGGCCTTAAACGATCTTCCCTCCTCAGCCTCCCAAAGTGCTGGGATTATAGGTGTGAGCCACTGCACCTGGCCTCTCTGCTTTTTAAACACAAAATGTAGCATGCTATCTATACACACTGTTCTGTGCCTTGCTTTTCTTCATTTGATGGTATGTCTTATACACAAGTACAAAGCTTTCTGTCTCCTTCCTTTTTATAGCTGCATAATACTCCATTGTGTGGGAAAACAAAATATCTTAAAGAGAACCCTCTTACCCAGCATTTACGTTCTTTTCAATATTTTCCCATCACAAACATTCTGTAACAAGTAGCCATAAACAAATCCTTTGCACTTACGCAAATGTATTTATAGGACAATTTCCCAGAAATGGATTGCTAGGTCAGAAGATATGTACATTTAAACCGTGGATAGATATTGCCAAACTGCCCTCCCTAGAGGTTATACACATTTATCTTCCCATGAGAGATAGGAGACTATCTATTTCCTTACAACTCCACTATAACTGTGTTACCAACTTCCTGGACTTTCTCCAATTGGATAGGTGAAAAAGTTGCTTATTGGTGTAATTTTAATTTACATTTCTCTTATTTTCAATGAGGTTCAGCGTGCTTATATACATTTAAGAGCTATTTGTATTTCCTTACCCTAAATGTACTTTGCTAGCCGTTTATCTCCTTTATCTTCGCAATCCCCCAGTGAGAAATGTGAGGTAAGTATTAATAATATCTGCATTTTAAAATGATAGAGCTAAGACTCGAAGCATTTAAGATACTGGCTTAAAGCCTAGGCTGGTATGGCAGGGGCGAAATACCATCTTGCATTTTTTTCTGATTGTTTTATGTTTGGGATATTCCCAATTGAGTGGTGCATTTCTTATCTGCCTTCAAATCGTCCCCATGAACCTAGAACGGCGCTAAGATGTAGCAAAAGAGTGAGCCAGGGGACCATGGGTCCCTAGCCCTGGTTTCTTGCTGTGGCTCTGTGAGTTACTGGCTGTCTGCCTCTGGTCAAGTCCCTTGACTCTTTCCCTGGAGAAGACTCTTTATGGGCGGACTTTCCATATCTGTAAAGCCAGGATTTGAACTAAATCACCAAAGTCCCTTCCAGGAAATGATTACAGTGGGAAGCACTCCATGAGTCTTTTATTATTATTTCTTTTTGAGCAGAGGAAATAAAACCGTTTTCAGACCTCCCAAGATGAGAATGTTCAAATCATACCCGTTTATGTGAATGCAGTCTAATCAGAGGCGGTGAGTGAGGCAGCAATGGGAAGGGATTAGGGGGTCTTCAGGCAGTATTGCAAAGTGGGGAGGCTGTCACAGTGGTATACTACAGTCTGCCTGTACTGAGAGCCGACTGCAAGATCTTTTAGGAGTTTTGTAAGCCAATTGACATCCCATTGATAGCTTGAAATAGGCCACGGTGGGAATATTTACACCATGGAAATCAGTAAATGCTACATGTGATAGCATTCCCATCTCCCACACCCAGAGCCAGTTGTTCACCAGTATTCAGCTGCCATCACATCGCTCCCCGAGGATCTACAAAAAGCCATAAGCGGCCGGGCTCAGTGGCTCACGCCTGTAATCCCAACACTTTGGGAGGCCAAGGCGGGAGGATCACCTGAGGTCGGGAGTTCAAGACCAGCCTGATCAACGTGGAGAAACCCCATCTCTACTAAAAATACAAAATTAGCCGGGCGTGGTGGTGCATGCCTGTAATTCCAGCTACTCAGGAGGCTGAGACAGGAGAATTGCTTGAACCCAAGAGGCAGAGGTTGCAGTGAGCCGAGATCGCGCCATTGCACTCCAGCCTGGGCAACAAGAGCGAAACTCCATCTCAGAAAAAAAAAAAAAAAGTCTTAAGCAACAGGAGCACTGGAGAATTGACAGGACTGTCGGGGAGCATGAAGGGTTCTGGGAGTGAGAAGAGCTCACACAGGCCAGAACCCTGCTCAGACAGGGGCCACTGGGCCACACCCTACCTTAGCCAGGAAATCAGTAGACCCCAGCAGTCCACGTCACCTCCAAGGGTAAGAGCACTGACCCCAGAGCAAACTGCAGGGTTTCCAAATCCCTGCTGCCCACATAGAAGCTCTGTGACCTTCAATAAGTTGCTGAAGTGTCATGTCTCAGGCTCCCCATCTGGAAAATGGGGACGTAATAGCCATTATCCCTACCTCAAGGGGTTTTTGTGAAAATTAACGAGTTAACACATAGGATGCATTTAGAACAGTAAACGTCTGGCATGATCAAATGCTCAGTAAGCAATTGCTATTGTTATTCTTTTACTAGAACCACAGGGTAAGACTGCACTGAGAGTCCTGGGGGCCAGGTTTCTGGTCCTCCCTCTGTAGCTGTGGGATCTGGAAAAATCCTCTTTCCTGCTCTAGGCCTGTTTTGCTACCAGTAAAGAAAGGGATTGGGGCAGATCATCACCAGGATCCTTCCAGCCCTTCCCGTCCCTTGTCCAGCACTCCAGTCCCTTGACCCTGTGGGTTCTCATGAAGGATTCTCCTTTGTCGCCACCCCTGGGAAGCCTTCCTGGGTGCCCTGGCAGAGTCAGGCCTCCTTCCTCTGGGCCCCCACATCCCAGCACTGTGTCTGTGAGCCCCTCAGCACCTAACATACCACACCTTGAATACCTGCCCACCTCCCCACTGGACTCCTCGAGGCAGGGATAAGCCTCTATTTTCTTCTCTATCCCCTTCCCTGGAGAAGACCCTTGCCCTTTCCCAAAGAAAACCCTCAGTAGTGGAATCAGGAAGGGAAAGAGGCCAGGCACCTTCTGAAACACGCCCTTACCCACCTAGCCTGTACCCTTCCCACTCTAAATGCCCTCTGCAACCCCCACAACACCATCCCAAGCCTCGACTTTCTGCTACAGAGTGACCCAAGCCCCACCACAAGGCTGTGCTGCTCCGCTCCCTCCCCATCTTGATGTGAAACAAAAGAGCAATTGCCCAGAACAGGGCTGAGTAATAAGCCATGCATGGGAGCCAGCACCACATTCCCCTATAATCTGGGCTAGTCCAGAGCTTGCCAGCTCCACTCACTCCCTCCTTCTGCCAGCCCAGGGAACATCTCCAGCTGGTGATCTGCCAGGGGGCTGGCTCCCCACAGCCCGCTCCACTGGGCTCCGAGAGTTCTCTGGCTGTTGGGGCATTGGGCGGAGGAAGGGGATGGGCAAACTCAGAGGGCAGGCCCCAGGGCACTTGCAGCCTCTGAGGGCCAGCAAGGACCCCCTTCAGTTTTGTGTCCTGAACACCTTGCCTACTGTACCCTAGTCCTGGCGCTTGCAGAGAAAAAGAGGCTTGTCCTCCCCTGGTAGCCAAGCCCACAACTGGAAGGTCTGCTCCCTCCCCCAGCCATAACCCTATCCCTCCCCGCTGCTGTATTTTTCTCCATAGCATTTACTGCCATCTGACATATCATAAATTTTATTTGTTTTTTGTTTAGTGCCCTCCTCCCTCAAAAGAAGGTAAATTCCACAAGGGCAAAGGTTTTTGTTCTTTTTTTCACTCTCTATCCCCAGAACCAAGAACACTGTTTAGTGTTTCATTAGCGCTTGATCAATATCGATTGAATGAATGAAAAACTACATCTGTTGCCCTCAACCCAAAAACAGACACACACACACGTGTGTGCACACACACACACATTGGTTCTTCTATCCAGATCAAATTTCTGGCTGTCACCTATTTTCTGCTCAAACAATAAAAATTGAGTTGGCTGATAATGAACTTAAGGCATGACCACTTTATAGAGGTATTTGCATTTTACAAGGGAAGATTTTGGAAATAGTAAAATCTTTCACGAGCCAACAGACTAAAGTTATAATGGGTGAATTATATGGGGAGGCATTTGGGGAACCCTCTCCCACCCTGCTCAGAGTGCCTCAAAGCAGATCAGCACATAGGTGTCTGGTCCCTACATCACACAGCCACCAGCTGCACCCCTCAGCCCAGTTCAGCTCTCCCTGATTCCTGGGGAAGACGTATCAGCTGTCTTGACCACTGAAATCTCCATCACGCTTCCCTTCCCCAGCCTAGCCCCTCCACATAAGGACTTATTTTATCTTTGTCCCAAAAGCCAAGTGGAGCTGCTGGGCCTGGACTTGGAGCTCTGGGAAGCATGGCTTTCTAGAGCAGGGGTTCCCAACTAGTGCCAGAGGTGGCCCAGTTCTCAGCTCCCAGAAGCCTCCTGGCATTTCATGGAGGCGTTACTAGGCCTGGAATCTCAGGTGCCTGCCTGGAAGAGCCAGCATACTGACACTCTGGGCATCAGACCCCATAGCAAAGGATGGAATGGTTAAGGATGAAGCAGGGGACTCTACAGAGTGAAGGCCGTCAGGGGTTGATCGATGAAGTCATCCTTACCGAGCATCTAGTTCATGCAAAGAATGTGGTTGGGCCCCAGGCAAAGGAACATCCCATGGCGCAAGTCACCATCTCCTACCCACATAGCCCTCATCAGCTCTGGTCTGGCCAGGATGTAGGCTGCTTTGAGGGAGCCAATCAACAGGCTAGCCTGGGGGACCTCTGAAAGCAGAGGGTGCTGAACCCATGGGCCTAGTAACGCCTCCATGAAATGCCAGGAGGCCTCTGGGAGCTGAGGACTGGGCCACCCCTGGCACTAGTTGGGAACCCCTGTTCTAGAAAGCCATGCTTCCCAGAGCTCCAAGTCCAGGCCCAGCAGCTCCACTTGGCTTTTGAGACAAAGATAAAATAAGTCCTTATGTGGAGGGGCTAGGCTGGGGAAGGGGAGCGTGATGGAGATTTCAGTGGTCAGATTGCCCCTCTACTTAGGAAGGTCCCATGTGCAAAGTGGTGGTGGGGCTTTTCCATGGGGGGACCTCAGCCTGCTCAGCCAATCCTGTCCCTGTTTGGGAGTATTCCGAACAGGAGGAAGGGGTTTTCTGAATGGGAAGCAGGGTACAGAACATCCTTTTTTGTTTGTTTGTTTGAGATAGAGTCTCTCTCTGTCACCCAGGCTGGAGTGCAGTGGTGTGATCTCAGCTAACTGCAACCTCCGCCTCCAGGGTTCAAGCGATTCTCCTGCCTCAGCCTCCAGAGTAAGTGAGACTACAGGCGAGCGCCACCACACCCAGCTGATTTTTTGTATGTTTAGTAGCGACAGGGTTTCACCATGTTAGCCAGGATGGTCTCGATCTCCTGACCTTGTGATCCGCCTGTCTCAACCTCCCAAAGTATTGGGATTACAGGCATTAGCCACCGCTCCCGGCCTTTTTTGTGTTTTGTAGACAGAGTCTTGCTCTGTCACCCAGGCTGGAGTGCAGTGGCGCGATCTCGGCTCATTGCAACCTCCGCCTCCCGGGTTCAAGTGATTCTCATGCCTCAGCCTCCTGAGTAGCTGGATTACAGACACGCACCACCATGCCCGGCTAATTTTTTGTATTTTCAGTAGAGACGGGGTTTCACCATGTTGGCCAGGCTGGTCTCGAACTCCTGGCCTCAAGTGATCCACCCACCTAGGCCTTTCAAAGTGCTGGGATTACAGGTGTGAGCCACCGCGCCCAGCCACAGGGGAGAGGACAATCTGAACAGATGCTGCTCCCGGGTCCGGACCTCCTGGAGCTGATGCTCCTGGACCTCCTTCTGAGCCTCATCTCCTGGGGGCAGAAGGAAACCCTGAAGGCCCAAGCCAGCAGAGACCTCAGGGTGCCCACGGACACCAGCAATGACAAGCCAGGGGACATTCAGATGTGACTGCATCCAGACATTGCAATGGGAGGACACCCTCCCAATCCCACCTGCTCAGTGTTGCTGGGGCACACCCTCAACTGCCAGCACATCCACTCCGATCACACAACCTCTCCCAGGATCTTAGACAGAGCCTCGCCTGGGGTAGAGTCGGCAAGGAGGGTTTCTGGGCTGCCCTAGAGTCATGGTGAGACTCCAACTGGAACTGCTTTCTTCTGTTGGGGGCAGGGCAGCATATAACAGGCTCCAGGGAGCCCCTGCGCTCCCTGCCAGGCCCCTAAGTGCAGCCTCTCCATCCAGATGGTCTCCATTGATCTGCTGGAGATTTTGCCGACTGGTCAGTTCTTCATCCCATCCTTCTTCCGGCTCCAATCCCCTCCTCCTCAGACCATCCATCATCTGTCCACCTGCCTGAATCACATCAGGGGCTGGCAGGGGCCTCTTAAAGGAGCCAGGGCCCAACCCTCAGGTGTCATGTCAGCTGCCCACAGGTACCAAAGCCTCCCTCTGCCCTGGGACTTTTGCGCTTGGTACTGGCTGTTTGTGCAGTTTCTGGCAAGCCCTAAAGGGAGCTGGCTGAGCTCACAGCACGTGGATCTAAGGGTCTCTAGACCTGGTTCCCTCAGTGGGCCTGTCTTGTGTCCTATCCTCATTGTTCTCATTCTGATGCCTCGTGGAAACTCCGATGACCCCTGAGACATGAGCTGAGGAAAATGTAGACATTTGCTTGCCATGCAGGACTCTGAAGGATGATCAAGACTTACGATTCAATAGAGGTACACGACTTCCACTCTCATCCCAGGATCTTATTTTAAGCCATGTGACAATCCCATAAGGTCTACCCCATGTTTCTAAACCTATGTGACAGATGAGAGACCCCAGCTCAGAGCAGTGAGGTGACTTGCCTAACGTAGCACAGCTGTCAGGGAAGAGTCCCTGGAGTTAGTTCTCTTGCCACTGTCCCTTGGAAGTCTTCATGTCACAAACGAAGGAATCTCCCCTCGGGACCGTAACAAGCAGCATGGCCAGCAGGCAGCCTGGCATGCTGGGAAGGGCTTGGCCAAGTCCCAGCTCAGCCACTTAGGAGCCCCGGCAGCCTGGAGCCAGTCATCCAGTTTCTGCGAGCTCAGTTTCCTCATCTGCAGAACACAAAGAACATCCATGCCTTTCCAGAAAGGAACAAAGGAAAACATGGAGTGTTCTGGATCCTAAGAAGTCCAGTGCCCCAGGAGGGGTCAAGACCACTGCACCCCCAGGAGATCCCCATACCCAGTATTTGGGACAATGTGACATGCTGTAACAAGGCAGTCTCTGCGGCTAACTGTGGTTTCCGTAAACAGAAGCTGCTTTCTCACTTCCTCCTGTAACGGAGACCCCTATGTCCATGACTCCCTGTGTAAAAGGAACAAAGAGAGGATGGGTGCGGTGGCTCACGCCTGTAATCCAGCACTTTGGGAGGCCGAGGTGGGCGGATCACTTGAGGTCAGCAGTTTGAGACCAGCCTGGCCAATGTGGTGAAACCCGTCTCTACTAAAAATACAAAAATTATGTGGGCATGGTGGCATACACCTGTAATCAAAGGATCTCGGGAGGCTGAGGCAGAAGAATCACGTAAAGCCAGGATGCAGAGGTTGCAGTGAGCCAAGATCGTGCCACTGCACTCCAATCTGGAAGACAGAGCAAGACTCCATCTCAAAAAAAAAAAAAAAGTAACAAAGAGGACCAGGCCAAATGGCTGAGAGGAGAGACAAGGAAGAAAGCTACATGAAGCGGGCAGGGCTCAGTTCAGGGATGATTCATGCTTGGAGACAGACGTTTCTGGTAGCTGAAGGAGGTGAGCCTGGCTGGGACCCAGCCCAGGTGAGACACAGCCAAGTGAGGACGGGAGGGAGAAGAGGCAGCTGAACTGGGAGATGGCTCTAAGACCAGCTTCCCAGGAAGAGTGAAGCTGGATTTTACAGCCACTTGCAGGCGCCTGCTAATGAAGGAAACTAGTCCATGAAAAATGCCTCCCAGGTATTTGTGGCTGTCCCCAGGGGCTGGCTCTGTGTCTTCTGGCACTGGTGCCATGTCCACTGAGACCACTGCTTCTACACTTCACTGGGTGTTCAGTGGGCGCCACCAACTCCCAAACTCCTGAGGCTGACAGTGCTTGGCACCCTGTAGCAAAGTGATGAAACTGTCCCATTCCCTGCTCTGTTTCAACCTCAACTAGATGAATGCCCAAATGTGCAGTGTGTGCCCAAAGGCCTTAAGAACTCTAAGTGAAAGAGGCGTGTTGAGAGATAAGTCCTAGAGATAGATGCCCAGAGGTAACTCCACTGTGCTCTAATGGTGCCACCTGGACTCGTGCAGTGCACAGCCTGTGCAGCTGTCCATGGTGTCCCAGTAGACACTATACCATCCTCAAAGCACCTCATCTACCTGACAGCTTGCTCTTTTGCCTTGGTCAAGTTTCTCATGCTTGCCTAAGCCCTCATTATAAATGGTGTCTCCTAAATTTACTCATTGCTCAAGCTGCATAAGCTTGCACAGAAAACCTGCAGTGCTATCTCCTTGCTTTAGGGTAAGTTCTGTCCCAGGGAGCTCCACTGCCCCTCATGCTACTGGACCCACCCTACCATTGCTCTGGACATAGCCGAATCCCAGAAGAGAGCCCCACAAGGTTTCAGTTAAGCCTTTGAACCTATATTTTCCTCATTCCCTCTTGGCAAAGTCATTCCTGCTGACTTGCTATCCTGACAATTTCCCCCAAACAAAAGACTATATAGCATTAATGGGAATTTTGAAGGTCTCCTGATCCAGGCCTATCATTCTGCAGATGGGAGAATAAGGCCCAGAGACGGAAGAGACTTGCTGGACGGCCCATGGCCAGTTAGTGGCAGACCTGGGATTAGAGCTCCTAATTTAGTTCCCTGTCTAGTGTCCATTGTCACGGACCTGCAGAGGTTATGGGTTGATGAACAAGCCACAATGTCCAAGCACATTGCCCTCTGCCCTACTGCTGGCCTCACCTGCCTTCCCCATCAAAGAAGTCAAAGACCAGCCTGGCCAACATGGTGAAACCCCATCTCTACTAAAAATACAAAAATTAGCCAGGCGTAGTGGCAGGCACCTGTAATCCCAGCTACTTGGGAGGCTGAGGCAGAAGAATCTGGGATTGAACCTGGGAAGTGGAGGTTGCAGTGAGGTGAGTGAGATCGCACCACTGCACTCCAGCCTTGGGTGACAGAGCAAGACTCCATCTAACAAAAAAAAAAATGTCAAAGGTGACTTTCTTTTTAGGAGGCAGCTCTATTTTGTCTGCTGGGGAACAGGGCCCTGTGCTGGGCCAGCCAAGCCAGAAGTCAGGACCAAGAGAAGAGAGATTGGCTGTCTGGAGGGTCTGATAATAACTGAAGATCCGAATGCGCTGCAGAGAGCTGGCCCCGTCTCTGCTATAGGTTCAGGCTGGGTTTGCCGAGTGTGGCTGGTCAATTCGGCCCAAGTGGCCCTGAGGGCCCCAGACCCTGAATGTCTGGCTCTGGACACCAGTCCTTACTTCCCGCAAGGCTCATCTCCAGCCTGCCAGGCCTGCCCACAAAAGCCTACTGAGTGCTCTGTGTCCAGTCCACCCTGGCTGGCCATGCTTCTGTGAGTCCTCAACCCCTCCTCCATCCCCACCTCCTACCCCAGAGCTAGCCAAGTTCCCATTCTCTTTCAGCCAACAGTCTTTGAGAAAACCAAATTTTTTCTCATTGCTTCTTAGCCATAATCCCCAGGTTCAGACAAACCGATTTTTTTTTTTTTTGAGACGGAGTTTTGCTCTTGTCACCCAGGCTGAAGTGCAATGGTGGGATCTCAGCTCACTGCAACCTCCACTCCCCAGGCTCAAGCGATTCTCCAGCCTCAGCCTCCAGAGTAGCTGGTATCACAGGCATGCGCCACCACGCCTGGCTAATTTGTATTTTTAGTAGAGATGGGGTTTCACCATCTTGGCCAGGCTGGTCTTGAACTCCCTGACCTTAGGTGATCTGGCCACCTTGGCCTCCGAAAGTGCTGGGATTACAGGCATGAGCCATTGCACCCAGCCAGACAAATCAGTCTTGCAGGCAGTTTGGCAGGGCTGGAACCTGGCTTAAGTAACTACTCCAGCAACCTCTTGAGGCTTCTCCTTGCCCTGTGACCCAGCAGGATCATCTTGTCCCAGCTGCCCTCCCTCGAGCCATTTCTAGATGACCCTTCATCACCATGGAACCTCTGGTTCCTTTCCTAGACGCCATCTCTGGTTGTTCTTTTGTGTGTCCACTCCTTCCCCTTCAACCAGACCCATCCCAGTTCACTTCTTCATCCCATCAGCCCTGAGCCTGTATGGCCTTGTGCATACTCATGGGCCAAATGGTTCTTATTTGTAGGTGGAAGCAGGAATTGGAGCCCAGAGTTGGCCACTGCACCTTACTCTGAAGTTGCCTGCTAGGGAAAGCTACCCCTCAGGGATCAACGTCAATGGTAACATAGGGGGAGTAGTCATCAGAGGAGGATGGAAAGAGAATAAGTCCGCAGAGCTTTCCTTCCACCATGGGCAGCAAGGTAACCAGCAGGAAAAGAGCAGCTCAGCCTCAGCTGCCTGTAATTAACTCACTCCCCAATGAATTTGCTCAGAGCCATGCAGTGATGATCTTAGGGAGGGGAAGAAACCCTTACTCAGTGATAGTAGCCCTTGCAGGAAGGTAGAACAGGGAATCAGAAATCTCCTTCCCTTTTGCTCTCCCTCACTTGCATAAAAGATCAAAAACTATCTCCCACTGGCTGAGCATGGTGGCTCACACCTGTAATCCCTGCACTTTGGGAGGCCGAGGTGGGTGGATCACCTGAGGTCAGGGGTTCGAGACCAGCCTGGCCAACGTGGCAAAACCCCCTCTCTACTAAAAACACAAAAATTAGCTGGGTGTGGTGGTGCATGCCTGTAATCCCAGCTACCTGGGGGTGCTAAGGCAGGAGAATTGCTTGAACTGGGAGGCGGAGATTACAGTGAGCCGAGATTGTACCACCTCATTCCATTCTGGGCAACAGAGTGAGACTGCCTCAAAAAAAAAAAAAGGAAAAAGGAAAAAAAAAAAAAATCTCCCTGTGGATGCAGGAAGCCTTGACTTTGGTGATTGAGTCCTTTCCCTGAAGCACAACCATAAACAAATTCTCATAAAATGTAAAACACCTGAGAGGGATTTAAAAATCAACTTGGCCTCAGTTTCCATAAGTACAAAAATAAGGCCTCAGGCTGAAGTGCTATTAGGACCTTTCTGGATCAGACATCATGCTCCTTGAAATCTCCATGATGAGGAGTTTCTCAGCCCCTGGGGCTTCCAGAAGGCCCCAGCCACTGCAGGATGGGGGCCGAGGTGAGGACATAGGAACAGGGAGAGAGGTGGGAAAAGTGTCCATGCCCTGTCTGTGCCTCCATCCGCAAGCCTGGCTCCCAGGTTCTGAGAGTGCATCAGAGATGCAGCACCAAGCAGGCCCCAACTGCAGGTCCTGCTCTAGACCATTCTCACCCTCTGGGGGCCCTGGAGACCTCATTCACTCCAGTGATGCCTCACCCCACGGCATCTGCATTTTAAAAGAAGCCTGCTAGGAGAGGGAAGGCACTCTTCCCAAAATGTAAATGGTGGGATTCTTGGCATCTGTAGGGGTGTATTTATGGAGAGAGAGTCCTCCAGAGCACCACAGCTCATTACACACTGGAGATCACCTGTGTTCCTCAAAGGCAAAGTGGGCTTCGTTTATTTTTCCAATCAAGAAACAGTTATTTGTACCTACCTAGTGCCAGGCATTGTGTTAAGTGTCAAGGATAGAACAATGGACTGGGTAAAGTATGAACCCTGCCCTTTGAACATTTGCAGTCTAGTAGGAGAGATGGCAAACTCCTTCTGAATGTTCTCTTGGCTCCTTTCTGCCCACCCCCTCCCCAGCTTCCTCCTCTCAGAACTGTTACTGTTCCCAGGGCTCCTCTGGCTGGCTGCAGGGCAGCGGCCCCAGGGGTCTGCATTGATCACATCAGTTGGTGAGCCCTGCCAAATGAACCAGGTACTTCTGCCCAGCAAGGAACCTGCCTCTGCACCCCGATGAGCCACCTGCTGCACCGTGCATGGATGTGGCAGCTCAGATGAAAGGAGGAAAGCCCCCGCTGTGGCTGCCTGTTCTCCAGCCTTGCCTGAAGCCAAAGGTCTTCTAGTCTACGAAGCATCTTCCCTTCCCGGCTCCCCCATTCCTGGGCATAATAGGCCACTCGAGCATTGCTCTGCCCTGGTGTGCAAATTTGCCCCCGCTAAAGCCCCCATGTCCAGCAGCTGAAAAGCTATTCATGCTGCTCTCTTCACCTCTCCTGAAATACTCTTCCGCTTTTGTGCTTTCCTATCAAAAGCCTAGCTCCTTCCCAACCAAGTCCTTCCACCCGCAAAGCCTCAGTTCACCCTCCAAAGACAAGGAGGTCTCTGCTCCTCTATGCCTCCATTGCCTTGTTGGTAAGACAGGGATTTCTTGCCTTGCCCACCTGGCAGAGCTGTTGAAGGTGAAATGAGATCATGGATAATCCCGGAGCTCTGTGTGTGGCAGGCACTCTTCTCCGAGCTGGGCATTTATTCACTCAATTTCATCCTCACCACAAGCCTTCAAGACACATATTATCATCATCTCCATTTTTCACATGTGGAAACAGATGCAGCTACCCAGAGACACAGCTAGCAAGTTGCAGAAGCAGAATCTGGACCCAGATAGTCAGGCTATGGTCTGTGTGCTTAACAGTCCACGCTCAACTGCCCCCAAAGCAGTTTGGAAACAGAAAGCGCTGTATAAACTCAAGAACATTCTTATCATCCTAAATGCTGGCGCCCCCTCCGGCACACCTTTCACTCCACCCCACCCACCCCTCCCCGATCAAACACCTGGACGCACAAGGCCAACCCCGCCCTGGATGCAGGTCCCCGAATTACTTAGCAGAGCACTGAGACCCCATCTCCCTCACAAGTCTGTCAGAACCCAGTGCTTCCCAGTCTGTTGCCCTACTCCGCCCCCGACCAGCCATCTCTGGCTCAGGGATCCAGGAGCTAGAGTCAAGAAGAGGGTTCTGACCAGGTATAGTGCCTCACACCTATAATCCCAGCATTTTGGGAGGCTGAAGCTGGTGAATGGCTTGAGCTCAGGAGTTTGAGACCAGCCTGGGCAACATGGAAAAACCCCGTCGCTACAAAAAAATACAAAAAATTAGCTGGGTGTGGTGCATAGCTGAGTATGGTTGGCAGGTCTGTCCTGTAGCCCCAGCTACTTGGGAGGCTGAGGTAGGAGGATCACCTGAGCCCCGGAGGTCAAAGTTGCAGTGAGCCGAGATCACACCACTGCACTCCAGCCTGTGTGACAAAGCGAGACCCTGTCTCAAAAAAATAAAAAGCAGGCCGGGCGCGATGGCTCACGCCTGTAATCCCAGCACTTTGGAAGGCCGAGGTGGGTGGACAACCTGAGGTCAGGAGTTCGAGATCAGCCTGACCAACATGGTGAAACCCCATCTCTACCAAAAATACAAAATTAGCCGAGCGTGGTGGTGCATGCCCGTAATCCCAGCTACTCGGGAGGCTGAGGCAGGAGAATCACTTGAACCCAGGAGGCAGAGGTTGCGGTGAGTCAAAATCATGCCATTGCACTCCAGCCTGGACAACAAGAGCAAAACTCCATCAAAAAAAAAAAAAAAAAAAAAAAAAAAAAAAAGCACAGGGTTCCAGAGGTGGCAGGGAGGCAAGGAGGAGAGAAGCAGGCCTGGCCAGAGCCTGGAGATTGATGGGTTCTGCTCCATGCTGGCCGGCATTGGATCCGCCCGGGAGCTGAAGATGGGAGCAGGGCAATGATGAACAGCCTCCTGCCATGGGGAAACCAGCTTGAGGCCTAATCAGATCAGATACCCCCTCCCAGCTCCTCTGGCTCCTCTCCCTCCTCCTCACAGCTCACGGACCTCCCGCACTTACTTCCCAGCCCTGTCCTGCCTGAGGTCTCCAGCCACCCCAGCTGGTTTTATAAATGGCCCTTGCAGGCTGTGGGCACCTTGGCTAATTGAGTCTGCACCCACGAGGCAGGAGGCAGGAGGCTGGTTAGCATCACGGATGAAAGGCAGTGACAGCAAAAACTTGACTGGAGTCGTCAGGGAGGAGCCTGCGGGAGCAGAGAGAGCCAAGGAGCTGGGCCTTTGTAGATTCTGAAGCTCCAGGGGGAGAACTCACGAGGTGGGGAGTGGGGGGCGGCCTGGCCACCCCCACTGTCACAGGCTTACACCATGGACCACAGGCCAACACACACACACACACACACACACACACACACACACACCCCACTTCTCTGCTTTGGAAAAAGAAAATCCAAGGGGAGGCAAGAGAAGCAGAGCAGAAAAGGAACGGGAAAAATGATGTTGTGTGCTGCGTGCGCACATCTCTATGCTAGATGCCAGTCATGCAGCCATCCTTACCTGCCCCGATGTCACCTCTGCATAATAACTAGCAATGAAACCAGTTTATAAGAATCCTGGTCACAGCAAACCTCATGGTGTCAACAGCTGTCTGACTTCGGACCTTGGAGCCTTCAAGAGGCCCTTCTGGGTGGATCAATCACTTGCTGTGACATTGCCCTGTCCCCTTTTGAGGGCAGCTGTTTCCTTACATATGAATTTGCCCCTGAGCATCCTGGTGGCATAGAAACCCTCCAAGGAGGCCCGGCGTGGTGGCTCACGTCTGTAATCCCAGCACTTTGGGAGGCCGAGGCAGGTGGATCACCTGAAGGCAGGAGTTCCAGCCCAGCCCGGCCAACATGGTAAAATCCCGTCTCTACTAAAAATACAAAAAATTAGCCAGGTGTGGTGGCGGGTGCCTGTAATCCCAGCTACCCAGGAGGCAGAGGCAGGAGAATTGCTTGAACCTGGGATGTGGAGGTTGCAGTGAGCCGAGATCTTACTGTTGCACTCCAGCTTGGGCTACAAGAGCGAAACTCCATCTCAAAAAAAAAGAAAAGAAAGAAAGAAAAGAACCCTCCAAGGAGGCCCTCACCACCGTGTGTCTGTTTGAGAAGGGTGATCCCTCAAGCAAGCTCCTTCATTCCTGTGTTCAGTGAACATCTGCCTGCCCACTCCACACTGTAGGCCCCTCGAGGGTGGGATGGGTCTGTGCTGCTCCCCAGCTCCTAGGCGGGACTGGTCCATGACAGATGCTCCAGGGCATTTGCTTTTTTGTTGTTTTTGTTTTTGAGATAGGGTCTCACTCTGTCCCCCAGGCTGCTGTGCAGTGGCTCAATCACAGCTCACTACAGCCTCAACCTCCTGGGCTCAAGCAGTATTCCCACCTCAGCCTCCCAAGTAGCTGGGGCTACAAACAAGCACCACCATACTCAGCTAATTTTTAATTTTTCTGTAGAGATAGAGTTTCCCTATGTTGTCCAGACTGGTCTCAAACTGCTGGGCTCAGGCAATCCTCCCACCTCGGCCTCCCAAAGCACTGAAATTACAGGCATGAGCCACCATGCCTGGCCCATGACATTTGTTGAATGAAGGAAGGTACACATTACAGATGACCATGGCGCAGCTGAGGCTGGCTGTAGTGGCACTGACACCATTCTCTGGAGGGTGGCACACCCCTTGGATCAAATCTTCTGAGAGCGACCCTGATGGCATGATCAGCATTTTCTCAACAACTGTCTTAAGGACTTTCATTACCCCTCCCAACTTCCCCAAAAGCTACTTCCCCTGTCCCTCCAGCCCTCACCCCACCTTTCCCAAGGGCCCTAATCAACCACTTCCCCTTGCATGGCACAGAAAGCATTAGTATGGAAGAACCCAAGTCCCTAGATCTGGAAAGTGGCGAGAGGGGACGAAAGGGCAATGTCCAGCTTAGGACCCCAAACTTCTTGAAGGCAGGGTCCACACATCTGGGAGTGGGATTCTGAGGCTCTGAAGGGACAAGCTCTGACATGCAGATTCCTCAGATTATCCCCAAGCCCTTCGGGTAGTAAATGCCTTCCTTCAGGGCCAAGCCCCCAAGGCTGGTGGTGGCAAAGCCCCCCAGTGGCCTTTTCCACAGGCTAACACCGCCCCCTGCCGGGCTAAGCCAGGACAGCCACTTCAAATGCCACCTTAGGAAATCGGAAACGTGGCTACCTTGCCAAAGAGAAACCCCAACTCCCACTGCTGGCCTGAAGAGGGGGAAGAGTAAAATCCTTGGAAGTGGGGCCTTCCAGCCTTTAGTGATCCAGAGGCTGGAAAGGGAGGGTACCAGGGGGCACCTTCCACACAGACAGGAAGGCCCCTCACTGGGTCTCTCCAAGCAGCTGATCCATTGCTCAAGTTCCTTCAACAAGGGAAAAGGCCACGGTGAGAGGAGAAACAGAGGTCACAGCACACCTGGGAGGCCAACGTCCATGTCTAAGTCTACGCCCCTCTCCCTCCTAAGCGCTAGCTCTCCCACCCAGCTTCAGGACTCGTCTTGCCGGATCAATACTAGCCATCTCCATCTCATCGCATCAGAAACTAAGTTCATCTTGTTCCCAAATCCTGAGTCTCAGGCCGGGCACGGTGGCTCACGCCTGTAATCCCAACACTTTAGGAGGCGAGGTGGGCAGATCACTTGAGGTCAGGAGTTTGAGACCAGCCTGGCCAACATGGTGAAATCCCGTCTCTACTAAAAAAAAATACAAAAATTAGCCTGGCGTGGTGGCTCACACCTGTAATCCCAGCATTTTGGGAGGCTGAGGTGGGCAGATTACCTGAGGTCAGGAGTTTGAGACCAGCCTGGCCAACATGGTGGAACCCCATATCTACTAAAAATACAAAAAATTAGCCGGGTGTGGTGGTGCACGCCTGCAGTCCCAGCTACTCGGGAGGCTGAGGTGGGAGAATTGCTGAACCCGGGAGGCTGAGATTTCAGTGAGCCGAGATCACACCACTACAGTCCAGCGTAGGTGACAGAGTGAGATTCTATCTCAGGAGGAAAAACAAACAAACAAAAAAAAACCCGAGTCTCTCTAGAAACCCTCTTTCTCTGTGTTCCACATCCACTATGAGTCCAAGATCCACAGGTGCTAGCTCTACACCATCTTTTGAATCCAGTCCTTTCTGAACTTCTCCCTTTCCCACTTTTCTTGAGCCAGGGTCTTGCTCTGTTGCACAGGCTAAATGATTCTCCAGCCTCAGCCTCCCAAGTAGCTGGGACTACAAGTATGCACCGCCACACCTGGCTAAGTTTGTTTGTTGGTTTGTTTGTTTTTATAGAGACGCGGTCTCATCACTATGTTGCCCAGGTTGGTTTCGAATTCCTGGGCTCAAGTGATCCTCCCACTTTGGCCTCCCAAGTTGCTGGGATCACAGGTGTGAGCCACGGTGCCCAGATGAATTTCCCCTTTTCTTTTTCTTTTTCTTTTTCTTTTTTTTTTTTTTTTGAGACGGAGTCCTGCTCTGTCACCCAGTAGGGTGCAGTGGTGCAATCTCAGCTCACTGCAAGCAATTCTCCTGCCTCAGCCTCCCAAGTAGCTGGGATTACATGTGCCCACCACCATGCCCAGCTAATTTTTGTATTTTTAGTACAGATGGGGTTTCACCATCTTGGACAGGCTGGTGTTGAACTCCCGACCTCATGATCAACCCTCCTCGGCCTCCCAAAGTGCTGGGATTGCAGGTGTAAGCCACCGTGCCTGGCAGAATTTCCCCTTTTCAATTCAGCCCCAACCTACCCCCTCCCACCCCAAGTCCACCTTCCACAGGGCTATCGGGTTATTGCCCTAAAGCTCAGCTTTTATGGGACTCCCTGTTCAAAAGCCTTTAGTCGTTCCACCTTTCCCTCTAATTAGGTACAAATTCCCCTTAATACAGTCAGAATCTGCCTTCCCAACTAGATTGTGTCACCTTACCCGCACTCTGAGCGTAGAACTCCGTCCCGAAAGCAACACATCCGTACCTCCCCGTGGTTTCACCTACACTCCCATTCCTATCCAAGATGCTCCTTCACACCCCCTTTATCTCCATGGAACTCCTTCCCACCCGTAAATGCCCACCTTAAATGGTACCTTTGATATGAAGCCTTTCTTGCGCTCCCAACAAATAGTTACCTCTCTGGCACTCATGGCCCTGTCTGGTCCCTTGTGGCACTCACACCCACTCTGTGACAGACACCTGTGCCTTGTTTCATCTCATCCCCTTCTGGGCAGTGTGTCTCTCACAGGCCATGCAGTCTACAGCCTCCCACAAACAGTGCCCATGCTGTCGGCGGACTGGGTTGATAGCTGAAGTCCATGGACACACCCTACTGGGAAAGCAGGTTTTGATAAGAGGAGCAAGCACAAGGACACAGGCTGACCTGTGGGGAAATGGTGTGTGGGGACCTAGGAACCCAGAGCCAATGGGAATCACAGAGCTGGATGGCTCCTCCTTGCCCACATGGGGCAACCCCCTCATTTTATGAAGATGTGCAGAAATCTCAGGGAAGCGAAAGGGCCCAGGACCACACACCTGGTGACTCCCACTCCTGGTGTACAAGAGGCTCCATCAATCCAATTATTTCCTTCCTTGCACTTTGGCTCGCCCCCCGCTCCCCCGTGCTTCCCCCACCATTTTTCTGACATTGACCTTCTCCCAGCAAAAGGGAGACATACTTGAACACTATTCCCAGGGCACCCTGACTGACTTCTAGAGGCCTCTGTGAGCAGATGCTTGGGGCTCAGCCTAGGCCCCAGGGGGATCTTGCAGCTGGGAGAGGATGTGATCAAGGTTGGTCAGTTGGAGACTTCACTCCCACAGCATTCATGCCACACAGAAATGTTCTGAAAATGCTTTAATGCCACCAAGAAATCTGAAAGGTGCAGGAAGCTGCCGCCATCCCCCTGGGTGCCTGGGCCCAGGCTGTCCCTGAAGTGGCCATCAGCAGGCAGGAGGCTTGCATAGCCAAGCAGCCCAAGCAATTGCTGACATCCTTTTGTCCTCTGCCCTAAATGCCCCAGGTTCCTCCTCAGCTGGGGAAAGAAAGAGGAGGAAGTGGAAAAAGAGTAGGAGGAGGGTGGTTCTCTCCAGGGCACCCTTCCTGCTTTGGGATGGTGACTCACCCAGCAGGCCCTGGGAGAGGCAATTTATCAGCCCCAACGAAGACAGGCCAGGCCTCGGGCTCCAGAAGGGGCAGAGGAGGTTCTTCTGATGCAGTGGCCAGGAGGAGTCACCAGCAGAAGCCAAGGGGCGGTGGACCATCCCTCTGCTGCCTCTGTCACTTTGGGCCTTTCTTTAGTACAACATTGTCATACTCAGTTCCTGGCTGCCAGCCAGAAGCAGAGAAATCCTGCCCGGCTGGCTGGACATGCTGGAGGCCAGCAGGGTCCCTGTCAGCTGTCGCCTGCCTCCTCCATGCCTCACCCCGGGGCTCCTGCGGGCTGTCATAGAGGGACAGGGCAGCCACTCCCTCGGGCTCATCGTATATGTGGTCAGGTCGAGGGGGCAGGGTCTCCTCAATGCTGTCGTACAGAGGGTCGGCCAGGAGCTGAGGAGGGACTGCCAAGATGCCCCTGAAGTTCTTCCCCAAGGAACGGGCCACCGCATCGAAGGGCACGGCATACTCCCCCTCCTGGCCCCGAGGCCGTGGAGCAGGCACCGGTGTGGTGGGTGAAGGCGGCGGCAGTGAGTCATGCGGCCGAGAGTAGGGGCTATCAGGCCGGGGCAGCGACGCGGGGATTGTGGCTGGCTGCGGTTGGGGTGTAGCGGGTGCAGCATTCTTCTGGGCAGAGATGGCCTCTTCCAGGGCCAAGAAGATCTCATTGCCTTGCCGGGTTTCGAACTCAAAGTTGCCCTCTCCAGAGACGCAGCGACGGCCTGCCTCAAAGGAAAAGGTTACCTGGACCAGGGAGAAAGCAGGTTATTGGCCAGGCCACAGGGCAGGGGTGCATTTTTTTTTTTTTTTTTGGAGACAGAGTCTCACTGTGTCTCCAGGCTGGAGTGCAGTGGCACAATCTCAGCTCACTGCAACCTCCGCCTCCCAGGTTCAAGCGATTCTCCTGCCTCAGCCTCCCTGGTAGCTGGGACTACAGGCGCATGCCACCACGCCCAGCTAATTTCTGTATTTTTTGTAGAGACAGGGTTTCACCATGTTGGCCAGGATGGTCTCGATCTCTTGACCTCATGATCCACCTGCCTCGGCCTCCCAAAGTGCTGGGATTACAGGCACGAGCCACCGCGCCCAGCTAGGGATGCTTTCTTAAACCCCATCCCTAACCCAAGCCCTGGGACCTCCAGCTTCCCTTCATGGGAACTGCTGGAGCCTCCTCTGCCCTCTGTGCTTTCCCCTACAGGCAGAGACTTGGCTCTCTCCTCTCCCCTCTCCAGGCCCTTCCTGCTCACTGCCACCATTTCAAGGATGGAGCTAGGCACTAGTTCAGACGCTGTTTACCCCTCTACGGTCTCTCCACCTCTTCTCATTCTCCTTCCTTCTACTCCACTTCTGCCATCTTGTCACTCTATTCTTTGCTTCACTCCATCTCCCTCTCCTGGTCTCTCCCATCCCCTCGCTGCTTCTCACCCCTCTTTGTTCGTAGCTTATCCTTTCTCTCAACCTGCCCTGATGCAGCTTCCCACTCACCTTGTCCCGCCCAAAGCGCCGCAGAAACCTGTAGGGCCAGTCGTACAGCTGGGTCCCTGGCTCGGGCCCACCCCACAGCTCCAGGGCACTCTCCCCAGCCCGGAGGGTATAGGACCCCCGCAGGTGGCACCTCTCACTGGCTTCTGTAGGTCTCATGGTCACAGCAAATTCCTTGTGGGGGCCGACTGGGGAGAAGAAGAGAGAGAAGGCGAAGGCAGTTAATGGGAAACAGCTGGCCTGCCTCACCACTGCCCAGTTCTAAATGAGCGTACCAGAACTTTTCTAGAAAGTATTATCCACACACTTATGGCCCCCTGCCTGGGTCTTGGAGGCTGAGCTGCTCTGTGCCAGGTCATACTCCCCAAAAGGCCAGGTACCTCCACCCCCTACCCTAGTAGGCATCACGCCCCTACCCACATCCACCCCAACCTCGTGCCCACATCCTTCCTGCCCCTGTCGCCAGAGCCACAGTCTTGTCTTCCCCACCCCATCTCTCACCCCAAACCAGCCACCACCCTAGTCCCTACGGTCACAGCTGCAGGTGAAGCCTTGGCCCTGCCCTCCCACTGCCGGGGCCCTGGGGGTGAAGCTTAGATGGAAGGCAGATGAAAGTTTCTCCTCCCTCCACCAGCTCCTCAAAAGCAACACCTGGGGCCAGGCGCAGTGGCTCATGCCTGTAATCCCAACACTTTGGGAGGCTGAGGCAGGTGGATCACCTGATGTCAGGAGTTTGAGACCAGCCTGGCCAACATGGTGAAACCCCGACTCTACTAAAAATACAAAAAATTAGCCAGGCGTGGTGGCCGACGCCTGTAATCCCAGCTGCTCAGGAGGCTGAGGCAGGAGAATCGCTTGAACCCGGGAAGCGGCGGTTGCAGTGAGCCGAGATTGTGCCATTGCACTCCAGCCTGAGCGACAAGAGCAAAACTCCGTCTCAAAAATAGAAAAAAGCAGCACCCTCACCTGGGCCCCCAGCCTTCCCCTCTCCCACCAGCAGGCCCTAGGTAAGATGAGGTGAACCAAGGGAGAGACTCAAGGCAGGGTAGGCTCCCTACGTTGGGCTGCACCCGGAAGCGAGAAGGAGAGGCTGATAACGGGGCTGGCCCAGGCTGGGGATAACCACAAGGCAGGAAGACTCGGGGCCAGCAGCTAGCCAGCCCACACCTCCTCTCCACCTCACCCTGGGGAGAGCCCCCAGGGGAGAGCAGGGCAGCCCCCGCCCCCTCACCTGTGACTGCGCTGCTGTACAATTCATTTTCCTCCATGCAGGGCCGGCTCTGCTTTCCCTCTGGCCCCGAGAGCTCCTTCCTCTGCCCCTAGGGAGGAGGCGCCCCGTCTCATCACCTTCCCCGATCCCCAGGCCCCCCTCTGGCCCAGGCCTTCTTTCAGGCCACCTCAACCTGCTGGCTCTGTCTGCACACTGGGTTCGGGTCCCCCCACATGGAGGAAGCACCCCATCACCCTGACCTTGACACCTGTAACACTTGCCCACAGGAAGTATCTAACACCCTCGGCCTGCACGCCCCCTTGCCCTTTCCGCACCCCGCGCGACTCACGGGGAAGGCCAGGAGGCAGATGGCCTGCACCCAGTCGCCGCGCTCCGCTGCAGGGGCCGCCAGGAGGTACAGGCGCTCCTTGGTCTCCAGGAAGAAGGCACTGGTGTCCCGGGGGCTGCTGGCCTCTCCGCCGGCCTCGGCCACCCGCAGGCAGTCACTGAGGCGGATGACCTTCCGGGCAGCCTCACACCGACGAGGCTTCTCCGGGCCCTCCTGCAGCTCCAGCCGGGCCAAGGCGCAGTCCGACCCTCCATACAGTGAGGCGCCGAAGCGGCGCCATTTCTGTGCCAGAGGCGTGGGAGGCGGGGGCGGGAGGGAGCCACCCAGAGACGGGGAGATCGTGAGCCAAGGGGAGAAGAGGAACCGTGGGAGGGGGACTGGGGCAGCCACTTGGAGATGGGGAGAGAGAGGTGAAGATCACATGAGACCCAGGGAGGCAGAGAAGAGGACAGTGACTGCAGGAATTAGAAAATCGGAGATCAGCCGCCAGCCCCGAGAAGGAGGCCCACGAGCAAGAGCAGAGACTGCCCAGGCAGAAAGCAACGCCGGGATGAGCCCAAAGCAGGCTGCAAGAAGGCCAAACAGGCCCACCGCAGTGGACTCCAGTCTGGGGAGGAAAGCGGGGCAGTGGCCGAGGCCCAGAGGAGGGAGTGAGGAGGGCGGCGTGTGACCCGGGCTGGAGACCTCATTCTCCTTCTGTGCGAAATCCTGAAGGAGAACTTCTCTCCACCCTCCTGAACCTTGCTGCCTCATTCCTTGATAGGTTGGGCCATGAGAGAGAGACAGGTGTGCCCCCCAGTGTTGGTTAGGGGACGAGGACTTCCTGGTTCAAGGAGGCCAGGGAAGGGGAAAGAGGATGGACAGCCGGCTGGGGTCCAGGCCCCCAGAGGCCCCAGCCCAAGCTGAACACCAGCCACATGCACCCCACTGGGGTTGGGAAGGAACCTCTATTGTCATCCTAAACTGTCCCTCCAGCTGCCCCTTCCATTCCCTTCCAAGGTGTCCGGTGAAAAGAAGTCAACATAGAGCAAGAGAGCAAAAGAGGCAAGAGATGAAAGCAGCACATCCCCCACCCCCACCCAGGGCAAACAGCCCTCAGTAAGGAGCACAGTTTGGGACCTGGTTGGGGCCTGGTTCAGGAGACAGCGTCGGGTAGGAAAAGAGCCCTCCCAAAGTTGAGCTCTGGGTCTAACTTGGTGGGTGCACAGTCAGACCTATAAGGGTTTTGAATATGAAACTCCCTCTCCAACCCAGGAATTCTAGCAGCCTCCCAGGCCCCCTGCCCAACCCCAGCCCAGCCTCACTCCTACCTTTCCAAACGTCTGCTGCTGCTGAAGATACAAGAAGCCTTGTTTCACTGCCCCGTCTCCCATCCTCTGACCATCTCGGAGCCCCAGGCTTCAGCTCTCTCCTTCACTCCTGCCCTTGCCTCTCTCTTCTTAGCCGTGTGTTTCCCTTCTCTGAAGTTCATTTCCTCTCTGCCTAGGGTTTTCTATACTATTCTAGTCTGCTCGATGACGACAGGCTGATAGGCCCTGCGGTTTCTTCTGAGTGTGTGTTCTTTTTTTTCTTTTTTTTTTTTTTTTCTGAGTGAGTTTTATACTCAAGCTTCCTGCATTTCCAGTGAGTTAGAGACAATTTCCAAAAAGCTAAATGCCAGCTCTTCAGTGAGCAACAATTCAGGTACAGAAGTTGGCACAGGGAGGCGCCAGCAAAGAGTGGCTGGCCCACTGGAACAGAGACCCAGAAACCAAACTAGACAGTGAAATCAGTAGTGAAGGCCCCCCCCTCCAAGCTGTACGCAAGTTGGAAGGGACAAACCACTAAGTTACAAATAAGGAAACAGGCTTGGAAAGTCTGAGGGATTTATTCAAGGTCACCAAACCAGAACCCAGGTCTCTCAACGCTTAACAGCTGAATGACACACACGGCACTGCACAGAGAGACACATAAGACAGCTCATGTGGGCCTAACCAGATACCAGTTTCACAAACACACACACACAGAGAGAGAGAGAGAGAGAGAGGCAACCGTTTAACTACATGCGAGCACTCCCTGTCTGCCAACAACACACACTCACACCAACCCTGTAAAGATTCTAGAAAGATGATCATCCCCTCTGGAGAAGGGACTGACTCCCCAAGTACATCTCAACTGTTGGATTTTTGCCTTCTTGCAAGCATTCCTGAGCATTAGAAAGATGCTTAGGTTTCATCTGCAAATTATCTTAAGTTTCAATAGCAATCACTTTCATATACATTTTGAAAATGGTTCAGAGTTACCGAAAGTGCTTCGTAGCTCGCAAAGCTTCTAGGCACACACTTTTCATCAGCCACGCCATCCTTTGACAAAGGCAGGGCAGGTATGAACACACTTATTTGCAACTTGCCTGAGGTCACAGAGGTAGTTGGGGGCAGAGGAAGAAGTAGAGACCAGGGCTCCTGATCTTTAATTCAACATTTTGCAGGGCCCCTAAATGGAATCCAGATCCATGCAAAAAGATCCATTGCTGTGGGGAAATCCAAGCTGCTCAGAGAAGTTTAACTTAAAGCCAGATGGTTTAGAGAAGCAATCTGTATGGAGGCACAGTGCAGAAGGGTTGGAAAAAACTGAGACTCAGACCAACACTCTTGGGGTTAATCCCATAACAGGTGCTTATATAAACAGGCCCATTTCCTCTACAACAGGGGTTCAGTTACCGTGGCAAGGAGCGAGCAGCACCGTGCACAGCTTAGGCCTTCTGCTGTACATGCCATGGACTGGACCAAATAAGCTTGAAAAAAATGAATGTCATGAGCTCTGTGAGGACAAGGATGAGTCACTTCAAACTCACTGCCCTCAGCCGTGATGCCTGGGTTTGAAGAGGTTGATCCAAAGCTCAAGGGAGAACCAAGCATACTGTTTTGGGAAAAGCACACCTTGGGAAGTGGTTAGGGGTATGGAAATGGGATGTGACCTAATCTTCCTCTTTAGTCCCTAAGGAGAGTCAACTCTGCCTGGGAGCTGCATGGTCTTTGGTGCAGGGAGTGAGAAGAGGAGGGCTTTATGGCCATCTTAGGGGCTGCCAGAGCAGTGCCTTCCAAACTGTAACATGTAGATCTTGTTCAAAGTAGACTCCAATAAAGTAGGTCTGGAATGAGCCCTGAGATGCTGCCGGTGGTGGGTGGGTCAAAGCACACTGAGTAGCAAGGTGACAGAGGATGTCCCCTGCTAACCTGATCGCCTTCCCTGAAGGCAAAATGGACACATTCCACTCAGAACCACAGGGGGGCACCCAAGTTTACCAGATTACTTGAAAGTTGTTTAAACCCGGAGGCCTGAACCCCAGGCAATCCAGACACTCCCTTGTCATCCCTTGCTTATGGAAGCTGGAGGAGTTCTCCGGTAGCCGTTGACTGCAGAAGATAGGGCAGCAGAGTATATACCAAGAGCAACACCCTTGCAGTCCTTCTAGGCCCCTTCAACTGTCCCTAGCAGGATTTGTGGCGACCCTGATGTAGAAGCACTAACCCCAGTACCTTCTGCCTAGCCATGGGGAAACCCTGTAAACAGGAGCCCAGAGACATTGCTCCAAGACACAGCAGAAGCGCACAGAATGAGAAGCCCTTAGGGTCCACAGGCACCAATGATGTGTAGAAAAAGCACTGTAAAGGAGTTGAGGGTGCCTCTTGGCTTGTCTTTGTTTTTACGGGAAAGGAAAAGGCACTCCAAACCCCACCTGTGGCTCATTCTAAGCCACTGGGATCCTGTCCCTTACAACAGTTTCTCTCAGCAGGAGTCAGGAACCACAGCTCCAAGAAATTTTCATTACTATTCTGCTGCAGTGATTAGCAACCCAATCCTAACATAAGAGGGCTGGGACCTTGTCTTTGGGGCAACAAAGGAAGGAGGAGAGGAGACTGTGTCTGACTCCTTGGGCCGGCTTGGGGATTAGGTAACCCTCAAATGATGTGCAGGTAGGGAAGCTAGCTAAGGGGTAGTTCTGGGCACACAACAGGTAAGTACGTATAGGATAGGCAGAGAACTGATGTGGGCCTGAGACGGGTGAAGGACTGAGCGAAAGAATTAGTGAGCGTGTATTCTGAAGGACCCCATCCCTGCCCCTTCCACCCCCAGTGGTCCCTGACTGTGGGGTGTGGGAGGGGGACAATGCCAGTCTCTTGAGCTTCATTTGTAGCCCCCCACCCTTTCTCCATTAAGTCTATCACTTTTCTCAGTACTAAGGAAAGAGAGAACCCAGTTCTAGAAACCCGCTGAGAGGAAGGGCCTATAACATAACATAACATAACATAACATAACATAACATAACATAACATAACATAACATGTTACCTAACAGTGACATAATATTTAGAATGCTTTATGTCTTCATATGAAACCCACATGCACCCTAGAATGAGACATAAAGAAGTTAATACATTCAACAGTTTTTTAAATTTATTTTTATTTATTTTTTGAGATGGAGTCTTACTCTGTTGTCCAGGCTGTAATGCAGTGGCACGATCTCGGCTCACTGCAACCTCCGTCTCCTGGGTTCCAGCCATTCTCCTGCCTCAGCCTCCTGAGTAGCTGGGATTACAGGCGCACACCACCATGCCTGGCTAATTTTTTGTATTTTTAGTATAGACGGGGTTTCACCATGTTGGCCAGGCTGCTCTCAAACTCCTGACCTCAGGTGATCCACCCCCCTCAGCCTCCCAAAGTGCTGGGATTAAAGGTGTGAGCCACCATGCCCCGCCTCAACAATTATTTACTGAGCATCTACTCTGTGCAGAGGTACTAGGGATACAACATAGACAGAATCCTTGTTTATACTATGTCTGCTTTTAGTTGGAGGGACTGATAATGAAAGAGTAATAATATGTAGTTTTGGACAGTGATCAATGCTGTGATAGTGATAGGCACAGGGGACAACTTTCAAGAGGGTGGTGAGAAAAGGCTCTCTGAGAGGTGACAAGTGAGCTGAAAAGTCCATGAGGAGAGTGAGCCAGCCATTTCACGATCTGAAGGGAAACCAATCCAGGCAGAAGTTACTGCAAGTGCAAAGGCCCTGAGGCAGGAGATCCTGGCTTTGCAGAACTGCAAGGCCAGAATGACCACAGAGCATTGAGCCAGAGGGGGCATGGTAGAGTGAGGTCAGCTCATACGACCTCTTGAGCCACAGCAAAGATTCGAATTCTAAATGCAACATGAGGCCACTTAAGGATTTTAAGTAGGAGTGTAAATTATCTGAATTATGATTTTAAAGGAATGTTCTGGCCAGGCGCAGTGGCTCACACCTGTAATCCCAGCACTTTGGGAGGCAGAGGCGAGTGGATAACCTGAGGTCAGCAGTTCCAGACCAGCTTGGCCAACGTGGTGAAACCCTGTCTCTACTAAAAATCCAAAAATTAGCCAGGTATGGTGGTGGGCGCATGTAATCTCAGCTACTTGGGAGGCTAAGGCAAGAGAATCGCTTGAACCAGGGAGGCGGAGGTTGCAGTGAGCAGAGATGGCGCCATTGCACTCCAGCCTCGGCAACAGAGCAAGACTCTGTCTCAAAAAATAACAAATAAATAAAATAATGTTCTGCAGCGTCCAGCTATATGGAAAATGGGTTATCAAGGGGCAAGACAGGAAGCAGGGAAACTAATTAGGAATCTATTACCAGAGCACAGGAGAAAGGTAATGGTGGCTTGGACCAAGGTGTTAACAGTGGAGATGGATGGAGAAGTGGTCATATTGGGTATATATTAGATATAGATTGAACAGGACTTGCAGGTGACTTGCATGTTGGGGACTGATAAGACTTGAAGAACCAACTCCTGAGTGTTTATTAGGAGCAACTGGATGAATGGTGGTACCATTTACTGAGGAAGGGAAGACACAGGGAGAAACACGGGGAGGTTGGGGTGCGGGGGTGGGGGAAGGGAGGGTGGACAGAAATTTGGGCCTGGCCCACTGTGAAACTGTTACCTCTATTCAGTCCAGTAGGGAATCCAAAGAATTTCCATTGCAATTGTGACTCTGAGAATATTTCATTGCCCGATGCCAGGTTCAGAAAGCCACTGACCCCATCACCCCGCCTCTTTATACGCTCGGAGCTAATGATTGGACGCTGGGAGGTTTTGGGGAAAAACAAAAACCCAACATCTGAAAAGGTCTATGCTCGCTAGAAGTTAACAGTCAAAAGCTCTGCCACTTAAATCTTCTGCCTCTTAAATCTTCTCTGAGTCAGCCTAATTGGCAGAGCCTAATTTGCATACAGAACCCTAGCTGCAAGGAAGTTTGGGTAATGTAGTTTCCAGGTGCCCTACCTCTGCAAACCAGGAAGACCTACTAGGAGGACGGAAGTCGAAATGAATGCTGAGCACCGGTCCACTACATCCACCAAGGGTGTGTAATTCACTACCACCATCATTTGCATATGATGGTAGTCCCCTGTAAATACAAACTTCAAACAATCAGTGCTCTCAGAATCCAGCTATGATCTAACCTGGGGGCCTTAAAAGGAAGCCACAGTGGAATCCAATGGAAAACAGGAACCGGCATTATCTAACAGATAATTCCTAGTGAGGAAGACTGGAATTGGCCTCAGCATGCAGGGGCTGACCTTATCTGACCCAGAGAGATGGCTTTCCCACTCATACCTCCACAAGACCGAGCCTAGGGGTCCTAACCACCAGCCCCGCTGCCTCTTCCAGCATCTGACCCTCTCGGGAGGCAGTCTAGAGTATTGGCAA
Organism: Homo sapiens; assembly: GCF_000001405.40. NCBI lineage: Eukaryota > Metazoa > Chordata > Mammalia > Primates > Hominidae > Homo > Homo sapiens. The sequence goes on from NC_000008.11 coordinate 21,918,950, forward strand.
CGAGGACAATGTCTTTGGGAAGCCAGAACTGTGCCTTCGTATGTTTTGATCATCACCACCATTCGGTGGTTATTTCCATGAATGTTTATCAAGGACGAAAGGACAGAAATGAAAAACACGAGATCAACCACTGGGGTTGCTGGTGAAATCCAGACCAGAGAGCGATGGCCCTGGTCCAGAAAGCTAGACAGACACAAGCACAGAATCGGCCCCCGTTGAGTAGAGGGCATTGGAAAGTAAGGAATCTCGCAGGCAGCCTAGGTGGGGTGTGGGGGGTCCCCGTAGCTGCAGGGTGGGGTGGGGGTGGGGGTGGGAGACGTCCAGGGGCGAGTCAAGGGGGAAGACGGTTGGGAAGAGAGGAAGCCACTGGGTGCAGGGGTCCCGGGGCGGCGACAGACCTCGGCCCCCATCCAGGAGCCCTCACCACGCAAACGAGCAGAAGGCAGCGCCAACTCCCACTCCAGCGCCCGCCTGCCGGAGCGAGCGCGGCCCCTTTAAAAACCATGTAAACAAAGCTTTGTTCCCCCAGCTGCCCCTCCTTCGCGCTCCCCCGGCCCGCTCCTTCCTCCCACCCGGCGTCTCCGGGCCGCTGACGTTGCCCGCGCCTTTACGCCGTCCCAGCGGTGCTGCGCATTCTCCAACCACGGCCCGGGCCGCCGGGGCCTGCGCAGCTGAGCGGCGCTACGCCACGAGCGCAGCGCGACGAGTCCCCAGCGCGCAGGCGCAGCGGCGACGGCGTCGGCGGCGGCGGCGGCAGCGGCTCCGGCCGAGGTGCGCGCTGGGGGGGAGGGGGGGCCGGAGAGGAGCATGAATGGAGCAAAATGGCGGATCATGTGCAGGTGAGAGGAGCCGCGGGGGGGAGGGGGCGACCACGAAGAGCGGCGAGTGGAGTCGGGGGTGCACACGGCCCACAGGGCGCCAGCCGGCTCGGGACTCGGCAGGCCCGCGCCGCCGCCACTCGGGGCTCTGGAGCCGCCGCCCGTCCCGGAGCCCCGGGGCCTTTCCCGCCTCCCGGGCCGGGGGCCTTCTCCGTCCCCTCCCACCCGGTCCCACACCTCGCGCGCGGGGCTGCAGGGACAGGAACGGGCATCCCGGCGCGCGCAGCCCACAACGTTCGTCAGTCACTGTCTTCGTCCCCGGGGGAGGCCTCCGTCAAGTCCTCGGGCCCCCCCGCCCGCCCCCCGGTGAAGCGAGGGGGACCCCCTTGCTGACTTTACTGAGGGGGACGCCCCCATGACGCCCGCCATCCCTCAGCAGATAACAAAAAGGAAACCTCGCGCTGATAAACCTCGCTCTCCGGAGTCTTTCCCGCCGCCTTCCTCTCACGCCCCGGAATACGAGAGACCCCCCAGCAACCCCGGCCTCCTTCCCCCTCCCACGGATGCGCCCTTCCCTCCGACACTCCAAATCGTACAGCCCGGAGGGCCGAGCTCCCCGGTCTTCCAAAATGGGTGCTCAGGCCTCGGCCCGCCTCCCCTCGCGTCCCCCTAGCCACAGTGAAGGAGTTGAGCGCCCACACCTCCTATGAAACACGGGGTGGAGGGGGGTGTGTCTGAAATGAGAGATGCAGGGTTGGGTGCAGACGTTGCTCGGGAGGGTCTTGATCCGGCTCAAGAGCTGCTCCTAGCGTGCTGTGGGGCCAGGCCACTCTCCTCAAAGACAGGCACAGGCCCTAGAAAGGGACAGCCCATACCAAACCCAGTAGCAGATGGAGGACTGCAGGGTTTAATTTCTTGCAAACTAGATAAAGTTTTTCCTGTCTGTGCCAGAGATCTGATATTTTTATGACAGTTATTGATGCACATCCATTGTGGGGAACCTTCCAATTTTCTAGGTAACCAAGTGCACAGGTTTTGTGTTGTGGCAAGGAAAGATTAGAGGGCAAGAAGTGTCGCCTTTATATTCTGTGGCATCATTCCTCAAGTAAGAAGAATGATCTCATTCTTAATACGTCTACAAGAATCTGGAGTGGTGTGACTTCTGCCCCTTTCTTTGGAGAGAAGGGACTAAATAAAAGACTTAATTTTCAGGCCAGAGATCAGTAAAGTAGATCTTCGGAGTGTGCGGGACAAGTTGTCAGGACAGAATTATAGCAAGAAACGTAATCACAGGTGGAAAACCACGGGATTTGTGTTTCAAAGCCAGTACCTTGGCTTAATTCAGAAGTGACAGTAAAAGTTGATACAAGGAGATGATAATAATGATAATAATAATAGTATAGCACCTTGCGTTTTATAGCAGTCATTTCTAAGAAGCATGAAATATTTTATGTGATTTTTAAAAATTCTTGGATCTTACAAGACTCAGGCAGGAATTACTTCTGTCATTTAAAGGAACAAAAACCAAAGCACAAGAATGATAATGAGATTTGGTTAAGGTAAGTCTAAGTGTCCCAAAGTCTTTGGAGTTTGGGTCCAGTGCGCTTCCTTACTGGGGGTTGGGGGGATGTCTATGAGCATTCTAGAACAGGCTTTGAATAGATAGCCTTTGTGAACCATGCTTCGGAATGCAGAGGGAGTCAGTACTTTTATGAATATACATCGTGCTATTTGCTGTTTCCCGTAAAGAAATATCTCTTAATGTGATCTCCCACATTTTCGAAGCATAAAGGTTGTCATTCCTGTGAAAGTCAGGATGCATCAAAGCAATCTTCACAGCATTTGTCGCTCCAACGAAGGTCTGTCTTATTTTTAGTAAGATGTTGTTCTCCCACTCACCACTCAAAAATCTACGGAAGTAAGAATTTATTAACTTTTCAAAACAAAGGGGAGCATGTTGATCAGTGTTTTATTGGTACCCTTTATTTACTTTTAAGAGCTGCAATCTGTTGGTCTAAATTAGTGCTTAGTGGTCTTCATATCAACGGGGTAAGTTTGTGAGTGAATTTTTTTCCCTTTAGAGAGAATGGGACATACTGCTTTTCTTTGTCAGACCACTAAGTGTTAATAGTATTGGGCACTCACAGATGTTAAGGTGGTACTTTATTGTGGCAGAAAACCTTCTTATGAAAAAGATACACGCTTCCCTAGGTATAATGAGTAAATAAAGGATTCATTAAAGACAGTCTGCAATGCATTGAGGGGAGGGTGGCGGGGATATTTTTCTTATAACACTAATCAAACGTGAAGTTTATAAAGGTGTCTGCTACAGATTCATGACTGATTATTGGAGAGTTGCATTTGTTGAACTAAATAGTCGAGTCATTATGTTATCTAGTGCTTTTCTGAACCACCAGGGTGAGCAGTTTTTTCATAATTGAGGCTGAGTGTCATATGATTCTCGGGTTCTCTCAGGCTGATGTCTTGGATATCTCTCTTCTAAGGATATGTATTTTATGGACGATTTTAAGTGCTATAAAACTTTAGTAATGGGAAAATTATAATATTTGGATTGCCCTTTAGCTCTGTTGATGTTACAGGCAAGTGTCTGTAGAAGTGTGCCCTTAAGCAGCTCCTCGATGTGATGGGTTTCTTACTCTTGGTCTTAGATAACCTTATCTAACTTTCACCCTGAAGGCAGGGTGGTTACAAAGCTTTGCGTGGGAGAAAAAAATCAAACTTACTTATGTGTGTTTAATTATGTTTAGTTGCCCTTCCTTTCATGTTTTTTTTAACATATCTAAAGCTGGTAAGTTATCGCAAAGAGATGAAGACAACGCTCAGTGAACAGTGGTGATGAAGAAGATTAAGAAGGATCAGATGTTAGTTTTAATAGTGCTAGCTGGTGTTCAGGAGCTCGAGAGGAAAAGGAAGGAAAGAATATGATTTATATATCGAATATGCTATTTAATATGAATTATATTAGTTTTACCATAAATAATGGAAATGAAGACTGATTCCAGGATTTTGCTGGAATTACTACGTTGTTGTGTTGGGTCTTATTATTTACTGGGCTTTGCATTATGACTGTACTAGGAGAATGTACTATTTGCAAAGTAGTCATAGTTTGTTTTAAATTCCAGGCACAGTAATTAAATATTGACTACCAGTGTAACTCCAGGGAGTTGTGAAGAATCATTACAACTTGTCAGGTTAAATTTTAGCAGGGTGCAAAAAGTCGGCCTGATTATAGCAAAAGTGATGGTTGTTTTTTCAGCTTTTAACAATATGCAAGGAAATGATAAGTGCTATGGGTAGTCCATTTTGAAAAGGGAGTTCCGTACAACTTTTGAGAATTTTAAATGGAAAAAACATAACTTTTCTAACTTTTTTCCAGTTCGACTAATACCAGAATGCTTAGTGTGTGCAAGGCCCTTTCTGTGCTGGGCACTTCAGAGGATTCAGAATGAGAAAGACACTGGAGCCAGACTGCTGAAATATCCAATTCTGATGCTCTTTTGGCAGGCTTCAGGAGCACACACGTAGATACAAGAAAGAATACATTGATTTCAAAACATGCTACATCTGTGTTGGGTGATAAGCAATAACTATATCCCATCACCCACTCCCACCCTGATTATACCTCTTTCGTGGGTTTATACAAATAATATGTGTGTATTTTATTTCATTATTTTACTCCTATTCAACACCACACTGGAAATGTCTGTATTTAAAACATATATATCTATATATTTACTTGATTACTCTGACTTTAGTATATTTCCTGAGAAGCCTTGAGAAAAATTAAGGGATGTATATATACGTGTGGGATCATTCAAACACTTAACACAGAAAAAACAAAATACAGTACAGTGATGGAAGAATCTCTAATTTAGATGAAGGTATAGAAAGAAGTATCAGGAAGATCCCTGTTCTATATCTTACAGAGAAATTAGCTTCCATTTGACCCAGAAATTGATGTTCATAACCACCAGCTGTATTTTCTTTTTTCTTGGTTGGGTTTTGAAAGCAATATTGTACCACAGCCTTTCGAGGTGGGAAAGTTGCCAGTTTAAACCAATAAGCTAATGTCTCTCTGTAGGTACAACTACTGAGGCTACTTTGCCCACTTCAGTATGTGCAAGGAAGATAGTGTTTTGAAACTGCATCTTTTTAAAACACCTAACATTATCTCACATTTTCTCAGGGTTAGGAATCTGGGAGTGGCTTAACTAGATGGTTTTGGTTCAGGGTCTCATTTGCAGTCAAACTCTCAGCTGGGGCTCCGGGCTGCAGTCAATCTCAGGGCTTGACTTGAGGATAGAGAATTTTCTTTAGGTTTACACACAGCGGGCCTGGTCAGGCCTCAGTTCCTCACTGGCTGTTGTCTGGAGGCTGCAGTTCTTTACCAATGGGCCTCTCCTAGTGCATCATTTTTAAGGACTTCATTAAATTCTGTAATGATATATGCTGTGTATAAGTGACCCATCTTTGTTATTTTTTTCAAAAACTTTTTATTGAAATATATACCTGCAGACAGGTACAGAAATCATATGTGTTCAGCTTGATGAATTTTCACAAAGTGAATACTCCTTACTAACCAGCACCCAAATCAAGTCAGTATTATCGGTGCCCCAGAAGTCCCCTGATACCATCTCAACAGCTACCTGTAGCCCCCCTCCCCCCCCCACCCCACTAACTACTATCCTGTCATTTTATTTTTAAATCTGCTTTTAGAACTCAAGCTGAGTAACCTGAGAGTTTTAGCTTCAAAGCCAGGGGGAGAAGCAGTACAGAGCAGTGATTATACAGCTTTGGGGGGATTTATTTCATAATATGATGGAAGCTATGTTACTGCTCTCTGGTGGGGGTGGGGAGAGTGTGCCTACACAAAATTTTACCCACAATTTTAGGCCATTCATGAACCTTGATAACTAGAGTTTAAATATATGTTTCTTTTTAGATGAAAATGCTCACAACATTTTATTGAGAAACTGATTTACAAGTATTTCTCTTTTGACTTATTTGAAAAGCAAGTTCAGGACCACGATAAATGTTCCTGGAGAGTTACATGCAAGCTGAATTTTTAAATATTGAAATAAATTCTTGAGGATGATTAATGGTGACCACTTAAGCATCTACTAATATCCCATTTTTGTTACTGTGCAGACACATAGAAGGAAATACAAGATGTGATATTCTACTTCCAGGGCCTTACATTGAATTGAGCATCACAACAAGCCTGGTCATTGAGTTGTGAATTTGTAGTGAGACTGGTTTTGTCGACATGTCCCTGAATGGGGGGCAGTCACTACCCCGTTATCTTTTCCCCCATTCCAATACATGTCTGGAATACATTCATTCCTAACATTTATAGTGACTCATTACTAGGAAATTCTCAATGGAATGGGATTGGTACCCAGGAGGCATATCAAAATCTTGGGGGAGGGAGAGAGTTGTAAAAAACCTAGATCCTAAGTATTTCTGATATTTGCTTCAATGGCTGTTCACCCCTTCGCACATGTGTGCATGCACACAAGGACACACACACACTCCTACTGCCATAAAATGGGAAGGATGTATTTAAGAGAAGGCAGAATTGGAAACTTCATGCTAGCATTAATTGATATCATTTAATGCTCACCGCAGCAATGTAACATCGGTATAGAGATAATAGTAATAGAATTTTCCTTGAAATAAGCTGATTAAAAGACCTGGTATCCCTGGAAGACTGGAGAACTCGCTGTTGGAAGATTTAGATGATGTTCATGGTGGTGGTTATTGTAAGACTTACTGGAGTGTGACTTGGTTGGTCATAGGGAAAGGGGGATACCAGTATTAACTGAGTGTCTGTTATATGCCAGGCACCATGCTAAGCCTTTTATAGTGTTATGCCATTTAATTGGGAAACTCGTTTGGTCTCTGAGCCTGGATTAAGTGATCTGTGAAGTCCCTTGTACTTCAAGCATTCTGGATGGGATTTCCAGTTGTCATCCTTGTATTCTCTCCCCAATATAGCACCGTGTTCTCAATTCATATGTACATGTTTGTAAAATTCCTTAAAATATTTATGCTCAAACCAACATTTCCATTTTATCTATCTTAAATATATCTTCCTCTTCTTTACGCCTAATTTCTTAAACTCCCAGAGTTTTTTTCTGTAAGATCTAGTCATCTGTAGCACTTCTCACAAATTGAGCTCTCTTATGCCCCAAACAGTAACGAAAGAGGTCTCTTAGTTGGACAATAAGCAGTGAAAGATATTTCTTATGGGACAAGAAATTAACATTATTAGTCAAATGTTGATGCCGGTAGGCTGAGAAATGATTCTCACTTAAAAGCCCCTGGGTTTTAAACCTCTCTTAGAAAAACATTAGTTAGATGAAAAAAAAAATCAAAATATTTTCCTCTGGAAAACAATGTTCCTCTGAAAACAAGCAGATTATTAAAATATCCCTTGTACTACTTCAGGAAATTGTAATCTTATAACTGTAGTGGCCTTTTAGCTTTTAAATATATGAACTTGAGTTGGACACATGCTGATCTCATTGGTACTTTGCATGATAAGAAATTATGATATTTACAATGTGCAGTCTCAGAAAGAACTGAGAGTTTTGCTAGACATTTGCCCTAAAGTTTGAGTCAATTTATGGTTTAAAGGGGTGTATTTAAGGCTAGAAAAGGGAAATGAAGGGTTTTCTTAGGATTTTTTCCAATTCTATTTAAAATTGTTTGCAAAGTTTTGAAAGCATATGTCATGAGTTTGGCAAAAATTATTTCAAAGCTTGTTTTTTTTTTAACCTCATTCACCTCTGCTAACTCCTGAACTTCAGTGCTTTACTTCTGTCTTCCAAAAAGACGTTGTCTAAAATTAGTCATGAAATTTAACTTAACTGTAAGAACTTGAAACATAAAGTTTGCTCTGAAAAAGATCTGGGAAACCTGATGTATATTTCACATATCAATACATCTGTTGATGTATTGATAAAATCTATACATCTCAGTTGAAAAAAAATCTAAATTTTGCCCAATATATAGCCACAAATTATTTAGAATGTAATGTTCGTGTTAGTAGGTGATATTTTTGTCTTCAGCTTGTCATTGACCCATCTAAGGATCCCTGCGAGGTCTTGTCAAAAACTAGCCTGGGGCATACCCAAGAATTTTAAAGATTAAATAAAACTTACTGGAAAATGTGACCTTGTTTTCCTTAGTCTTAATATTTTGAACTGATAATGTTCCAGAACTGAGCAACTTTCTTCAGGCCTTCATAAAACCAAATTAAATTGTTTTTAGGTGAATTGAACCTGAGCAACAGGGAGTATTTAAGGACAGGCCAGGCAGGGGCACACATGCTTGTAGTCCCAGCTACTGGGGGGGAGGCTAAGCTGGGAGGATCACTTGGGTACAGGAGTTCAAGTCCAGCCTGGGTAACATAGCAAGACCCCAAGTCTTTTAAAAAAAATTAATTAATTAATTTAAATTAAATTCAAATAAAATAAGGACATTATCCCACAGGTGTTACAAATGAAAATTTGTTGTAATGTAAAGGATTATTTACTAGTTCTTGGAATTCTACAGTTAGCCACACTCCATACAGGGAGAGCAGAATGTTGTGAGCAAGAAGTTTTAATTTCACAGAATTCCTAAAACCTGTCCATTCAGAGCTGTTTGGTTTAGGTTACTGTTAATGTACCCTAGAGGTTCCCAAAGGCACATTTCGTGTTAACATTGATAGCATTGATAGGGTGAGACTTAAAAAAAACCAACCTTTTTTTTTTTTTTTTTTTTTCTTAAGATGGAGTTTTGCTCTTGTTGCCCAGGCTGGAGTGCAGTGGCGCAATCTCGGCTCACGGCAACCTCTGCCTCCCGGGTTCAAGCAGTTCTCCTGCCTCAGCCTCCCAAGTAGCTGGGATTACAGGCATGCACCACCACGCCCAGCTAATTTTGTATTTTTAGTAGAGACGGAGTTTCTCCATGTTGGTCCGACTGGTCTTGAGCTCCCGACCTCAGGTGATCCTCCTGTCTCGGCCTCCCAAAGTGCTGGGATTACAGGCGTGAGCCACCGCACCTGGCTGACCCAACTTCTTATCTATTCCTCCCATACCCGTCCCCTCAAATGTAAACAGCACTCACAAAAGTGGATATTTGGTTCATAGAGATTACTGTTGTGTAAATCTGTTGCCAGTGGAATAAAATCTTTCCTTTTTACTAAAATTTTATTCGTACAGTAAACTGCATCCATTTAAAGTGTACAAATTGACAGATACATACACCTGTGACTCCGGGATCAAAATATGGAACATTTCCTCTTTGCAGTCTGTTCCTCCCTCAGCTCTCAGACCCACACAACCCTGTTCTGCTTTCTGTCACTATAAATTAGTTTGCATTTTCTGGAATTTTATATAATGGACTTACTGTATACTCTTGTTTTCTGACTTCTTTCACTCAGCATAGTAACTCTGAGATTGATTCTCATTGTTGCATAGTAGGAGTGCTTGGTTACTTTTCATTGTTGCCAAGTATTCCGTTGTATGAATATATCACATTGGATGTATCCATTCACTCTTTGGGAGACATTCAGGTTGTTCCCAGTTTTTAGTCATTGTGAATAAAGATGCTGTGAATATTCATATACCAGTCTCTGTATGGATGTACATTTTTATTTCTCTTGAGTACCTGGGAGTAGGATGGCTGAGTCTTATTGTGTATGTTTACATTTTTAAAGAAACTGTCAATTTTCCAAAATGACTGTACCTCGAGTTATTTCATAACTTCGCCAACATTTAGTATTGTCATTCTTTTTGCCTTTCTAGTAGGATCTTGTGTTTTTAGTTTGTACTTCTTTGATGACTAACATGTTGAGTATCTCTTCATGTGCTTACTGACATTTGTATATCTCAGGCTTGCAAACCAGGCTGGTGTTTTGGCCTGACAGCCTGTTTTTGTATGGCCTGCACCCTGAGAATAGCTTTTACATTTTAAATGGTTGAAAACATCTAAAAGAATAATACTCCATGTTGCATGATAATTATATGAAATTCTGATTTCACTGTTCGTAAATAAGTTTTATTGGAACATGCATTCATCTATGTATCCCGTATGGCTATTTTTGTACCACAGTGGCAGAGCTGAATAGTCTTGACAGACATTTTGGCCTAAAATATTTACTTTCTGGCCCTTTAGAGAAAACATTTGCAGACTTCTGGTAGATCTTCTTTGGTGATGTGTCCCTTCAAATCTATTGCCTGACTTTTGGGTGGAGGACGTACCAGCCCAGTATGTTTCTAACCCAAGCCCAGTTTGACAGGAACTGCATCAAGTTCTTCAGTTGTACCAACCACATTTCAAGTGCTCAGTAGCCACATGAGGCTAATAGCTACCATATTGCATAGTGCAGATATAAAATATTTCCACTCTCATGGAAATTTCTATTGGACAGTGCTACTCTAGAATAAACTTGCCGCTGAACCAAAGGGATTAGAAGCAAAGTGGAACATAGGTTATAGGATTGCTTTCCTGGATGTCGATAAAAATAAGCTAGATCCTCGTCCTCTCAGATGTGTGTGAATGCAAATGGATATATTTTGTTATCCATGTATGTCCTGTTCTCTTGGCCAAGTGATGAGAGGAAGCAGTTAACTCATAAAAGAAATTCAGAATTTTACTGATAGGAAATAGTGTTTTAAGGGGAAAAAAACAAGTGTTAACTTATCATCTGCCAAAGCATTTTGCAAAGAACAAACCTTCTAAAATTCCCATATAGTTGTAACTGTTTTACAGATGAGATGGAGAATATGAAGGGAGATAGTAAACCATGAAATCACTTTTTCCTGGTGCTAAGTCCTGATTCACTAGCAATCGTAGTTCTCTTCAGCTTCTAATTTTAAAGTATTATTTACCATAAAGTTTTTCATAATAGCATGAGTTTTGAAAATAATTCAGAAATATTCTAAGTTGAAATGGCTAAGATAGCCTATTTTAAGATTGAATTTAAAGGGTTTTTTTTTTCCCACTGTAAACTGTTTTGTGTGACTGCGATAAGGGGCAGGCATAACTGACTCTAAAGAGTGAAGTGGAAGTCAGTAAATCTGTGATTACATAGTCATTCTCTTTGGCAAAAATATTATGTAATTATGAATTATTTTGTTCTTAACATAGAGATGTTTGTAAGTTTTTGGTGATTCATCACTCATGTCAATATCTCCCTAATCCATCCTAGAAATAAATGTTTTGCTGAAGTAGGAATCTAAATGCACCAGCTAACACTGAGAAGGTGGAGGAAATGTGTAATGAGTGGATGTTTTAGAGGCACCCAGAAGGATATGTTTTAAAACAACTTCTGCCATTTCTGGTTTCAAACATGGTTTTTGTCACATTCTCTAATTGACCAAATGTATTTTATGTACACCCTAAATGTTCACCTATTTAACAGAATAGTATTGTTTAGAATGGTATTATCCTTCTGGTTATTTGGTGAGATACACACATCAGTAAACATTCCCTCATTTGGCTGGTATTGTTTGATCATGTACTGTGTGCCAGATTGTTAGGCAATGGGAATATAAATGTGAATAAAATACAGTGTCCTTGCTCAAGGACCTGAATAGCTAGAAATGTATGCCAATAAGGGTTATAGAGTGAGATCGGTGATAGGACACATCTATGCATAGAACATAAGACGTAAGGGTCAGTCCTCCCTTGGAGATCCAGGAAAGCCTCTTAAAGTGGTGAATAATTAAGCCAGATCTGAAAAGGCCTGGTGTCCTCCAGATTGATAAGAGCACACCAAGCAGAATACCATAGATAAAGCTATATGTATGTTCACTTAACATTCCAGGAAAGCAAATATGGCTTCTGTGGAGGAAATCAATGTAATGGTAGGAAGAGACCAGGACATGAAGTGCCTGTTGTAGCATAATAATTGTACCGTAGGTGTGTGGTTGAAGGTTTTTAAGTAGAGTAACTGAATAATTACTGCAACAATGTTATAGGAAGTTGATTATCTGTTATCAAGTTGAATTAGAACCCACATTTTTTTCATAGTGAAATTCCATTTCAATAGCCTTTAGATGTTGTAAATATCTCAGATGTCAGATACTGTTGCCCAAGCTAGAGTGCAGTGTTGCGATCTCCGATCTCAGCTCACTGCAACCTCTGCCTTCTGGGTTCAAGCAATTCTCCCACCTCAGCCTCCCAAGTGAGGCTGGGACTACAGGCACGCACCACCATGCCCAGCTAATTGTTGTATTTTTTGGTAGAGACAGGGTTTCATCATGTTGGCCAGGCTAGTCTTGAACTCCTGACCTCAAGTGATCTGCCCACCTCTGCTTCCCAAAGTGCTGGGATTACAGCCATGAGCCACTGTGCCCACCCCATGCCTATCTTATTTCTCTCTCTCTTTTTTTTTTTTTAGACAGAGTCTCGCTCTGTTGACCAGGCTGGAGTGCAATGGCGCAGTCTTGGCTCACTGCAACCTCCGCCTCCCAGGTTCAAGTGATTCTCCTGCCTCAGCCTCCCAAGTAGCTGGGACTGCAAGCGCCTGCCACCACACGCAGTTAATTTTTGTCTTTTTAGTGGAGGTGGGGTTTCACCATGTTGGTCAGGCTGGTCTCGAACTCTTGACCTCAGCCTCCCAAATTGGTGGGATTACAGTCGTGAGCCACCGTACCTGGCCCATGCCTACCTTATTTCTTATTAACTTACAGCAACCGCAAGACTTGAGTGAAACACTGGTATTTTATTCTGTTTTGTTTGCTGGAACAGCCTCAGATTCTGTTACCACTGACAAGAGTAAAATGTTTTTTACAACCAGCAATGAAATAGGCATGCATTTAATTTATTGGCATGCATTTAATGCAAGAAAGAAGAGGTCATAGTCTCAGGAGTTTGAATAAATCATGAATTGTTGACTGCTCTGGCTGCCAATACCCCTTAAAGGTTTCTATCAATTCTACCTTAACTACTCTTGGTCTGTTTTGTCTCTCCATCCCATGTTTTAACTATTAGAAAACCAGATTCATTCTCTATCCTCTATCAACTGTTGTTTCAAGGGTATCTAGAAAAGGCTTCTTTTTTAAAATCTTCTATTCTGCTAGAAGATTACTTTATTTATTTATTTTGAGACGAAGTCTTGCTCTTGTTGCCTAGGTTGGAGTGCAGTGGCGCGGTCTTGGCTCATTGCAACCTCCGCCTCCTGGGTTCAAGCGATTTTCCTGCCTCAGCCTCCCTTAGTAGTTGAGATTACAAGCACCCACCACCACGCCCAGGTAATTCTTGTATTTTTAGTAGAGACGGAGTTTCACCGTGTTGGCCAGGCTGGTCTCGAACTCCTGACCTCAGGTGATCCGCACGCCTCCCAAAGTGCTGAGATTGCAGGCGTGAGCCACCACGCCTGGCCAGAAGCTTCTTTTAAATATGCTGTTTGCCTGGTCTTCCTTATTTGCTGACTTGATTAATAAAAAGCATTTTCTATAGATCATACAGCAGTATAAACTTGAAAAGCAAATTGATATTTTACAAAACTATTAAGGGAAAAATGATTTAGAATTCCAGAGAATGAGAAAACTAGCAATCTGTGGGGCGTGTACGTCAAAACTTCTTAAGAAACATTTACTTAATATTCTTTTTTACTTTTTTGTTTGTCAGAGGGTAAATATGAAACCCTGAATTCTTTGCTTCTGTAAATCAAAATAAAGGGTTCCAGGATTAAGTATTGTGATTGCTTTTATCTTTCTTCCCTTTAATGTTCTGTTTCGAGTTTCTTATGCTTCTTTCTTGCCGAATCTTCTAAAGAAGTACACGTGGTGTTTTGGGTTTTCTCATGCGAAAAGGGATAAGGAGGGCCAAAAAGCTTTCTTTTGAATTTTTATGCAAGTTAAAACTGTCTGTCTTCTTCCTTTATGCCTTTATTTCTTATCTCTTCTTTTATTATTTCTAACGTTTAAATGTTTAGATGACAATTGGACCACAGGTCAGTAGGCCAGGGGGGATGCTAAATGTTAATATAGTCTAGCGGCTAGTCGTCAACTGTAGGCTATTCATTGTTTATACCTGTGATATAGAGGTGTATACATGAGTAAATAACATACAGAATGGGAGCATTCAAGGAAAGTTGGCTGTAATGTATATTTAATATTCACATTGACCTCTGTTTAATATTTAATATTCACATTGACCTTTGTTAGAGAATCAAAGGTGTGTTTCTACGGGCAAGGAAATATTCATTGGCATGTGGTATATGGTAGTATTTTACTGCCGGGATTATAGGCATATATCACATTCTAAGGTTTTAGAACATGATGGAAATTTACTTCTCCTTTTGCTGGATTTTTTTTTTTTTTTTTTTTTTGAGATGGAGTCTTGCTCTGTCGCCCAGGCTGGAGTACAGTGGCGCGATCTTGGCTCACTGCAACCTCCACCTCCTGGGTTCAAGTGATTCTCCTGTCTCAGCCTCCTGAGTAGCTGGGACTACAGGCATGTGCCACCACACCCGGCTAATTTTTTCTCTTTTTAGTAGAGATGGGGTTTCACCATGTTAGCCAGGATGGTCTTGATCTCCTGACCTCGTGATCTGCCTGCCTCGGCCTCCCAAAGTGCTGGGATTACAGGCGTGAGCCACTGCGCCCGGCCCCTCCTTTTGCTGGATTTTACAGTGTTATTGTTGTTACTGTTATTTAATAGATAATATAATACAGTTTGAAAATTTCTCTAATTTTAGGCCTCAAGGCTATATATATCATTAGTTTCCTGAGTACATGTACAAGTCTGTTTAGCATTGAAATATTACCCTGACTCTTGTTTTTAAACAGAGACAGCATGATTCTATTAACACTGTAACATTTTTTATATTATATTTTATTTATATGGTGAGTCTATTAAGAAAGCATTGTTAAACCAGTTAACATTTCTCTACCAGGTCTACCCCTTTTGTTTGCCCATAGCTGAATATTTATGTTTCATTTGTGAATGCAGAAATTTTACTGTGTGTCCATGGTATTCAGAATAGTAACTGTTATCAGGTTAATGAGGTGATACTAGAATCACATCGTTTTTAAGCTAGGAAAAAATCTTAGAGTGTGATTATGCAGTAAAAAGAATTTATACCCCCTTTTTTTAGAGGGTAGCTAACTGTATATTGTTTGTTAGAGATAATGTATGAATTTTAACTTTTCCAGCCATTAAAATCTTAATTTTGTTATGTTGTTAGCATAATGAAAGAAAATGTACAAGTAAACATGCTTAAGGTTTAAACGAGAAAATGTTTTTTTCAGTTGTACATTGTTCCAGGGCAAATACTGTGCTACATAGTAGAGATAAAGCAGAGAACAAAATAGGCATGTCCTTGCTTTCGTAGTTCTTATAGATACTCAGTAAATTATACCAATAAATATATATTTATAAATTGCAATGAGTGCTGTGAAGAAAAGTGTTGTAATGAAATATTTTGGCCAGGTGCGGTGGCTCATGCCTGTAATCCCAGTACTTTGGGTGCGGTGGCTCATGCCTGTAATCCCAGCACTTTGGGAGGCCGAGGTGGGCGGATCACCTGAGGTCGGGAGTTTGAGACTAGCCTGACCAACATGGAGAAACCCTGTCTCTACTAAAAATACAAAATTAGCCGGGCGTGGTGGCGCATGCCTGTAATCCCAGCTACTTGGGAGGCTGAGGCAGGAGAATCACTTGAACCTGGGAGGCAGAGGTTACGGTGAGCCGAGATTGCGCCACTGCACTCCAGCCTGGGCAACAAGAGCGAAACTCCGTCTCAAAAAAAAAAAAGAAATATTTTAAGATAGAGAACTGATATTTTTATTTTGGGGTGACAGTATTCACTGAAAGAAGGGGACAGTGTACCAGACAAAAAGAAATGACATGTTGAAAGTTCCTGAGGAGACAAAGACGTGGATGAACTGTAAGGAGACATCCCAACTGAAGCTTGGGGAGCTAAGGAGGCAGTGGGGCTCAAGAGATTAGCAAGAACTAGAATATGATGGATTGCTATGCAGGCATTCAAGCCAGATTTCCAGAGATTTGGGTGATTTATTAAAATGCTAATTCCATAAATTAGGAAAAAGCATGGAGTGAAGCCTTGTGTAAACATCTTGACTATGATTTTCAGTTGCAGGGACTCACGCAAGGTGGATTGTAATAGCAAAAAAGTGAAAGTACACCACAAAGCAGGTTGTGACATCTGTGTGATTAATGAAGAAAAAACTTCATATGTTTTCATTTGGGCTGTTTGTTGGAATTAGGTCATAAGAAATGATAAACTAAAGTAAGGACATTTGCATTGTATGTAGGCATTACCAAGACCAAAAACCACACTTCCCATTTGCATCAGGACAGTCACAAAGGAGCTTTCATGCTTACTGCTCTGGGTTTTAGTTCTATTAGGTTTGGGCCCTAATTGATTTTGACTACTCTATGATTAGTACAGCCAGGCATCTAAAAGGACTTTTATATTTAAATAGCAGCTGTAGATGTTTGTGGCAGGAAGTTTCCATGCTAACTAGTTTGCCATATTGCTGGAACCAAAAGTCTCAACCAAGTTTACACAGAGTTTTCAAATGCATTATTTCTTTTTATTTTTATATCAAGGTGCAGGCTTCTTTCAGGTGAACAAACTAATTGGAAATTAATTTGGACATTTTGCCTAAAGTCCTACAAATAGTGAGAGTCAGGATTAAAATTCTAGTTTTAAGCTTGATGTTCAGGTATCTTTCCAGTACTCCCTCCTTTCCATTAAATACAGATAGTCTTAACTCATATATTTGGTGTGTGCATTAGTTTTCACTGACTAGCTTGACCTTTTGCTTTTTTCTCATAGATAGGACTTTAAGACGAATTTGTTTTATTAGACCGAATTTGGAGGAAGCATTGAATTTTGAAGCAAGATCTAAATTTTAATCCATTTAGTAGTGGTGTAGTAGTGTAGTAGAAGGTTAAATAACCTTAAGAGCTTTAGTTTTCTTATATATAAAATGGTGTTGGGCTTCCTACTAATTAAATCCATGGCCCTTCTCATGCCCATGCAGAGTCCACGTGAGGGGTGGTATGGGCAAGATATCTTTCTCTCTCTCTCAATCTCTCTCTCTCTGTCTCGTCTGCAAATCCCACAAACTCAATCAGCTTTCCTCATTTTTTGGTAGTTGCCACTATTCTGTCCCTTGGGGTTTTCTTTTCTCAAAACCTTTTTGTGGAGTATTTCTCTCCAAAACAACCTTGTAGAACCCTTTTTTGCCCCAATTGCTACAGGAAAGATCGACTGGGCATAAAATAACAACAGTATTTATTGAGCTCTTACCACCTATCAGACAATTTGCTAAGTGTAAATTCCTTTAGTTTCCAGTCTTTTAATGTCTGCTAACCCTACCTCTGCTAAAATTGCCTGGGACCACTCTTGAACCTACTGAATCAGGGTTTCATTGTGGCATGTTAATTTTTTTTAAGATCAGCACCCTCAAGTCATTCCGATTAGCAGCCATTTGTGGATCACTGATAATTATTCCTTCTACCATGGCCTCTGTCTCTGTGTCCAGAAGATGCAGTCAATCAACAGAACAATTTTTGCCCTTTTGTTTCATAGATGTAATTTGAATCTCATAGTCTGCAGTCTTGCCCAGTATCCATGTCACTAGATTTCTGCCCTGTGAAGAATGTTTGATGCTTATTTTCACCAATGTTACTATATGTATTAAATGATACATACTCTAAAGATAGTCTCAAAAGATTAATCTCCCAATTTTGATGACTCTTCAAATTTCGTGAAGCCACAAAAGCAGAATTTCCTAAGTATTTTTTTGGCTCATTGGTCTATCACCTGTTGCCCACAATAAGGATTATTTGATCTTAAAAGTTGGAAACTATGTATTGTATCTTTCTCTTAGACATTTTTGGTGTATATTAGCATACTAAAGACTCTTAGGAGTTCTTCTGTTTAAAAATGATTTTACTTTGGTTAACTGGGCAGTTCCCAAACTGGAATTTTTTTATCATGTAATCCTATTAGTGGCCAGTGTGAAACACTCACTCCTTTATAGGTAGAATTTTCTGGGGGTTTTTCTCTTCTTTTTTCATTTGAAAAAGAGGAATAATATTTACTTCATATAGGGTGGTTTTGCGGGTGAAATGAGAGTTGAGGGGGAAGCATTGTTGAGTGGTTAACTAGGCGACGCAGTACTGGCCTGAGTGCCTTGGTGTTACATACTGGCCTTAGCAAGATAAAAACTCACTCTGCCATCAACCTTTAGATCACTCTTAACGGACTCAGACTTTGACTAATCTGTTAGTTCCAAAATTATACCTTATTTTTAATGCATAGCACAATAAGAGGTTAAAAGTTTCAAAACTGCTTATCTTGTGGAATTTTTGGCATGGCTAGAAAGTGTTTAGATTAACGAGTAATTTATATAATCAATGGTAGATATGACCACCATAGAGCATACACAAATTCATATTAGTCGAATAAATGAATCAGTCTTATTTGGATGTGTTAAATGTATTTCCAAAACACAGTTGAGTTCAGTCATTAAACTGTTTGCTTTTTAAAACATCTTGATCTGTTATGTTTCAGGCTGAAGCACTTTTAATGTCTTACGGTAATAGTTACCAAGAAGATTAAACCTCTTAGTACGCATGTAATAGGAAGGACTTTTAATTGATGTTTTGCTGGCAGACTCCACAGGAGCTGAGTTTAGTGTACTTTTCCGACTGTGCTTGTCTAGTTTCCTAGGATTCTGAAGTAGCTCATGGCTGTTTCCCTCTGTTCCCATCACTGCTTCTGTCACTGCAGTGTCCCCATCTACAACAGCTGCCATTTGTCAACCCAGGGAAGGTATTTCTTTTTGGAGTTAGTTCATCAATTATTAAAAGGTTCACTGAAATCATCAGAAGTTATTTATTGGTAACCCTGTTTAATTGTAGAGGATCAAGCAGAAATTAAAGTACCCTGGACCAACAAGGAAATCAGTACCCGATTCTTGGTATCTTTGTTCCTCTTTTATAAAAGGAATATATATTTGTTAAGCAGATATTATGTTCAAATTGATCATCAGTTTTTGCAAGTAGGAATGTTACGTAAATGAGAATCTTCAAAGGTTTTGGAGTAATTTATAAAGTAGATACAAATTTTGCATTAAACTCCCACTTTCATTAAACTTTTATTACTAAAGCTTCAGAGAAATAAGATATAGATAATATTTATGAGCCTTTCATATCAATTTTTTTTCAAACTTTCTGCATATATAACCCCCTTTTAAATAGCTGTTGGTGTCTCACAAGCCCTCTGGTATTGATTTAAATTATTTTGATTTTAATGTAACAGATATTAACAATAGTAAAAATAGATGTAAATTCCTCAGGGTTGTCTTCTTGTGCAACTATAAACAGATTTACAGATTTAAAACAAACCACAGAACCAGTTACATTCAAATTAGCAACATATATTTAATATGTTAGATGATAATGTCTGTAATACTGACTGGTATACCATACTTTCTTTTCTTTTATATTTTTGTTAACATTTACATAACATAAAACTTAAAATTTGAAAGTTATGGAATTCATTGGCTTCCAGTACATTAACAATATTGTACATCCATTAGCACTATCTGTGTAATTCACAACATTTTCATCACTCCAAAAAGAAACCCTATACCCGATAAGTAGTCACTGTAAGTTCTTTTTTAGTTCATTATATCAGGACTGCTGGTATGCCATGTGATGACTCAATTTTCTCACCATTTTTCTGCATTCAAGGCACTGAGAAACTCACTGATAATGTAATTTCGCTTTCACTTGGTAGGATGCGTCATTTACATATTAGGTTCACCTCTGCTCCTTTTTATTTAGTCCTCAACGATTAAATTATAACTACTTGACACTAGTACACCCCTAAACAGGAATGTGAAAACCAAACATGATGCAGTACTAGATATGAAGGTGATCAGCCAGATGATTCCGAATACCCTTATATTAACTTTTTAACAGTCATAAGAATGAAAATACATCATTAAAAAAAAAATGTCATAGAGAACTCATGGAGCACTGAGACTATCTCAAGATCCCAGATTGAGAAACGTTATTTATGATTCTTGAGTTTTTATGTGTGCTGTTTAATGAGAATGAGGAGCCTGGGCATTTTAAATCTCTTATTATACTTTTAAATGTTTAGAATAATTGCCCTTCTGTCTGAAAATTATCTTTTTGGGAAAGTCTTATTCATATCTCATTTGGTAACAACAAGATTTTATTTACATTATTTTTTTCACTGGATACATGAAATATACTCCCCTTTGGAAATTTCAAGTTGATAATAAAATGAAATAATTTAGTTTTTAGCTCTTCTATTCTTATTTTGTTCTTTACATATTCTTTCTAAAAAATAGGTGTACGCTTTGCCTATGGAATATACCCATTGTTTTCAAGCAATAATTTGGTTTTGGATTTCTTTTTCTTTTCTTTTTTTTTTTTTGAGATGGAGTTTCGCTCTTCTTGCTGAGGCTGAAGTGCAGTGCTGCGATCTTAGCTCACTACAAGTTCCTTCTCCCAGGTTAAAGCGATTCTGCTGCCTCAGCCTCCCGAGTAGCCGGATTACAGGCATGTGCCACCATGCCCAGCTAATTTTGTATTTTTAGTAGAGACGGGAGTTTCTCCATGTTGGTCAAGTTGGTCTCAAACTCCCAACCTCAGGTGATCCGTCTGCCTCAGCCTCCCAAAGTGCTGGGATTACAGGTGTGAGCCACCGCCCCAGGTCTGTTTTGGATTTTTAAAGTTGCTTTAGGGCAGTTACTTCCAACAACCAAGTAATGACTTTTTTATGCCAACGTTAATTGAGTCAGATTCTTGTAGAATACTTGTAATATGAGCTGTCTCTAGATTTTTATGGATAAATTTTTAAACATATCAGGAAAACAGTATCTCCAAAATGGACAACTCTTTTTTATACTACCTAAAAAGATCAGAGGATAAGTGACAGAGTGGCAAGAAATGAGACTGAAGAGACCAAATCATAACATGCTTTCTGAGCTAAGCTAATGAGATTTAGTTTTATTCTGAAAACCAAGGAGAATTCATTGAAGAATATTTTCAAATGTAATTAGCAAACATTTAGTAGTCTTTTAAATTTTATTTATTTTCTTTGCATATGTGTTAAGAACATTATATTTTGTAATCTCCCTGAATTCTGTCATGTTTTTAAGAACTACTGAGTTATTAGCCTTTTCAGAACTGAAATACCTTTGCTGATGGAAATGTACCTTTTCAAATGTGAAGTTGATCTTCACACTCCTAAATCTAAATAGCTAAATCTAGTCCTTAGTAGCCAGAATGTGCTGTTTGAAAATTTGGCAGAGAGATTGATCAAATATGTTTGAATCCCTGAGTTCTTAATGATATTTTAAAAGTAATGGTAAAAATAACACCACCTTCAGAAGATGGTAGAATACCAATACCAATTCATTATCTTGAAAATTGATATAGGAAAAGAATCAAATATTTACCCTGCCTATTTCTTTGTGAGCTAAACCAATAGATAACTAAATAGTAGATGAGTAATAAAATGTTAAGTGTATTCTGATTAATAACTGAAAAAGAAATGATAGAATTAAAGTATCACCATTTTATAGTCCCCACTGAGTGGAGAGATGTGGGTAGTATGGGTAGTAAGCAACAGTGGCTCCCGGGATTACAAAAAGATACATAGTTAGGCTTTTTTTTTTTTTGAGCCGGAGTCTCACTGTGTCACCCAGGCTGGAGTGCGGTGGTGTGATCTCGGCTCACTGCAACCTCCATCTCCTGTGTTCAAGCAATTATCCTGTCTTAGCCTCCCAGTAGCTGGAATTACAGGTGCATGCCACCACACCCGCCTAATTTTTGTATTTTTAGTAGAGATGGGGTTTCTCCATGTTGGCCAGGCTGGTCTCGAACTCCTGACCTCAGGTGATCCACCTGCCTTGGCCTCCCAAAGTGCTGGGACTACAGGCATGAGCCACCGTGCCTGGCCAGTGGTCAGGCATTTTCATCGTCCTGTATAGTCTTGCCAAAAACACTTCCTGTATGTAATCTTGCCATAGGCGGGGTAGAACCTCAGTCTGATCCAATCTCTGGATGCATCTGTAGTTTTCAGGAAATACCCCAAACAGAGGTACATGCCGAATTATACCAAGCATATGTAATCAGCACAACCTAAACCTAGGGAACTCTAGGTCAAACAGCCTGAGTTCTTCAGTAGGTAAATTACAGTCATGCCTTGGTGTCTGTGGGGGATTGGTTCCAGACCTCCCCCATATATCTAAATCTGAGGATACTCAAGTCCCTGATAGAAAATGGATTAGTATTTGCATATAACAAGCGTATCCTCCTATATGCTTTTTTTTTTTTTCTTCCCTTTGAGATGAGGTCTTGCTCTGTCTTGCAGGCTGGAGTGCAGTGGCACAATCATGGCTCACTGCTGCCTTGACCACGCCACAACCCCGCTCCCTGGACTCAGGCAATCCTCCTACCTCGGTCTCCCTAGAAGGTGAAACTACAGGCGGGTGCCACCTGACTAGTTAAGAAAATTTTTTTTTTAGAGATGGGGTCTGGCCCTGTTACCCAGGCTGGTCTCAAACTCCTGGGGTCAAGCAACCCTCTCGCCTTGGCCTTCCAAAGTGCTGGGATTACAGGCAGGAGCCACTGCACTCAGACTCATATACTTTAAATCATCTCTAGATTACTTGTACTAGCTAATACAATGTAAATGCTATATAAATAGTTGTTATACTGTATTGTTTCGGGAATAATGACAAGAAAAACAGTGTATACATGTTCAGTACAGACAGACAAAATTTTGTTTTCCAAATATTTTCAATCCATGGTTGGTTGAGTCCATTAGTACAGAACCCACAGATACAGAAGGCCAATTATATAAGGAAATGGGAGGGATGCTGGAGAAACCTATGGATTAAAAGAGACCTAAAAGGTATTTTCGTTTGTTTGTTTGTTTTTCACAGACTCTATTTTCTAGGCTTAAGCGATCCTCCCGCCTCAGCCTTCCAAGTACTAGCTGGGACTACTGGCGCATGCCACCAGTAGTGAATTTTTTAAATTTTCGTTGTTGTTGTTGAGTTGGGGTCTCAGGATGTTGCCTAGGCTGCCAATTTTTTTTTCTGATGGACAAAATAAATAAACTGTGATGTCTAAAGAAGCACACATAGATGCTAAAACCATAAAAAGAAAATGGCAAGGAAGTGATTCCTATAAAAGTCGGTAATGGTTACTTAACATCAGGGAGGGGAGGGTGTTATGTATATCCTTATAATAATTCCATTGGTCATACATTGCAATACTGGAGAAGATACAAAGGTAGCAAATAGTTTTCCTAAGTATTTCTTGGTAAATAAGATAAATTAGATCTTTTGTAAGTCCTACTGTGTTTAAAGTGGTGCAGGACTCTCAGGGGAAGCTTTTCATCATTTGTAGCAGCAGTTCTCAACTTTTTTGGTCTTAGGGTCTTTTTACACTCTTAATATTTTCAAGGACCTCAAAGAGCTTTTATGTGGCTTACAGCTAAAATATTTGCTGTAGAAATTAAAACAATTTTTAGAATATGTGATTCATTTAAAATAACCATCTTAAACCCATTTTAGACATTATTGTGAGAAGCTTTTTCAAGCCAAAGCACAAAATTTTAGTAAGGTAGCATTGTTTTATAATTTTTTGTGAATTTCTTTAATATGTGTCTTATTGGAGTACAGCTGGATTCTCATAGTTACTTCTGCATTCAGACTATTTATGATACGTTGTTTTGGTTGAAGTGTGTGATAAAAATCCAGCCTCACATAGATAACGTAGTTTGAAAGGGGAGGAGTATTTCAATAGCCTTTTAGATAATTGTGGGTATTCTTCAATACTTCTTCAACAAGTGATAGTTTTGTAAAGGTTAATTGCAGTGTGGAATCTGAAACCATATCTGAACTTTCCTTACTCTTACATGAAAACCCTTTGGTATGCAGCAGTATTTATTTATGCTTCCCATATTGTCACATGGAAGACAATGTCACAAGATGTGTCCTCAAGTTGAGATTTAGTAAAAATAATTTTTTTGCTTCTTTATGAAGGGCAGTCTTACTTTAAACTAGCTGGGTTTTTGTTTTGTTTTGTTTTAAATGAGTGTGTGGCAGTGAAGAATATAATGGCTCCCAGTGCACTTTGATGCTACTGCCTTAGTTTGTGCTAAAGTACCAGCCGTTTTATCCACCATTGCCTTTGTACCTTTGGTGCACAGTTTGTGCAAATGTCAGTACAGCAAAGTGTATAAATAATGTCTTGGTATTGCTATGAAAATAGCTTAGCTCTTACAGACCTCCTAAGTTTCAGTAACCCCCAGGAGCCCATGGACCACATTTTGGGAACCTATGAACTGGAGAACTTCATATATTCTCACTAGCTGTTATATCCAGCACTCTCGGGTTAATTTTTTAGAAAGACGAAAATGACTTCTTGGATTTTTAAGGAATTGGCACACAATACGGCTTTCCCTGGCTTGTCAAGAATTAAGAACTTGATATTTTATGGCAGTTCCTTTTGAGTGTCATGAATTAAATAAAATATTTGGGACTGTAGTGTTAGGATGCTATGGTGATTGACAGCATGTTTTAAAATATTCTAATTCACATCATCTGAGAAATGTATAGCCCCTTTTATTCTTTGGATTACTATAACTGAACACATTTTTCTCACAAGTGTTTCTTGCCATAATTTATTTGAAGAAATTTAGATTTAAGGATATAAAACCAGATTTTGATAGTATTAAAGGGTGAGTCATTTTGTTAAACGCGTAAAACATTCCTTATTTCCTTCCCTTGAGAGTAAATACAGAATCCTGTTTCTTCCCTCCTATTTTCCCACTAGTGAGGGTAGGGCTAAGGTGAGAATTCTTGTTTTCTCACCCAAATATCTCACACATTTGAAAGACATCCTACTATTAAGCATTTATTTATTGACTGCTTGCTGTATGTTCAACATTGTGGAATATCATGGGAAGATAAGTTATAATCTTATTAAACAAAGAGAAAAAGGCAGCATATGGTTAAAGTATTTAAAAAGTATATTGCTGAATTCAAAGTTGTGCCGGAGAGAGTAGTATGATCTGAATATTCAGAAAAGCTTCATGAAGGATTTAAGACAAGCTAATAATGTTTGGAGAAAAGGGAAATGTTATAGACAAAAATGTATCTGGAGTTCAACAAAACGTTTGATAAAATCTCTCTGAATACCCTCATATACATGAGGTAATTGACTAAAATGTAAAATTTAATATAGTCTCAAATATTCGTTGAATCATTGAGTAACTAGTTGAATGGCCATACCCAAGAGTGGTAATCAGTGAATCACTGACAGCTAGGAACAAGGTTTAGGGCCCAGGACTCTGACCATGAGCTTTTCCTGTATCAGTAACTTAGGTAAGGACATTCATTCAGTATGCATTTATTGAATACCTCCCATGAGTTATATATTCCACATGCCATCAAAAATAAAAAATAAGGGTCAAACGCGGTGGCCCTGTAATCCCAGCACTTTGGGAGGCCTAGGCGGGCAGATCACCTGAGGTCAGGAGTTCGAGACCAGCCTGGCCAACGTGGTGAAACCCCATGTCTACTAAAAGTACAAAATTAGCCAGGCGTGGTGGTGCACATCTGTAATCCCAGCTACTCGGGAGGCTGAGACTGGAGAATCACTTGAACCCAGGAGGCGGAGGCTGCAGTGAGCTGAGACCACACCACTGTACTCCAGCCTGGGCGACAGAGTGAGACGCCATCTCAGAAATAATAATAAAATAAAATTTAAAAATAAGGAATATTCTTTTAATTTTTTTAGTATTTATTGATCATTCTTGGATGTTTCTCGGAGAGGGGGATTTGGCAGGGTTATAGGACAATAATGGAAGGAAGGTCAGCAGATAAACATGTGAACAAAGGTCTCCGGTTTTCCTAGGCCCTGCCGCCTTCCGCCTTCCGCATTGTTTGTGTCTCCGGGTACTTGAGATTAGGGAGTGGTGATGACTCTTAACAAGTATGCTGCCTTCAAGCATCTGTTTAACAAAGCACATCTTGCACCGCCCTTAATCCATTTAACCCTTAGTGGACACAGCACATGTTTCAGAGAGCACGGGGATGGGGGTAAGGTTATAGATTAACAGCATCCCAAGGCAGTATAATTTTTCTTAGTACAGAACAAAATGGAGTCTCCTATGTCTACTTCTTTCTACACAGACACAGTAACAATCTGATCTCTCTTTATTTTCCCCACATTTCCCCCTTTTCTATTCGACAAAACTGCCATCGTCATCATGGCCCGTTCTCAATGAGCTGTTGGGTACACCTCCCAGACGGGGTGGCGGCCGGGCAGAGGGGCTCTTCACTTCCCAGACGGGGCAGCTGGGCAGAGGCGCCCCCCACCTCCCAGACGGGGTGGCGGCCGGGCGGGGGCTGCCCCCCAAGGAATATTCTTTCCTTTAATCTCAAAGGAATTATCCTTTAATCTGTAATCGCAAAGGAAACTCATATAAAAAACTGCTGGAATAGAAGTCTAACATGCTGGTCATAGACAGAGGGGGTAGATTATTTGATAAGAGCTAGAAAGATGTCTAAATTATACTGGAACAGTTCTCCAAATCTGACAAGATAAAATTTTATACAGACAAATGCAAGATCCTGCAGGTAGGTATGGAAAAACTACATAGGTGTAAAACAGGAAAGATACAGTTTAACAACATGTTTGAGACAAAATAGGCCTTATGAAATTTTTAGCATGTGGCATGGTACGTTATCTGAAAATCCTCCTACTGTACAACACCCCAAAATGCTTAGTAAATAAAATATTGAAACAAATCCTTTTAAATACATAGTCGGCCTTACTCAAAGTAAGGAAAATTCCTTGGGAGCAAAAATGTGTAAGAATTCCATTTCCTTTTGTATGGCAAACCAATTATTCTGAAGTGCCTTATCACTGTAATATAAGTAGATCCTCTTTAAATTTGAATAAGCCTCCTTTTTTAATGCATTGACAAGCTTGCAAGAAATAAGGGAAATCTCAATACCCTCACACCCATTAATTAACTTAAATGAACCTATTCAGACTGGAGTGTTGGGAGTAGTGAAGTCAAAATTGCTGTAGGGTCAAATGCCAACATGAAACCCTTATGCCCACTGCCAGATGAGGAAGCCAAAGCTGAGACTTCAGGATCCTAGAAAGCACCTTGGAGTTGTTAGCTCCCCATAGCCACTAGCAGAAACAGGAAAATGGAGGTACTCGGGATTTCCATAGATTTATGTCAACATATGATGAGCTTATAAACAAAAACTACCACACACACATGCATCTGCATGGAAAAAGCCACCATAGAAGAGATTCAGCACAAACTGTAAGTAGCAGGTTTAGGTTACCCCATCCTCCCACGCTCACACTTCGGATACTGACTTCAGATACTGGAAAATCATCAGATACAGAATTATAAAATAAGTTAATGCTTAACAAAATAATATTTAAAAGGAAAAATAAGCAACCAAAAAGTGACCGTCAAAAACAACAAGGCATACTTGAAAAATAATCAAATATAAGTTTAAAATATAACAGGTGAAATTTAAAACTCAGTGAATAGATTAGCATATTAGATAGTGTAGAAGAGAACTAGAAGATCTGAAGATACTGTTCAGATTACAGCACGGGGCGACAAAGGACATGAAAACTGCAAGTGGTTAAGAGACATGGAGGGTAAGATACCACGAAATAACTAGAAAGACACTAGAGGAGAGGCTTTTCTAGAACTGAAAAAAAAAAACAAAAAAAAAAAACATGAATCTAAGTTAAAGAAGTTCCACATATGCAAAACAGGATTTTTTTTTTTTTTTTTTTTTGACGGAGTCTTGCCCTGTTACCCAGGCTGAAGTTGCAATGGTGTGATCTCGGCTCACTGCAGCCTCTGCCTCCTGGGTTCAAGCGATTCTAAAACAGGATAAATTTTAAAACTCATACCTACACACTTTATAGTAAAGCCACAAATAATAAAGACAAAACATCTTATCAGAAAGAAAACATCACCTGCAGAGAACAGACTGGCAGATAAAGACATCTCAACAGCAACCTGGAAGCCAAAAGAGAAAAGTGAATGTCAGCCTAGCATTGTGTGCCCAACAAAATTATCTTTCAAGAATGAGGGCACTAAAAGTCATTTTTAGATAAACACAAACTAAGTTTACTACCAGCACATCTTTACTTAAGGAACTTCCATAAGGGATATACTTAAAGAAGGAAAATGCCATAGAAGTGTTTGGTTATGAAAGAAGCAAAGGTGACCAAAGAAATTGGTAAGCATAGGTAAATCTAAACATCGTATGACATAATAGTATTATCTAATGTTTAGGGCTATGGAGACAAAGCCAAAATAAGGGACAGTAACAGCGTAACACAGGATACAACTGATGGGAGTTTATCTTCTAAGATCACTGTTACTCAAGAGGGGAGGGATAAGATACACTGCCTAATTTTGGACTTTTTTTTAGAATATGTGATAACTAGTACTGGGGAGAAAAATGGAATTCAAAAACAAGCAAAAACATCTTTAAAAAAGAAAAATAGAACAAATACAACATAAAGGAAGAAGGGACAGAGGGGTCTGAGGTATATTAGTAATCACAAATATTAACCTCAAAATGAAAAGCCAGTTTGCGTGAATTGAAAATAATACCGTAGAGGAAATTCAACCTTACTAATACCATCACCACTACCCCTGCAACATAGACACACATCATACACAATATTTAAGAGGTTTTTACATCTTGGGTGAATGCGAAAGAAACAGAGCTCTTAGAAGATAATATAAAAGAATATGTTTATGACTTTAGGATAGGAAAAGATCTCTCCAACAGGGCAAGCAAAGCACTAATCATAAAGGAAAATAATGATAAATTAGGCTGTGTTAAAATTAAGAACGTATATTCATCAAAAGATGAGCATATGAGGGAAAAAGCAATCTACAAAGTGGGAGGGAAGATTTATAACACATTCTGACAGAGGCCTTTACAGATTACAAGTCACTAAATAACAAAAGATTGAGCTTCTCAAGTTGTATGTGCTTTGTGAAATAGCTTCAGAATATATACGGTAAAAACTGATAGAACTATAGGATAAAACTACAAAAAATAAAAAAACATGGCATGTTTGAAAGCCCAGAGGAAGAAGGAGCACAGTGGATTTGAAAACCAGAGAGACCAGAGGATTCTCATTGAAGAGTAATGAGAGAGTAAGTTTAGAATAGATTAATTCAAAGTCAGATTACTTACCAAATTTGTAATACCTCTTACTCTCATATATTGACCTAAAAGTGAAACCCAACCCTTAATTAGAAGCAGAGCGCAGATTTCACAATGCAGTCATGCACTGAATAGTGACATTTTGGTCAACGATGGATCACATTTATGACAGTGGTCACGTAAGATTATAATGTAACTGAAAAATTCCTGTTGCCTAGTGACATAGCCATCATAGCACAACATATTACTTTAAACATACCTGCTTAGGTGTTTAGATACACAAAGACCATTGTGTTACGGTTGCCTAAGGTATTCAGTACAGTAACGTGGTACAGGTTTGTAGCCTAGGAGCAGTAGGCTATACCATATAGCTTAGGTGTATTGCAGGTATGCCATCTAGATTTGTGTAAGTACACTCTGATGTTCACACAACAATGAAATTGCCTAAGGCTATATTTCTCAGAATGTATCCCCATCGATAACGCAAGGCATGACTATACTTTAAAGGAGTTTTTAAATGTTTTTATATACTAGATTGACTCACATAAAATTGTCATTTTTACAGGTCAAAAATATTTGGATATTTGGCCTTTTCATGTGGTTCAACCTGATATGAGGAATTGAGCTTTTCTAGTTTTGTTTTTTTATTCATCCTTCACCAGAAAAATAAGTATTGAGAGGCCAGAATTCATCATCCTATCAAAAGCATCTATGCCAGAATCTTCCTGAATTCATTTAACATTTTACACACCAGAAGGCATCACAGGTTTTAGGAATGACACATTCTCAGACTAGATAGATGTGGGATTATTTCAAATAAACCATTTGGTTCCTCCAAGGATCCTTTAAAAAGTCACCCTAAAGAGCATAGCTACTGAATGTATAGACTCATCCATAGTTACTTGAGTCATTACCAGGAAATATGCCCCTCAGTCTGTGGGCTTCTGGCAGCAATCGCAAGTTACGGGCCCTAAGATGAGAACAGATGAAAGTTTCCACAAGTGAACTTAGTTTTCTAAAGGTTTGTTAATCTCTCTGTTCAAATGATAACCCTACTTCTAGTTTCTGTTTTACTGTTGTATCACATTTTTCAGAAAAATCTCATGAACTGACACATTAGTTCCAGAAATTAACATTATACATAAAATTGTTTATTCTCACCCTGTGAAGTTTAATTTCTGCATTTATAATTAAGTGACTTTACTTCCTAGGGTAGCACGAGTCATGGGGATTCCGTTATTGCTCTGTCAGCCATCAAAATACTGCCCCAGGCATTCTTAGCCCATTGCCTGCCTAGAGGCAGTTGCCCATATAGCTGCCCTTGTCTGAAGCCTACATACTGATAGCATGGCACTGATAATTCTTGGATTCTTACTATGTGTGATACTTCTCCCATTATTGCCACTCAGATGGAAATTCTTTTTATGCATTAATTGTGTCAGAGTAGTTACAGAATGGGTTAACATTTAAGAATTCAGTTAAAAGCAATGTGGTGGGGGAAGAAGTTTTAGAAGAGCAATATGGTGAACATTATGGGAGTGTTACCTATAGTGTTAAAGGCCACGTGGTTCATGACTTTCTTTCCCCCATATAACAACAAAGGCATGGCAGCCACTGCCCTCTGCCAGGAGTCAGGTGAAGCTCAGTCATGGCCAGGCTGTTTGTTGTTGTTATTGTTGTTGTTTGTTTTTGAGATGGAGTCTCTTTCTGTTGCCTAGGCTGGAGTGCAGTAGCACCATCTCGGCTCACTGTACCCTCCACCTTCCAGCTTCAAGCGATTCTCCTGCCTTAGCCTCCCGAATAGCTGGAATTACAGGGGAACACCACCCAGCTAATTTTTGTATTTTTAGTAGAGACAGGGTTTCGCCATGTTGGCCAGACTGGTCTTGAACTCCTGACCTCAGGTGATCTGCCTGCCTTGGCCTCCCAAAGTGCTGGGATTACAGGTGTGACACACCGTACTGGGCCCTAGGCTGTGTTTTTAAAAAGCACTTGGCCTTGGTGTCTTCAGTCTCTTGCTCTCAGGTATTGTTCAGTTCTGAACTTGACTGACCACTGTTGGTCATTTTTGTTAGAGATTTGCAGGTAAACATTTAACGTATTGTAGTTTGGGAAATCTTTTACGTTTCTGAAGAGAGTGTGGGTAGTTGTAAGGACTTTGCTTTAAACCTAATCACCAAAGCAGGAACAGAAATTTAAGTTCCAAAATAAATTTTTAAGGTCATTTTTAATCTCACTTGTTTCATAGACGTTCAAGGACATTTTCAAAGAAACACCTGAAGGTTTAATTAGCTTTAGTGCCATTCATTGGTGGACTATTTCATATTCCTAAACTATAGGAGCTAATTTTTGTTCTTCTAAAGAGAACAAAAGTGAGAATTATTCTCCCCATCAAATGAGTAAGATTTGTTGGTGAGGTTATGTTGACATGTTTAGGTTGCATCATGTCTGTTTTGGGGAACATTAGTGGTGTTTTCACTTAAGCTGCTAGATTGTCAAATTAGTTTCAAGTTGTCTTTATTAGCCTACAAATAATATTATATGGACTTTCCTTAGATGAATTCAAATTGATGTATCTTGCAACAGATGATTGTTACTTTAACTTTAAAAGAGTTCTGTGAATTAAAAACATATAGTATATACATATATATTCATATTTGTTTTTCAGAAGCCTTTCCTTGAATTAATTTGTATAAAATTTATATTTACCTTTTACTTAGAAAATGAGAATACCAATGGGATTTTTATATTCTACCGTAAATTTATATAGAAAATGAGGTATATATAAAGTATCTAGAGCCTGGCGTATAATCCCAGCACTTTGGGAGGCTGAGGAGGGTGGATCACTTGAGGCCAGGAGTTTGAGACCAGCCTGGCCAACATAACAAAACCTCGACTCTACAAAAAATACAAAAAAAAAAATTAGTTGGGCGCGGTAGTGCATGCCTGTAATCACAGCTACCCAAGAGGCGGAGGCTGGGGTGAGCCGAGGTCACATCGCTGTACTCCAGCCTGGGCGACAGAGCGAGTAAATTTAATTAATTAATTAATTAATTAATTAAGGAAGTACCTAGCACAGGGATCAGCATATAGTTGGTACTCAGCAAAGTGACAGTTTTTCCTTTTTGAGGACTTGGTGGACATTATCCAGAGAGAATCCTTGTTAGGTGACATAGGTAGATATGCTCACCTCTTTGGTTAAGTACGTCTTTTTTTTTTTAAACCTATGAGGCCTACCTTAATTACCCTTTTGAATACTGCAACCTACACTTCTATTATATACCCACATATACTCTTAATCATCCTTACTCTTCTCTGTTTTTTTTATAGTATTTATCACCTGCTAACATACCATATAATTTATTATAATATGTTTAATCAACCATTTAGAATTGTGTTTGGCACAAAGGTACTCAGATATTTGTTGTTGTATGGATCCTGTTTCCCATGTAATGGAATAGAAACATTCGAGAATTAGGGGACTTCAGAGTCACATAAATAGTCTAGGGCAGAGCTGCACATAAAACCACCAGTTAAAGCCCTTTTCTGATTTGCATGTTCAGTAGCCTGCTTTTCTGCCCATTTTGTTTGAATATTAATGCAGCTTATCAGCATCTGGTCACACTTAGAAGAACCAATAGCCGTGTAGGTGTGTTGTCAACTGTTTTGTTATTGTCTCCCAACTATTGCTAAGGTTTTTCAGAACCTCACGTTCTCAGCCCAGTATTTTGGAAAATTCTTTATGAAGAGTATGTATGGTACTGGAATTTACATAAAGTCTTACATTAATTACGAGTCTTACAGCTGTCGATCCTAATGCTGTCTCTACAGTGTGAATCCCTAGAAGTGATGAAGAGACACAGCAGTTAATCAAGATAGGAGGGATTGGTGATAACCAGCCCAGTCTCAGCAATTTCAGTAAAAATCCAGTACCATCCCCACATTGTGCAAAAATGTGGCGTTAATGACCTGTTCAGCAGGTGTTACTTCTCTCCTTTCCTAGGATGGCCTGCTTTCTTCCTTTGTGAAACTTTGGCTCAAAAAACATGCCACTTTAGGATGTGAGGGATGGTAAAATAACTATAGTCATTTCCTGCAACAAGCTTGTAAATGAAAACTATTAGGAATATTCAAAAATAAATGTATTGCTATGCTGCACACTGACTTTTTTGTTACACAGTTTGCTAGGTAGATAGGTAGCAACAAATCTACAATTTAGTATCAACCCTGTTCTTCAGGTGAATGAGTGTTGTATTTTTTTTTTAATGGAAGCAAATGCTTGATTGAGCTGCAGGAACTTATAGAGAAAATGTTTTCAACTGTTGAAGTATGTCAGAATTGTATTCAGAATTTTGAAAGGAGGGTAGAACACCAGAGAAGCTATATAAAATAGAAGACTCATACAGCAAACTAAAGTATACTTTGCTGACTTATCTGTAGAGACATATGTTTGGATGGATGGCAGGCAATAATTTAGAAAAGTAACAGTAGGTTATTTAATATGAGCATTACTTTGAAATGACTTTATAAATTTAACTAATCGAAGGACTTTCTATATAGATCCTCTAGGAGAAAAATATTTTATACCAGATAAGTACAGTATGGATTCTAGTTTAGAATGGCAGAGAGCCACGCTTGGTTACGTTGGCTTTGACAATGAATGTCAGTGTTATAACGCCTGTGTTTTCAGCTAGAGAATTGTAACCATTCTGTTGCCCTGTCAGGTGGTAGGGAGTGGGAGTTGGGCATGAAAGCTAAGATACAAAATGTCATGTTTTAGTATTAAATATTGGTTAGTAAACTAGCCAGCATTAAGATCAAACTGCGGAAGGAAGAATAGGACTTCTTAAACTGGCAAATTAGATGTTTTTACTAGACTTTATTTTTTAGAGCAGTTTTAGGTTTATAGAAAAACTGAGCAGAAAGTACAGAGTTCTCACATACCCTGTTATCCGCCCCTCCCCCTCTCTCCCCACCCCTGCCCCCGCCCATTAACGTCTTGCATTGGTATGGTATATTAACAATTGATGGGCCAGTATTGATACATTATTAACAACTGAAGGTCACTCTTAGTGTTGTGCTCTGTGGGTTTTGACAATTTACAGTGACATGTATCTACAATTACAGTATCATAAAGAACAGTTTCACTGCCTTAGACATCCCCTGTGCTCTGCCTCTGCCTCTTCATCCTTCCCTCCCTGCCTCTGTCACCATCATTTCTCCCCCCCTGCAAACTCCTGGCAACCACTGCTCTTTCTGCTGTCTCTATTGTTTTGCCTTTTCCAGGATGTCATATAGTAGTTGGAATCACCCAATAATGTAGCCTTTCAGATTGGCATCTTAAACTTAGCAGTATGCATTTAAGTTCCTCTATGTCTTTTTGTAGCCAAGTTTTGGTAATTATGAATAAAACTGCTATAAACATTTGTGTACAGGTTTTGTGTAGACATAAGTTTTCAAGTCATTTGGGTAAATACCAAGGAGCGCAATTGCTGGATCATATGGTAAGAGTATGTTTAGTTTTGTGAGAAACTGCCAAACTGTCTTGTAAAGTGGCTGTACCATTTTGCATTCTCACCAACAGTTCCTGTTGTTCCACATCTTTGCCATCATCTGGTGTTATAAATGTTTTGGGTTTTAGCCATTCTAATAGGTGTGTAGTAGTATCTCACTGTTACTTTAATTTGCAGTTTCTTGATGATACATGATGTTAACCATCTTTTCATATGCTTATTTGCCATCTGTGTATCTTTGGTGAGGTGTCTGGTCAGATCTTTTTGACTTTTTTAATTGGTTTGTTTTCTTATTGTTGAGTTTTAAGAGTTCTTTGTATATTTTGGATATCAGTCCTGTATCAGATTTTTGCAGAGGTTTTCTCCCATTTGGTAACTAGTCTTTTCATTTTCTTAAGCAAATTAGATTCTGTTTGTAAATGAAATTTCTATCCTGGAAATTTTAAGAACTAGTAACATATAGAAAGAAGAGGGGGACTGGGGAAGATAATTCTCTGGGCCAGTTTATGTATTTGGCTAGCCTGATAATAAACCTAAGTACAATTGTTTGAATCTGAAATCCTTTTTATCTAGTCATTGTAAAACATAATGATGGAGCTTAGTGATAGGTGGCCTCAGAGAATTGGTGATTGTGTGTTTTTGATCGCTTCCTTTGCTCTACTATATATAACGCAGTGTTTAAATGGAGGTTTTAATAGGATTCTGTACAAAATACACCCAATAATCCGGTTTGAATGTTGTATCAAATTGATCCTAAAAACATAAACTTAAAATAATAAATGTGGGCTGCGTGCAGTGGCTTACACCTGTAATCCCAGCACATTGGGAAGCCAAGACAGGCGGATCACGAGGTCAGGAGTTCGTGACCAGCCTGACCAGCATGGTGAAACCCCATCTCTACTAAAAATTCAAAAATTAGCCAGGTGTGGTGGCACAGACCTGTAATCCCAGCTACTCGGGAGGCTAAGGCAGGAGAATCGCTTGAACCCGGGAGGTGGAGGTTGCAGTGAGCTGAGATCTTGCCACTGCACTCCAGCCTGGGCAACAGAGTGAGACTCCATCTCAAAAAAATAAATAAATAAATGAAATAAATAAATAATAAATGTGCACCGGCCCAACAGTGTCCCTCTGCAGTGTAGCTTACATGAGAACTCAAAAATAAATAGCTCTTGGAAACCAGAACTTAATGAAGTGAGTTTATACAACTCTTTCTCATATTTTGACTGCTTTAATATCTAGCCAGTAGGTTATCACTTTCTGAACTTTAGAAGTCAGTTGTTTGACCTTGTTTGCTGTATGGTAAACATCACTATTTGTAAGGAAAAAATTGATAAGACATTAAGTTGATCACATCAATTTAAGTTATTTGAGATGTTGGTTAACATTCTTAGGAGTACTGAGCTATTACAGGATTGTTCTTCCAGTATAGACCTGCTTATAAAAATGCAGTTTTTAGGGAAATGGTAATATAGCAGGAAAGTTTATTTACATACATGGTTGTTTAACACTGCAAATTTGGGTTCTCAAATAGCTGAATATTGGCATTCTTTCTTCAAGTAATCTGCCTGGCCTGTATAATCTTTCATACTCAGCCATTTTCATAGTGGAGTACGTTGTTTTGGTCTTTTAATATTGTCCATGCAGAATCAATTCCATAAAAGGAATTAAACAACTTTCTTTTTTATGAAGAAGGAGTGAAGGTGGCAAAAGCCAGGTATATGGGGTTTTTTTTCCTCCTTATCAGAACTCAAACTGTCTTTTGTCTTTGGAACATTAGTTAAAAATGATGGTGCACCTTTGTAGAAAAACTTTCCAAATTTAAAGTACAGTGTTTGTCAATTGAGGGCTTTTCTGTACAGTAAACTTCAACACGGATTAAGGTGAAATCTTAAATGAGAATTCTCATCCAGGTATTCTGTCCTCAGGTTAAAGTAGGCAGTGGTGGCAGGGATCTTGGTGATGATTCTGTGAACATGACTTGTCCCTGAAGCCACATTGCTTGAATAAGGCCTGGATGCTCTTAATGGCCAACTCACAGTTGTTGTCCTGGGCCCTTTGCCGTCCTTCCAGGGGTTTCCTTGATATCCCTCTTCTCTGTTGGGTTTCATAGGATCAGCATGGCCATATAACTCATGGCCTGTATTCTGTGCTTACCTTTTTTTTTTTTTTTTTTTTTTTGAGATGGAGTCTCGCTCTGTCTCCAGGCTGTTGTGCAGTGGCATAATCTCGGCTCACTGCAACCTCCGCTGCCTGGGTTTATGTGATTCTCCTGCCTCGGCCTCCCAAGTAGCTCGGACTACAGGTGCCCACCACCGTGCCTGGCTAATTTTTGTATTTTTAGTAGAGACGGGATTTCACCCTGTTGGCCAGGATGGTCTTGATCTCTTGACCTTGTGATCCACCCGCCTCAGCCTCCCAAAGTGCTGGGATTACAGGCATGAGCCACTGCGCCCAGCCCCCGTGCTTACCTTTTTATGGAATTACACTTTACTTTGGTGTGAAGTATATTCTGTAGTAGCTCTTCAAAAAGGGGAGCATGGAGGATAGATTTTTGTGGCCTTACACCCCCAAAGATAACTTTGTTCTACTCACACATGATTCCTTCCTTGGCTAAGTATAGCCTTCTATGCTGGAGCTCTTTCTCTAGAGGATTTCGCAGGAATTGTTCTGTTGGCTTCTTGTTTCCAGTGTTCCTTTTGTGATGTCCAGAGCCATGTGATTCCTGATCCTGTTTTGTTTTCTGTGTTTCTCTCTCTGCTAAAAGCAGCATATGGAATCTTCTCTTTGTCATCAGGTTTCTGAGGTTTCCCAGTGGTGTGCCTCGGGTGTGGGTTGACTTTCATGTATTATGCTGGCATTGGGTGGACACTCCATTCTGGCAACTGATGTTTTTCAGTTCTAGGAAGTTATCTCAAATTATTTTATTGATAACTTCCTTTCCTTCACCATTCTCTGTTCTGTCTTTCTGTAACTCCTGTTAATTGGATGTTAGGCCTATGGAACTGGGTCTCTGATTTTTTTAAACTTTGCTCTTTCCCTCTTGGTCCTTTTGCTCTGTTGTCTGTGAGATTTTAACTTTTATTTTCCCACCTTTCAATAGAATATTTTTGTCTCTGTCATCATATGTTTATTTTCTAACATCTCTTTTTATGTTCTTTGAATGTCTTTTTTTTTTTTCTTTTTGTGCATCCTGTTATTCCACACTTGCAATTTTGGGCTTAATTGTATGTTTTCATCTTTTGTTTTTTGGTCAAGTTTCCTTCTCCCTATATAGTTTTTACTTGTTCCAGATTGCTTTTTGCATGCTTGTTTAGCTGTCTATCTTCCATGTTAAAGGCTTTCTTCAGATTTCTGATAATACTTGATTATTTGCTCATGATCAAGATTAAGATAATACAGAGTTGACTGGAACCTCTGAAAGCGTGGCGAGGCTTGTCTGCTGAGGCATCATGGGAGAGTAATCAGGTGTGCCATTTGTGGAGTAACCTGCATATTAGTGTATCTGCAACTTTTTGCTTTGTAGCTAATGAGATTCTCGGGAAAATCTTCCAAACTCCTGCCTAAAGAGTATGTCTGCACACTGAAATTTCTCGGTGGATCCTAGTGAGGGAAGACTCAGCGGCACTCCCACTTCATTGACCTATTTGTTACAGGGTGCCCATAGCTTCAGATGTGCTTTTGACTGGCTTGGTGTCTCTCAGTCCAAAGAGAGGGACAGTTACTGAGAGGCATACAGTGAGGAGGACTATCTGGGAATCTTAACTTCTCAAAGATACTTTCACCCTGTTTCTCCTTCTTTGGGCCACCCCACTTCACCTTAACATCTGAGCATGTAGCATAAATGAAGTTTGTTCAGCTTTTCTCACTGCTGGCTAGGGATTTGGCTTTCTTAGTTCATTTAAGTCAGTTACCATTGATTTTTCTGTATCCCAAAATTATGTTGCTGTTGTCCTCTTTCCTGTCTTCCCTATCTATCCTTGTGGGATCCTGAGGGTTTAGGGCTTGGTTTTGTTTTGAATACCTTTAGTGTTGTGTTAGTTGGGTTTGGGGAGGGAACAAAATTAGATATGTGATCAATCTGCCATTTTAATATGAATTTCCTTTGGAAGCTTTAAGAGTTAGACTTATCCAATGTTAAGACGTTCTTATGAAGCTCCTACTGTGTGCCAGACACTCTTGTACTTTGCATTTCCATCCCAGTCCATGCACTGTGCTCACTGGGATTATAGGCATGCACAACCATGCCTGGCCTTGCTTTGCCTTCTTGTTTCAGCTTTCACACTGTAAACAACTGTAAGGTCCTTTCCGGGTTTTTTTTTTCCCACTGCCATGTTTCTTGCAGTTTTGTGCTTTTTGTTGGTAATTCCACTGCTTAAAATGGCCCACAGAGTGCTGAAGTGCTGTCTATGTCTAGTTCCTAAGTGCAAGAATTATGAAAAGTCATAATTCATGCATAATTAATAGAAATGGCGATTTAAGCAAACGTTTGAGACAGTTGTACAGACATTAATATGGAAATTACATAGGCTAACAAATACTTCTATTTGAACAAATACCTTTAAAAAGTGGCAATAAATATAATTATGTTTCTATGGAGAAGTATGTACTGAATCCCACCCAGTGGTGCCAGAAATAAAACTGATCCTCATTATTCCTTGTTGTCATGTTCTGTAAAGTCACCGAGAACACTGAATTAGCAAATACTGACCCATTGCTCCTAGGGGAAGTATAGGGTTAGATTCAGGCCAGCTGCTAGTCACCACATTTGCGTCAAACAAGCAATATGTAACCATGTTTTATTTGTGTTTTTGTTTAAAGATATTTTAAACCATATTGTTGATTTATTAGCGTTAAACTAATGGCCAAAAGCACAGTAACTCATGACTGAATGAAATTTATCTAACACACACAATTTCACCATAAGTTACATCACAGCCGTCTTGCCCTTAGGAACTCGACATAGCACTTCAGCACTCTGTGGGCCATGTTAAGCAGTGAAATTACCGACAAAAAGCACAAAACTGCAAGAAACATGGCAGTGAAAAAAAAAAAACCCGTAAAGGACCTTACAGTTGTTTAGTGTGAAAGCTGAAACAAGGCAAAGCAAGGCCGGGCATGGTTGCGCATGCCTATAATCCCAAGTGCTTTGGGAGGCTGAGGCGGGTGGAATACCTGAGGTCAGGAGTTGGAGACCAGCCTGGCCAACATGGGGAAAACCCCATCTCTACTAAAAATACAAAAACCAGCCGAACATGGTGGCGCACACCTGTAATCCCAGCTACTTGGGAGACTGAGGCAGCAGAATCACTTGAACCCGGGAGGTAGAGGTTGCAGTGAGCCGAGTTCGCGCCACTACACTCCAGCCTGGGTGACAGAGTAAGACTCTGTCTCCAAAAAAAAAAAAAAAAAGAGGCAAAGCATGGCAGTGTTGAGCCTCAGCTGGGATTGTGTAAGTCAGGTAACTCAAATTGTTGACCACTCTGTCCACGTGCATGAATGACTGCAGAAGCACCCTGAGCGAATATGGATTTGATGATTACAAATACATTTTAGTGAGTAGGTGAATTCACAAAACAGAATCTGCGAATAACGAGGATCAATTATATATTTGATCCCTGATGCCCCTGGCCCTACAGGGGAAAGGGCATTTATAATCCCCTTAGAAGAAACAGTGCAGATTTTGTGTGCGCTCATGCAAGCAATAAAAAAGCTGCTATTCTCCAGAGTTTTTGGTAGCCAGTATAATCAATAATAGCCAGTAATAATTAGCAGTGTACACACATTACTTCATTGACTTTTACAACCTTGTAAAGTGGGTGTTATTTCTATGTAAAAGAAAGGGAAAATATTTGAATGATTTGAGTAACTTAAGTCATGCTCCTACAGTAGACGGAGGAGTAGGGATTTGTCTGCCACCTAAAATCTTACCCATTACTCTGTACTGAATCAACTCCAAAAGAAACCTTGTTCCTGCTGCTAGGTCACTGAAGTTGTTTGTGGGTAAAGATCCTACACTACAATCACAAGGATGTGAGTGTTACCAATTTATTTTTTTAAAATACCATTCTCACTTTAAAAAAAAAATGTCCTAATCATCGTTTTCATGATCATTTTAACTTCAATATTTGTTTACTTGGAATTCTCATTCACTAATATAATTAAAACATGATGGATAGTTTATTGCAGTCAAAGAATCTTAGAACTGGAAGTGTCTTTTAAAAATCATGTAACAAAATGCATTTACTTTACCTACCTATGAGAAACTGAAGTTCCTGGAAGTTAACTCACCCACAGTCATACGTTAAGACCGGTATCTAACGATCCAGTATCAACCGAACTCTTCTCTGCCTAAGTTTTACATAGTTCCTTGTGTTTTAACCGAATTTGGTGAAGCAGTAGTACCCAAAGTTCAGCCCAAATCTGTTGTCCTATCATGCATGACACTTTTTAAGTTTGACATCCAGGAATGAACCACTGATAGGAGACAGAATTGCAGGAGAGCAAGGGGAGAAAACAGCTGTCTACAGAGGAGCCGTGGGGAACTGGAGAGAGCCTGCCCAGGAAAGCACTCCCTCTGTGACCCTTTGCAGACCCAGTGCTTTCAGAGCTTCTCATTTTTCACAGGAAGCTGGAAAACCAGATAGTGTGAAATATTGCCAGCTGTGTCACTTTAAAACCACAGTGCAAGACAAAAACCAAAAATGACTGTGGGCCCGTTTCAGGGCGTCAGATTGAAACCTCTCCTTTAGAGGATTCACCTTGCCCTGCAGCTTTCTTTCCTCTGCACCGTTAGAGACTATGAGAAGGAATCCAAGCCAGTTTCTGGTGAGCACTTAAGAGAATGCTTTTGGGTTAAACTTAAAAGTCAATAAACCATTAAGTGACTAGGTACATTCTGGCTATTTACTTCATGAAATAATTTGTTTGCATGTGTTTTGGCCACATATTACCCACAACACAAAGATCATCTGTGTTTATTACAAGTTAGAATTGATTAGTATTTTGAAGTAAATGTAGAATTTTGCAGTCTCATATGGTAGTGGACTTGCCATCCTTATCTCATGCACGCCAGGCTCTGGCATAGCATTATCACTTGCTGAAAATAAGTATTTTATCTTGTTTTACCGTAGTAGACATACACAGCATCTGCAACCAAAAGTGTTACTCACTCTCTTAGTCTTACCTTAGTTCTTCCTGAGAAACTAATGGGAGTCGTGGTTGTAAAAGCATTTAGCGTTGTAAAACTAAAGCATTCTGAATCTAAAGTGCAGCTGTAGGTTGTTGATGAAAACTTCTTTTCCATTAGTATTAAAAAGTAATCGATGACAATAAGTAACTAGAGAATTTGGGCAGAACTATGGCATTCATCCATACATACAGAAAAATACATGAATTATAAATATATAAATAATTAAAGTATGCAAATTAGAAATACACAAACTCAGTGAATTTTCACAAACTGCACATGCCTGGGTAACCAGCACACAAATTAAGAAATGAAACATCCATACTGCTATTGATGGGTATTTGGCTTTCTATTTGGGAACTGTTAACATTTAGTGCTGCCATGAGTGAGCTTAGTACGCATCTCCATTGAGTGTGTATCTAGGAGTGGAATAGCTGGGTCACAGGGTGTTTTTTTTTTTTTTTCTTTTTTTGAGACAGGGTCTCACTCTGTCACCCAGGCTGGAGTACAGTGGCATGATCACAGCTCACTGCAGTCTTGACCTTCCAGACTTGGACAATCCTCCTGCCTCAGCCTCTTGCATACTTGGGATGACAAGGGCACGCTACCACACCCAGCTAATTTTTTTGTTATTATTATTTGTAGAGGCGGAGTCTCCCTATATTGCTCAGGCTGGTTCTGAACTCCTGGGCTCAAGCAGTCCTCCCACCTCAGCCTCCTGAAGTGCTGGGATTATAGGTGTGAGCCACTGTGCACAGCCTCCATATGTGTACCTTTATACTCCCAGTTTTCCAATGTATTTGAATCAGTTCAGACTAAACTAGCAACATACGAGTTCTGGTTGTTCCACATGCTAACACTTGATCTTGGCTTTTTCATTTTAGTCATTTTTTTCATTTTGTTTTGTTTTTCTGAGACAGAGTCTCACTCTGTCGCCCAGGCTGGAGTGCAGTGGCAGGATCAGTGGCAGGATCTTGGCTCACTGCAACCTCTACCTCCTGGGTTCAAGAGATTCTCCGGCCTCAGCCTCCCAAGTAGCTGGGACTACAGGCACACGCCACCACATTCAACTAAGTTTTGTACTTTTAGTAGAGACGGGGTTTCATCACGTCGGCCATGCCGGTCTCAAACTGCAGCTGTCATGTGATCTGCCCGCCTGAGCCTCCCAAAGTGCTGGGATTACAGGCATGAGCCACCACGCCCTGCCTCATTTTAGTCATTCTAATGGCTATCTCATCGTGATTTGAATTTACATTCCCTGATGATTATTGAGGTTGCACACCTTTTCATTTGTTTATTGGCTGCTTGGCTTATTCTCTTGTAAATTACGTAAACAAGTATTTGGCACTGACTTGGTAAACTTTTTCCTTAAAATGAGTTTAAAAAATAAATAGTGTGCATTTATAAACATTCAAAGAGCAAGCGAGTTTGCCCTGTGAACTCTATTGTAGTAAGTAACTTTTGAGAGGTCTACTGATACATCTATAAACCAAGATGACTTTGGCCACCACGATTGCCTTTCATATAAATTTATAAACAAGAAGAAACCTTGAATGTTCTTTTCAGGCCGCTAAAACTACCAGCACTGGTAAGAAAAAAGAAAATAAAATGAGTAATAAATGCAAATGTATTTTTTTGTTTTTGTTTTTGTTTTTTTAGCCTTGTGAATAGTTTTTTGTCTGGTTGGTTTTGTGAATTGTTCTATGAATTCTGATTGGTAACAGAATCAGCCGTTAACTAGTAAAATGTTACTAATGTGAAGAGTTAATTTAGGAAAAGAATGTAGCTTAAATTGCCCTTTTAAAAAATGCTTATCTTTACAGTTGTTAGGATTTTTTTCTGCTTACAGAGGAATATGTGGTTGTGGTCAAAATTTCCAAGGTTACAGAAATTGAAAGTCTCTCATATTCTCACTTCCCAGAGACAATTAAGTTTGGTTTGTATTCATCTAGGTTTTCTTCTATAAATTTACTAACATGCATCACAAATGGTAATATACTCAACATACTGTTTTGCCATTCACCTTCTAACCTAACAATAATTGTTGTTACTGAATTTTTTAAGTTTCTTTTATTATCTCTGATAATTGGATACTCACTTATTGACTATAAGAATGCCTTATTAAATAGAGTAAAATGTAATTTATATGTCAATTAACCTTCTAGGTCCTTAAAATGGTTCATTTTCTGGCAAGGTTCAGTATAAATATTTTAATTTACTCAACAC
Organism: Homo sapiens; assembly: GCF_000001405.40. Taxonomy (NCBI): domain Eukaryota; kingdom Metazoa; phylum Chordata; class Mammalia; order Primates; family Hominidae; genus Homo; species Homo sapiens. The sequence continues at coordinate 21,962,982 of NC_000008.11, forward strand.
AGTGTTTCCCAGTACACAGAAAAATTGCAACTAAGGGGGACATAAATTAAAAGGGTTTGTGAAAAGGGTGAAAGTGGCTTGGGTTTTCGGCAATTCTTTATATATTTGTGGCATTCGAATTATGATAATTCAGCTACAAAATTGGTAAATCTACTCTAAGTTTTCTAGAACTTCTCTGTGTTGTGCCTATATTTTGTAACATGATGGCAGCTTCTGCTCATCTCAGATGGCTGGGTGGCAGTCAGGTTAAGAATGTGCTCTTCAGAACACCTGCGGATCTGACTGGTCACCCAAGGATTATGCTTATGTCTAGTTCAGTACTCAATATTATTGGGAGTGTCATTGACTCCTTCCTAAAAGCAAGAATCGTAGTCTGTGATTGGAACTCTCCATGCGGATTTTTTAAAGCAGTGAGGCTAATTTAAAAGTATAGACCGGGCACGGTGGCTCACGCCTGTAATCCCAGCACTTTGGGAGGCCAAGCCAGGCAAATCATGAGGTCAGGAGTTCAAGACCAGCCTGGCCAATATGGTGAAACCCCGTCTCTACTAAAAATATAAAAAATTAGCTGGGCGTGGTGGCACGCGCCTGTAGTCCCAGCTACTCAGGAGGCTGAGGCAGGAGAATCGCTTGAACCCAGGAGGCGGAGGTTACAGTGAGCCGAGATCACATCACTGCACTCCAGCCTGGGCGACAGAGTGAGACTCCGTCTCAAAAAAAAAAAAAAAAGTATAACCATTGGGCTATTTAAAGAGCAATACTATACACAAAGTAAAATCTGAGGTATTCTGCTTTGTGGAGTAATATAACATCTAATGTACCAACAAAATCTTTATTTTCCCCTAATCTAGAGGCACCTTGTCAGACAAATTATTATATTCTAAGGTCTGTAATCTCAACAAATCTCGCCTTATGTTGAAATAAGAATAACTTAGCTGCATATCCTCTATCCAAGTTGAATAGACTAAAATACTGGTGTTGCTAGATTTTAAAGAAGATGCATTCTTTTAATACCTTCATTGTAATTATTGTTGGTAAAATCGGTCTGGTTCTAGGTTTGGGAATTAATCCTCATGAGTTTCTTATACTAAAAAGCAGTATTTTGCTAGCTGAAGATCACCTTTCACTTTTATAAAGCATTTCACCAAATGTGCTTTTCTATTCCAGCGAGACAAGAAGTTTCTCCATGGATTATAGGCAATTTTTCAGGAACAGAAAATAGACATTCTTCTCTGGAGGATTTTCTCTGACCAAAGTGGCATCAAAGAATAGATATCCTTAATAAGAACTGGCGACTAGGAAAACATTGGACATAGATGTTATCATGCCAAGGAGAGTGCTGTGGTGTGTAGTCGGCCACCCTTAGTGTGAAGTACTAGTTGTTATAGCTAATCAAATAATTATAGGGTAAATTATTTTATGCTAGGCCAAAAAAAAAGATGATTCAAAAGAACCTAACCATTAGATTTGTTTTGAAAACACTGGTAACTAAAAAAGCATAAATGTTAATGTCTCATTCCTTTCTCCTTCATCGGTAGTGTGGGCAACCCAAAGAAAATGACCCTGTTTTTCAGATGTTTCCACTAATTGTTTAGGAAAACAAAATTGTTTCCCATTTGTTCTTCTGGGAACAAAAAAAAAAAATGGAGCTGTCGTTCTTCAAAGTGTGTAAATGGTCAAATTGCGTTTTTGTTTTTTAAACAGTCTTGTTTCCTGAGCTGAGAACTCATTACCAGACTTACCCTGCAGTATGTTTTGTCTGCTAAATTAAAGCAAATCAAAACAAAACAACAACAAAAAGCCTACCATAACCTGCATGTAGGTTTTTAGCAGTAAGGAACTACCTGTAACAGATGCTTAGACATTGTCATGTGAACAACTTTGTTGTAATAAACATAAACAAGAGTTGCAGTGGGGGAACCACAGGAACTGATTGATCAGACTTTAAGGAGAGCCATTATACCATAAGCATCAGGACTGTTCAGGGAGTGTCTGTTCAGGATGTTGGAAAGCTCAAAGTGTGTGATGGCTGTGGAGGTTCTGAGGCTGCTGCTGCTCCCCAATACCTGATGCCAGGTTTTATAGCAGCTTACGTTTTAGTTAAACAGTGTCTTTCTCTTGATGTCTTTCTTGTTACCTATTTTCCTAAATAATTTTTTTCTTTTTTTTTTTTTAAGGGAATCATTTTGTAGGAGGGGGGAAATAGATTTCAATGTTGAAACAAAACCTTGTGAAGGAGATTTAATGCCTTGTTTAGGAATGTGAGTGGTTATAATTAAACTGATTCAATTCTCAATAAGGTCTTGAGCAGTACTGGCAAGCATAAAAATGGCTTTTGCATGTATTTTATGGAATGTATGTAATTAGCCTTATTTTCTACTTGTGTTCATAAGCCATGTGAATAAACTCAGGTACTACTTATAGAACTTTATTGCTTGAGATCTGACTTTGCAATTGCGATTTTCTCTGTGCTTTTGAATTGAAGAAGAGATTAAGTGGGACCCCTGGAAGTCAGAAACAAGTTAAACATAAGCCTAATCAAAGTCCCAAGATGTTGTGAAAGATGGTTTGTTTCGTTTTAAGGGCAAGGTTGTTGTTTTGTTCTTTTGGGGGCTGTCTGAAGTAGGACTGATGATCTTAGGGCGTCAGTATTCATCGTTCTTGTTTCCTTTCAGTTAGTGTTGGAAATTTATTAATCAGGTTGAGTAAAATATGAATCCTGCCCCAAAGGCTTTCCTACTTAGTGGAAAAGCTGTGATTTATAAAGACACAGTGTAATGAAATAAAGTGATAATGAAAAGCCTTGGGCAGACTGGCTGTGTAATATATTTTAGGCAATTTACACAGGTTGGTTTAATTATTATTATTTTTGTTCTTGTCAGAATTGTCCTTTCTAATAGTAGGATCCCTCAAACTATCCTTGCTGCTGGTGAAAATAGGCTCCAATTTTTTCTTAAAGTCCAAACCATTCCTTTAAAGGCTAACAGATGTTTACTCTCCAGTCAGTGAAAGGTGATATTGAAGTATAGTCTTAATTAGTTACTTTCCTCTTTGCCTTTAAACACCACATTAAGTGCAAGTATATATGCCTCCCTATGGGTTTTTGACCAAAGCACACACCCATACCCCTTCCTGCCTCCCTGGAACTGGTTCAAGATTTGGAGAGAAGAGTTTGCTTGTGGGTGTTTCCCTTGTCTTATCTGTGAGTGAGCATATGCTAGGGTTGAATTTATTTTGACGCTTTCATTTTAAATTTGGAACCAAAGTAAGAGTTTAAAGTGCAACAGAAGAGAGTCTGCTGAACTTTAGACATGAGGGATCCAGGGAGGAAGGTGCGTAAATACATCTTGAAGCTTTCTCTAGAGGTTTTCTCGTACAGGTGACCATCTTTACGCATATACATTATTGTAAGCTAATAACTACTACTCAAAGGAATATTTAAAGCTATATGAAAATGTGTGTGGTACTTATATCATGTTTATGTGCTTAATTTTAGTAGCCGTGCCTCTGGTATTTCACACTTTTTACATTAATAGCAGAATAAGTAAATTTTGAATTTTTATTTCAAAGCCTTTTAGGAAAGCTTAGGAGGCTGGGTATTTGCAAGCGGAAAAATGTATCATGTATGATTGATCCTCAAGGGAATGATGAAAAAGTTATATAGGTATTCTAAGCATCTTACCATTTTGTCTTCTATAGCATCAAATAAAGAGACCTATAAATGGTTATTAGGTGAATGTTACCCAGGTTCTCCTCAGTTCAGAAGCAATTCTTTCTTTACTGATTATTATTTATCTTTGTTTATTAATTTTAAGCACAGTTGCTTACATTTGTAGTAGGCTGAACTGTTTTCTTTCCTGACTGATCTTTTCCAGAGCCTGGCCCAACTAGAGAATCTGTGCAAACAGCTGTATGAAACCACAGACACAACCACTCGACTCCAGGCAGAGAAAGCCTTGGTTGAATTTACCAACAGCCCTGATTGCCTGAGCAAGTGCCAGCTACTCCTCGAAAGAGGAAGTGTGCGTAAGATCTGAAAATCCTAAAGGATAACAGGCGCTTCGGAAACGTTATTCTGGTTCTCTGTGTAGGAATGGCATGGGATGGCTTCTGTTCCCTGATTTTTCTAGGTGTCCCTGACTTATTTTCACTTTTAAGAAGTACCATACCTACCAGGTTGGCAAAACAGCCATACAGTCTCATCAAGAAAATCTCTTTGAACATGCATTTCTGTTCTGTAATTTTTCATCCTAAATTTCCAGAACTTGTTTTCTGCTTTTACATTTAAGTGCCACATCCTGTCCTTTCCAGAATAAGATAGGACTGTAGATAAATGACCTTTGTGTTTGTTTATTTATTTATTTTTGAGACGGAGTTTCGCTCTTGTTGCCCAGGCTGGAGTGCAATGGCGTGATCTTGGCTCACTGCAACCTCCACCTCCCGGGTTCAAGTGATTCTCCTGCCTCAGCCTCCCGAGTAGCTGGGATCACAGGCATGCACCACCAAGCTTGGCTAATTTTGTATTTTTTTTAGTAGAGACGGGGTTTCTCCGTGTTGGTCAGGCTGGTCTCGATCTCCTGACCTCAGGTGATCCACCCGCCTCGGCCTCCCAAAGTGATGGGATTACAGACGTGAGCCACCACACCCGGCCAATAAATGACCTTTTTAATCCAAAGTCCTAGTACAAGATCCTCAGTCTTCTCTGTGTTTTGTGTCCTCTCTGCCACAGCTGCTGTTTATTGCCTTACAAATCCAGGAACAGTGACCTTGACAATGAAATTACAGGAGATTGTAGGATTTTAAATGGAATTAGAACCTCCTCCAGCTTAAAAATGGCATTGCAGTGATCAAAATAATGTTCCTGAGATACAATTTGAAAAAATCACTATCTTTGGCAAGATGGAAGTCTTGGGAAGGGTGGGATCCCCCCAGGGTCCCATGAAAGGGCATCATGAGAGGCATATCCCAGCTAGACTTCAGCAGCAAGCACTGGCCTTCTTTTGATAAAGTGGCAACATAAAGTGCAGTCCTCATATTTTTCCTAATCCTCAAACAGCTTCCCAGTCGTGCTTACCTATATTACGCTCTTTCACAGATGAAAGAGAAAACACCAAGAAAAGGCACATATATTAGCCATCATTCTTGTGTGTGTGGAAAAAGGTGAAAATAGAAATGATAATGCCATGTGGTATTCTGAACAACAGTAATCCCTAAAGAATTGCTTAATCAAAATTTGCTTTCCAAAAAGTATCCTTAAGACTGGAATGAAATGTGAAAAAATGAAAGTTAATTGGTTGAGAGGATAGAATTCTAGTTGACTTTATTTTTGACTTTTTATTAGTATTATAATATTGTTTATACAGTAAATAGAACAAATTATAATTGGTTGAAATTATCCGTTAGTAGCTGAGGGGTATAACTTTTCCCCCAAATATCTGAATGATACAAAGTCATGGTCAAAGACTGTGTGGTGGTCTGTTCTGTTTTACGCACATAGTGTTTTATATATTGCTCTTAAATCACTTGGTGTTTGGATTGATGCACTTGTATTTGTCCTGTGGGAGATGCCCAGCTAGCTCTGCCAGCTAACTCCTGCTGGAGTGACAGTACAGTCTCTCTCACCACTAGTCTTAAATTTTTATACCTGGTGGTATTATGTAATATTAACATAAATGGATAGTCTGAGGGACTACCATCTTAAGGACTTTCTGTGTCATAGAAAATTGTCCTTGACCCTTGATTAAAATACTTTAATGCTTCTGAGCCTGTTCCTGTTTTATGGCATTGTATATAATATAGCCACATGGAGGAATTCTTCCTTAGGCATTTTGATCACATGGAATGCTTTGAGTCTCCGTAAGGTTAAAACTTGTTAAACCCACATTTGAGAATGTGATAAAGCTATTCCATTGCTTAAGGCATAATTCTCCTTTCTCACAAATAACCTTAAGTTTACTTTTAAACTATCATATACATTCCCCAGCCCAATAGCTGATTGATAGCTGCGCTGATGGAAAGATACAATTTGGAGACAACTATACAGCATAGTGTGATGGTTTCCTCTAATACTTCTTTTCTTTTTTCCCCAATATCATGCCATAGAAATATTTTGAGGTGAAACTGTTTGAAATATCATTATAACAGATACTAAGGGGAGATTTCTTGGTTTAAATGAGGGGAGAGATTTTTTCTAATCTCTATTTTTCTGAAAAGATGCCCTCTAGTGTCTGTCCCTCAGAGTGAAGCAGATACCTGTATTAGATTCAGCTTGATCAGACGGTTCACTTTATCTTCCCCGTTGTTCATTGTTGAAGTCAGCTAATAAACTTATGCTATGTGGTTCATTTTTCCTCAGAGCAGTAGACCCTCTAAAATCCAGAGGATCAAATCTGCCAAAACTGATTGCCTTTTCTTGAATCTGAGCAGAGATCTCCAAGTTAAAAACCTTGTGACTGGCTTACTCAATACAATTTTAAGTCCTTTTTCCCTCTCTTTTCACAGTCCTCTTACTCCCAGTTACTGGCAGCTACATGCCTTACCAAGCTTGTATCACGCACAAACAACCCCCTACCATTGGAACAGCGAATAGATATTCGTAAGTGGAGAATTTTCTGTTCTGTCTTGAAGAAAATAGTTTGTTTAGTGATGTGCTAGTAATAGTCAAATGTACGTGTTTGTTCAATGATATGCTGAGATTGCTAACCATACAAAATGTCTAGAATCCAGTTCGTTTCCAGAATTTGGGGCTTATGAAAGTGAAGGGCCCGACGCAATAACTTCTGGATAAAGCCTAAGTCCTCCCTTTTGTTATCGGGAGATTTCTTCATTCATCTTTTCTTTACTGCCACTAATAACTAAGAAAAACATTGTTAATGATTTTGAATTCTGTGTAGACCACGTTCTTTAGCTACCTAGGGATAGAGTCAAAGCAGCTATACTGCAAATTCTTCATGAGACAAAATAAAATTCTGAATTAGAACACCTACTAATCTTAAATTTAAAGTCCCATTTGGAACAGTAGCATAAATAATTAAGACAGTTTGGGTTAAATAGTCTAAATTTATAATTTCTTGGCCATTTAGCATGTCTAAAGATATACACCCTTCTCTGGCAGAGCTTTCTATTATGTGGATTGGTTTTGTTTCTTGTTTTTTTTTAATAGGGAACTATGTGCTCAACTACCTTGCCACTCGGCCGAAGTTGGCTACTTTCGTGACACAAGCACTTATTCAGTTATATGCCAGAATCACAAAACTGGGCTGGTTTGACTGTCAGAAGGATGACTATGTCTTCAGAAATGCAATCACAGACGTCACAAGGTTTTTACAGGTACAGTGTATATATTTGATGTAATGGGAATGGGAGAACCAGCATATACATATATATAAACACACACACACACACACACACAACTTAACACGCTTATCTACTTTTTAAACATGACACAAAATAGAATTATATGATATATTCTCTTCTGCATGTTTTTTACCCTTAATAGGTCTTGGTAGTGTTTGCATGTTGGCAAAAACAAACCATGTCTCAGTCTTTCAAATTCCTACATATGGTCCCAAGCAAAAATATGTTTAATTAATTAGTTAATATTTTATAGATGGGCATTTCTTTCGAGTGTTAAATTAATACTTCAGTGAATAGCCCAGTACATATATTTTGAATAAGTGCGTTTGTAGGGTCAATTCCTAGCCTTGGAAAGATATTTCCAAGTTATCCTCAAAAAAGTTATACAGCTTGCACTTCATGATGATGTTTTCGTCAACAGTAGACCACATATACAACAGCAGTCCCGTAAAATTATAATGGAACTGGAAAAAAAATGGAGCCTAGTGATGTCGAACTGTCTTAATGTTGTAGCACAATTTATTTTTTAAGTAAATTTAGTGTGGCCTAAGTGTACATATTTATAAAGTCTGTAGTGGTGTACAGCAATGTCCTCGGCTTTCACATCCACTCACCACTCACTCACTGACTCACCCAGAACAACTTTCAATCCTGTAAACTCCATTCATGGTAAGCGCCCTATACAGGTGTAGCTTTTTAAAAAAAAAATCTTTTATGCTGAATTTTTACTTTATCTTTGCTATGTTTAGATACACAAACACTTACCATTGTTATAGTTGCCCACAGTATAGTCACGTGGTGTACAAGTTTGTGCCTAGGAACAATAGCCTGTACCATACAGCCTAGGTGTGTAGTAGACTGTACCATCTAGGTTTATGTAAGTACACTCTATGATGTTAGCACAACAGTGAAATCCTCTAATAACACATTTCGTAGAACGTGTCGCCATCATTCAGTGACTCATGACTGTATCTACTTCCACAAACAGTTGATAAGAGGACCTGCTTACCTCAGCCCTGGAAGCTAAACTTAATTTTTCTAATTTAATAGGTTAAAAAAATTGGTATCTTATTGTTTGGGTTATGAGTGAGACTGGATAAATTTTGATATGTTTATTTATTGCTTATATTTGTTTTTCTGTGAACTTCTATTTATATCTTAACCACACTTCCTCAGATTCTTTGCTTATTGTTTTATGCATTCTCTTTATAAAATGTGTTGTTTACTTGTCATTTACTTTAGTGATGTGTTTTGCAATTTACCTTTTAAAAATGTATATGCTATAATGCTTATGGGAATTTTTTTTAATGTAAAAGTTTTAAATTTTGATGAAGTCAGATTTGACAGTCTTCCTTTGTGGTGACAGTTAGGTTTTAAGTCCAGCAAAACAACAGTTTTAAACTATGATTCCTTGCTGCCTTGTCTAGGCAGTTTTACTAATGACACAGGAACCCGTCATTCGAAAGTATGAGTGCATTCCAAATGCCAAAACCAAGCACACATGACAACTCTTTCTACCTTATACTTTTTTTAACCAGGATAGTGTTGAATACTGCATCATTGGTGTCACAATTTTATCTCAGCTAACCAATGAAATTAATCAAGTAAGTGCTACAGCCTTCCTCATTGAAGTAAGTGCCATATTTTTTCTTAGTATTGGTGTTTTCTGCTGTGTGTGGGATGATCTTTTTTGGCAGTTGTGTGCTTTTGCGGTAAGTGATTAATGCCCTTTTGAAACAAAATAGTTCCATTGGGTTTTCCTCTGTAATTGCAACTCACCTCACTTTTTGTCCTGTTCCCTTTCTGTCTCCAGGTTGTTTTCCCCTTTTCCATCTTAGCTTTTTTTTTTTTATTGGTACTAATTATCATTTTAGAGATAAAAGCGATCGCAGCACTTTGGGAGGCCGAGGCAGGCGGATCACCTGAGGTCAGGAGATCAAGACCAGCCTGGCTAACATGTTGAAACCCTGTTTCTACTAAAAATACAAAAAATTAGCCGGGCGTGGTGGCATGTGCCTGTAGTCCCAGCGACTTGGGAGACAGGCAGGAGAATCGCTTGAACCCGGGAGGTGGAGGTTGCAGCGAGCCAAGATCGCGCTGTTGCACTCCAGCTTGGGCAACAAGAGCGAAACTCCATCTCAAAAAAAGCAAAATACTACTGCCTTGCCCATGAAGGAGAATGACTTCAAAAAAGAGACCATAAAGGTCGACCTTTTGTGTGCCCCTTCTGCTCCTATATACTTTAAATTTTTTAAATGGTCATTGATGCCACAGAATACTACAGAGGAAACACCAGTGGCTTTCTTTTGTCCTGGCTATATTTTAGTCATTTACTTTTTTATCCAGCTAAAAATTTGTGATTATAGAACAGGCCCTTATCAATATTAGCTATAACATCTCACCCTTAAGTTGGAAGCATATTAATGATATCAGCATTACTGTTGCTATTGCTCATAATTCTGCAGACATTTTTATTAACCCTGAGAAATCTTAACTGTGAGTTGGTCCTATTTCAAATGTGTTAGCTTAGAGCCTGTGAAAATTGGGAGTCCATGTTGTGTTTTCTTGCCACATGCAATCCCCGTTGTGATCAGTAATTACCAAAATAATAACAGCTTACACTTTTGAGTGATTACTGTTACCACCATTCTAAGCACTTTATAGTAACTAATTTTATTCTCAGAACAGTCATATGAGGTAGGTACTGTGTTTATCCCATTTTCTGGATCAGGAAACTGAGGCCCATAAAGATGAAATCATTTGCCTAAGGTTTCACAAGCAACAGATGTGATTCAAACCCAAATAGTCTTATTCTAGGGCCTGTGTTCTTAACAACTAATGTACTATTTAACCACTCTTATCTTTGCAGCAGAAGAGCAGATGCATTAACTAAGGATAGAGATTGTGGACTTAATGTTTTCCCCTTTGAAGCTTGGCCCCACAGAGTACATAAATTTTGATATATGTATAATAAAAAACTTCAAGATTTTACTTTTCTAAGAAAGTGATGAAATTTTGTGTAGCATTTAGTGTGTAATCATTCTCTGTGTTATGATCAATATAACAGATTGTATGATACATAATCTAGCAAGACCTTTATTATCTAAGACACATGATAACACAATGACAGAAGCAAGAATTGGAGAATATTTTGAGCCTCTAAATAATTTGAATTTTCCATTGTTTTGTGATTGTCAGATTCAAAAAAGAAAGTATATTTCTGTCACTATTCTTACTTAGAACCTAGAAATAAAATTAAGAAGACTTGATTGTCAGTAATCTTGCTGCCTTACACTTTAATGTGGAAAAAACAAAATGAGTCTCCTCTTGGATGAATTGATCAGTAAACAGAAGAGATTTAAGCTTTCAGTACATGGTTAGACTGAAAATACTCCTGACAACTTTGAAGTTATTTTATTCCACATATTGAATGCCTACTGTGTGTTAGGACTGGGAGCATACTAAAGAAGTAAAAGATTTAGTTCTTAACCACAAAAACATAAATTTAGCTGAAAAGACAAGAACAGGGAAAGTCAAAGACCAATACAACTACTTAAATTAAGTTTTCACTTCTGGGGTATAGAGAATATGTTGAAATAGGTTAGAAAAGGAGGTGAATATTATGGGCTGTTGTCATTTGTAAATTCTGCAGTAACTTCAGCGTTGAGGGTTTTTTTTGTTTTTGTTTTTGTTTTGAGTTTTGCTTACTGAAATCAAAGAGTTGTTACTCTGTCTGTGGGTGTTTAAGAGACTCTGCTGCCCAGGCTGGAGTGCAGTGCAGCCACGAATGCCTGGGCTCCAGGCCCTCCTGAGTAGCTAGGACTTACAGGCATGCACCACCACACCGATTTTTTTATTTTTTTATTTTTATTTTTTTTAGTTTTTAGAGGTGGTGGGGGGTCTCACTGTGTCTGCTTCTGGGCTCAAATGATCCTCCTGCCTCAACCTCCCAAAGTTCTAGAATTACAGAGGTGAGTCACCACGCCTGGCCCATTAAGCCACAGTACAACATGAAAGTAATTATCAGTAACGTCTGCCAACAATTTAAGTTTTACCTCCCTGAATACAGAGGAAAATAAGAATTTGCAGCAGAGATTATCCATCCTTTTGTTTTCCCTCTGTAAGCTAGAGAGAAAGGATACCCTGGCTATTAGCAGTTTACTATCCTCCATCCTTTCACTAGATAGCGTTTCACAATAATTTAAATGTTAAAAATGTATTTTATGTTTATGTTGCTCTTACTGGAAATCCTTCTAGCTTATAGGAAGTCTACATGAAAAATTCTTTTTTTGCAATTAATTCTTTGCATTGGTTTCTTCTTTTTCTGCACAGGCAGACACCACCCATCCTTTAACCAAGCACAGAAAAATAGCCTCTTCTTTTCGCGATTCATCATTATTTGATATCTTCACACTTTCCTGCAATTTACTAAAACAGGTGAGCATGTAGTTTGGGTCATATTTCCCAGTTTCTTTTGAAAGAATGAGAATGGATGGGAACTTGTTAAATGTCAGCTTTTAACTGATCCCACGAGAGTTTATGCATCTGTTTAATCATCATCTCTTATATAAGACTCATAGAGGCGTTGAAGAAACTGGTCAGAGTGACCACTGAGGTTGGAGAAATGATTGTCACTTCCCTGTTTAAGCTCAATTCCCCTAGGTAAAGAGCAGTAAGTGAGCATTTATCCCATACTCCTATCTTAAAGGGATCTAGTTTACCTAACTCAGAGTTTGAAGTTGTGTTGTTATTGTTTTTATAACCACATAAAATCTTTCTATATGGTGCGAAAGCATGTTAGTTTTATGGTGTTTGGATTCTTAGTGCTCTGAAAGTAGGTTCAGACTATGTTGTTAGCATACAGAAACCAGGCTGGTTCCCCTGTCCCCCGCTGAGTTAAAAGCAGCACATAAACAAGTAACATCTGTAAGGAAAAGTAGATTTTGAATTTTTAACATCCATTTAGATTTAATAACCTGGAGGAGTAGACAGTATCACATAAGGAAATTACCTGTGTTAAAATCGAAAGTTGGTGTTTTCAATTCATTTATTGATAGAGCTGAACTAAGAAAGAAGTGTTAAGCTGGGAGTTCCACACAGTTGTAACACAGCTCGGATGCTTTATCCCTAAGAAAGCTAAATAGGGTTAGCCTCTGGTTTTTTGTTCATTTTTGTGGTTTTGTTCTTATTTTCCAACATTTCCCAATTTTAGTTTTGGAAGCCAGTTTGTATTCTTTCTGTTATTCCAGTTAACGATATTCATCTTTTTCCTCAATTACTTAGTTTTACCTTAGAATTCCCAAATAATCCTCAGGTTAAGCAAAGCTGCCTAGCAAAAGCTGTTGCACCCGCTGGAGGGGAAAAGCTTTTGAGAAAACTAAGGATTGAATCCTCCTTACTGATACCATCAGGAACAAATAATTAGCCAGCCAGTCACGGAGGCTCAGCTGGTATAACCTTGGAATGGGACAGGCACAGTAGCTATGGCCAGTACTCACCTGTAGTCTGCAGGTACATTGCAATGAGTAAATAAAATTCACTGATGATTTTAATTCTGGTTTGAGAGATTTTTGGTGATGGTGGTTGTAAAAACGAGGAAAGAAAGTAGGGCAGGGTGTTAAGCATCCTCAGAGCTCCCTCCAGAGTTTAATCCCAGCCCTGTCTAGAAATAACTAAGATCTCACATGCCAATAAAATGACCACAGGAGCCATATTGCTTCAGAATTCTCTGTGACCATTATGTCTACATTGTGTGAGGAGTATAGTAAGTGTTAAAACAGGGCTTTCTTTAAATACCAACTTCATGTTTTTATAGTAAATATGTTTTAATAGTATATAAGGAGCTAGGTATTTTCATAGTCACAGGTGATAGAAGTACCACATCTTTGGAGAGAAGGGGACATTTTACTGTGCTAACATATAGCCCTCCTTTTCTGACTTAACAGCTTTGTTGAGTCTGGGAGCAAGCTGGGAAGAGAGGAGTGATTTTGGGGACTCATTATGTGGTAATTTTTACAGGCTTCAGGAAAGAATCTAAACTTGAATGATGAAAGTCAGCATGGCTTGCTCATGCAACTGCTCAAGCTCACTCATAACTGCCTCAACTTTGACTTCATCGGCACTTCCACTGATGAGTCCTCAGACGACCTGTGTACAGTGCAGATTCCCACCAGCTGGAGATCAGGTAACAGAACTTCCTCCACCTCAAAGGCTGTCTGTCACTCCCCTACAGAGTGTCTGTAGAATGATCTAAAGAACTCCTGGCAACTCCTGTGTATTCTGAGGGAGAATTGAGAAAAAATTCTAACGTCTTTTTTTGTTTGTTTGTTTTTTAAAGACAGGGTCTCACTCTGTCACCCAGGCTGGAGTGCAGTGGCACGATCACAGCTCAGTGCATCCTCAACCTCCTGGACTCAAGCAGTCTTCCCATCTCAGCCTCCCAAGTATCTGGAACTACAGGCACATGCCACCACACCCGGCTAATTTTGTTTGTTTATGTTTTGTAGAAGTGGGGTCTAACAATGTTGCCCAAGCTAGTCTTGAACTCCTGGGTTCAAGTGATTCTCCTATCTTGGCCTCCCAGAGTGCTGGGACTACAGGTGTGAGCCACTGTGCCCAGCCAGTAACATCTATTTTATAATGTTGGGGAGGTTGTTGGAGTAATCTCATAGATCCCCCAGTGTCAAAGAACTTTTAAAATTGCCGATTAATAATAGATATGTATTTCACCTTTTTGCATTAATTGCCTAGAGACTTCTGTAATCTATTTAGGGTAATAACTATCTTTAAAAACAAAATCAAACACAACAACTTGTTCTTATGTTTGCCTTTGTATTCCAGAAGGATAAAAGTTTTAAATTCTTTTTATGGACAGAGGTGTTCAGGTTAAGTTCTCAGAGAATTGAAAGAAGAAATCTGTTTCTTAGAGAAGCTAAAATAGTACTTTCAAAAAAAGAAAAGAGGCCGGGCGTGGTGGCTCACGCCTGTAATCCCAGCACTTTGGGAGGCCGAGGCAGGCAGATCACTATGTCAGGAGTTCAAGACCAGCCTGGCGAACATGGTGAAACCCCGTCTCTACTAAAAATACAAAAATTAGCTGGGCATGGTGGCACGTGCCTGTAATCCCAGCTACTCTGGAGGCTGAGGCAGGAGAATCCTTTAAACCGGGACCTGGGAGGCAAAGGTTGCAGTGAGCCGAGATCTCGCCATTGCACTCCAGCCTGGGCTACAGAGGGAGACTCCGTCTCAAAAAAAAGAGAAAAGAAAAAGGGAAACCAAAAAGCCCCTATTTGCTTATCACTTCCAAAGGAAATAAATACTCTGTAAGATAAGTAGGCAGAAGGATGTGCTCCCTGATGTATAGTGCTGGAAGTATGCCAGCGGCAATGTTCATACTTAATAAAGTGATGTCTTTTGTCTTTTTCTTCCCCAGCCTTCTTAGATTCTTCAACCTTGCAGCTGTTTTTTGACCTGTATCATTCCATCCCTCCTTCATTTTCACCTCTGGTGAGTCAGGACTACCGTTTCTTAAAGCAAACCTATTCATAGAAGATAGCAATGGTGAATGAACCTTATATTCGTTTTGTTTTATAAAATTATACAAGTAAAGCATAGAAATACTAGGCTAGTTATCTAGTCTTTTGAGATTAAGCTTGTAGCCTAAAGGTTCCAGCCATAAAGTCTTAATTATTTTTAAATTATTCCTGTCTAAAGGCCAATTCCTGCAGATGGTCAAGCTCTTTTGGGTCTCATCGTGTATCTGACTTTATGCTGTTCCTCAAACGGCCACAGGCTAGCACCTGGGGATTCACCTAATACTGTCTAGTTGAACTATTAAGATTGTCCTGACTCAGAAAACCCCTTAGGTGTACATTAGATTGTCATAAATGGAAACTGTGATGAGAAGGCTAATTTGCATACTTACCCTGAATAACATTTGAAAGCTATTGGGAATGGTGTATTTCTCTTTTAAAGCCATAATTAACCTAAAACCTCAAAATTCATTCACGTTCTAAAATACTATTGGTCTGGTATTTCAGATTGTTGGTGTAAATTACCGGTTGGTGTTATACACAAAATATATAAAGAAGACACAGTGAAGTAATGAGTGGTGTGCATAGTGTTTGTTCAGTAGAGGACTTTTCTGGCCATTGTAGCACTTCTCCAAATTAATGTAGACCTTTGTGTTCGCTGAAACATGATTTCAGTGTTGTCGGGTGTATCGTTAAGGTTACTGCAAGAAAAGGTAGCACAGTCAAGAGGGATGATTAAGAGAGTACTACTTGCAAAGGTATGGGTAAAATTAAGGGACACCAGCACGGGGTGGTGGTGCATGCCCCTGGGGCTGGCAGTAGTGGGGAGCCTCAAAGGGCAAGTGAAGGAAACCTGGAGAGAGTTGAAGCTGTGTCTTAGAGGAGGGCTGGACAACAAGAACTACAGCCATCACTAGAGAAACTCTGCCACTGCATAGCCAGCTGGATGGTCGGAAGAGGGGTACCCTGTTCCCTCTGCCCTCTAATCTCCTGCTGGTACTTTCCATTGGTTGAAGCCAACTAGAAGCCAGAGGGCAAGGGAGCTTGGCTGCTCTCCTCAACAGAGGTCAGCCTCCTAGGGAATAGGGCAGGGTGGAAAAGGGTCGAAAGCAGATCTAGAGGGGGCAAACAGAGAATGTAAATATCTAACACAGTGGGAACAGAGGGAAATGTCTTCAGGGATAAAGCTGGGTTGTGTTTTTTTGTTTGTTTGTTTGAGGCAGAGTTTTGATCTTGTTGCCCATGCTAGAGTGGAATGGCACTACCCATGGGTTCAAGCGATTCTCCTGCCTCAGCCTCCTGAGTAGCTGGAATTACAGGCATGAGCCACCACGCCCGGCTAATTTTATATTTTCAGTAGAGACAGGGTTTCTCCATGTTGGTCAGGCTGGTCTCAAACTCCCGACCTCAGGTGATCTGCCTGTTTCAGCCTCCCAAAGTGCTGGGATTACGGGCGTGAGCCACCACACCTGGCCAAAGCTGGCTTTTTTAGGGCCCAGATGTGATATGCTTATTTCTTTTTTTTTTCTTTTTTTTTTTCGTTTTTTTTTGTTTTTGAGACGGAGTCTCTCACTGTTGCCCGGGCTGGAGTGCAGTGGCGCGATCTCGGCTCACTGCAGCCTCCGCCTCCCAGCTTCAAGCGATTCTCCTCCCTCAGCCTCCCAAGTACCTGGGATTACACGTGCCTGCCACCACGCCCAGCTAATTTTTTGTATTTTTGGTAGAGATGAGGTTTCACTATGTTTGCCAGGCTGGTCTCAAATTCCTGACCTCGTGATCTGCCTGCCTCAGCCTCCCAGAGTGCTGGGATTACAGGCGTGAGCCACCACACCCGGCCGATACGCTTATTTCTTTATAGCATGTAATGACATAAGCACATAACATCTACATGTCAAACTCAGATTAGCCAAGAAAACTAAATCTAAAACTTTAAAGTATAAATTGCTCGATATTTTTAAGGGTGAAATAACGTATCTCAGCAAGAACAAAGATGCCATTGGAGTGGTCAAAGGAATTTGTACCTAAGGGAATTTCCAAACTGAATTTAATGGGCTGCCGTGGTCTGCTTGGATCTATGTTCTTTTCTTTTCTCTTTTTAAAATAATGTTGCTTCAGATATCCTAAAGAAGGATATTGTAGGAGGTGGAACGTTTCTGGTGAAAGTAACTGTACAGTCTTTTTAATCGTTGTGTTTGGGTTCTGCCCTGCATTTAGGTATTATCCTGCTTGGTACAGATCGCTTCAGTCAGAAGATCCCTGTTTAACAATGCAGAGAGGGCCAAGTTTCTCTCTCATCTTGTTGATGGTGTTAAACGAATACTGGAAAACCCACAGGTAAGTTTATCTGAGAATTTACATATGTATAGGATTAGTGTATGGCCAGCTGTTATGAGTCAGAAGGAAATCCATCCCAAGGCCCAGTAAACAATTCAGTCTGTTCTTCAGGGAAGACTGAAGTGAATCTCTATTTGTAGGCCAATTCTGAGATTATTTGCCCAAAAGAGGAGCTTATATCCTCCCGCTTCAGAAATGTAGGAGTTACAGGAAAGAATCACTTCGCTATAAGGAAATAAGGAAGAAGCTAGTCATTTTTCCCCCCAAGAAGTTAAGACTCTAACATCTCCGGGCACAGAGGCTCACGCCTGTAATCCCAACAGTTTGGGAGGCCAAGGTGGGCAGATCACTTGAGGTCAGGAGCTCAAGACCAGCCTGGCCAACATAGTGAAACCCTGTCTCTACTAAAACTACAAAAAAAATTAGCCGGCCATGGTGGCACGTGCCTGTAATCCCAGCTACTCGGGAGGCTGAGGCAGGAGAATCGCTTGAACCCGGGAGGCAGAAGTTGCAGTGAGCCGAGATCATGCCATTGCACTCCAGCTTGGGCGACAGAGTAAGACTCCGTCTCAAAAAAAAAAAAAAAACTAACATTTGGTTTTTGATTTTGTTTACCATTTTTAAAAAATGTTTATCGGTAACCTAAGTATATAGGGCTGCTTTTAGGTGGGAAGGAAGATACTTCTTTCAAACGTTAATTTCATAACTCGATTGCCCTTTTTGTCTTTTGAAGTCCCAGTGATTCAGTATTTTTTTGAAAGTATCACTTCTCTATACTAGAAGAAAATTAAAAAGCAGTTTATTTCAAAATATACTCAGTTTTGTCCCTCTTTTTAAAATTCATTTATTCATTCAACAAATTACATTGAATACCTACTCTGTGCCAGGGATACACGGGTGAACAAAACAAAGTCTTAGCCCACATATGCTAACAGAAGAAGACATATCAGGAAACTTACAATTAAATATACTGGTAGAATAGATTTTAAAATAGCTGTAATATTTGCTATATCATATAAATACTACTATATGAATAAATTACAGTAAGTGATATAAATATATGAAACATTTGTATAACTTTGCTAACTATCGGTTAGTTGTGCTGAATGAT